>NC_000002.12:95804283-96131350 GCF_000001405.40 Homo sapiens | reverse complement strand
AAAAAAACAACAAAACTTTCTTTCAGCTCTGGAGTTAAAGTACAGCAATTCTAAAAAAAAATCATGAAAGACTAGAAAAGCCAATGGTTCACAGCTAAAGCAATGCTCAGAGAAAATGTGTAGACTTACGTATCAGTAAACAGAACAAATTGAGCATGTCAACCCAAGTTAAATGAAAGCAGGAGGGAATTTCAAAAGGTAAAAGCAGAAATTGAGTTGGAAAACAGCACTAATAATTATTCCTAATGATAAAACAGGCTAAAACACGGGTTCCCCAGTGGAAAAAATGAGAACATATTTGTTCCCATTTAGGTTAATATGTTCTCATTAGGTTAACATGTACAGAAACTGCCAGGGCAGACACATTAATAACAGTAATTAACTGTTGTGGGGCGGGGAGGTGGGAACTCAGGAAGCAGGGGATGGAATAGACTTTTACTACATCTCAATATTTGACTTTTGAACCAAATGAATATACTACTTATTCAAAAGTATGTTTAATGAATTTTTAAAAAGAAGTAAGAGCTCAAGAGGCAGCTATGTTAGGCAGGTGGTGGGGTATGAAGGTGCTGGAGGGCTCATTTGCTCCATGGAGAGGAAGCTGCTGTGACCGAGGTGGCGTGTATGCGTGGCTGGCTGGCTGGATTTGGGAGGATTGGGGGAGCAATCCCTCTGAAGGCCTGGGGGACTTGAGTGAGGGGGAGATGGGCTCCAAATCTGGGGAAGTGTTGTGGCCTGACACAGGAAGAACAGGTGGGCCTGTGACTGGGGACTAGGGCATCACCACTGCAGATGACAGCGTGGCAGCTTTTTAAAGCTGGGTCAAGGAATAGACATTTCATCTGGGGTGGGAGGGACATCTGAGACCCTGAGCAGTGTGGGACCCGTGGCAGCTGTGGCTTATGCAGAGACCAGCCCCGTGCAGACTGAATATGCAAGGAGGAAGGATGGGTGGAGGGAACAGCTAGGAGGTGATGGTTGGCCAGCCATGGGGTCCCTGTGCCTCTACCTCAACTAGTACAGGTTGGGGATCCTCCCAGGGCTGGGAAAGTGGGACTGGTACCAGAAGCAGCATGGTGGCTGTGGGCTCAGCCCCTCAGCTTGGGTGAGTTATGAGCTCCCAGAAGACTCTCCCAGCCATTGCCTGCCCTTTCTTGCCTGCCCTCTTTATATATCAGTAAGTTGTATTGTTTTTGTATTTTTAGGCTTTGAAATCAACTTCATCAAGTCTCAGAGCAGCAACATGCTGACGCCCTATGACTACTCCTCTGTGATGCACTATGGGAGGTGAGGACCCTGCCTTCTTCTCCCTCTGCTTCCCCCAGCCTCTCCCGTGGTGATCTGGACTCAGGGGTCTCCCGCTGGGTTCCAGGCTCGCCTTCAGCCGGCGTGGGCTGCCCACCATCACACCACTTTGGGCCCCCAGTGTCCACATCGGCCAGCGATGGAACCTGAGTGCCTCGGACATCACCCGGGTCCTCAAACTCTACGGCTGCAGCCCAAGTGGCCCCAGGCCCCGTGGGAGAGGTGAGTGGCATGGCAGGAAGGTGACTTGAACCTGGAGAAGGCGCCTGTGCTCTAATGGTGTCAGGGAGGGTGACAAGGAGGGAGATGAGGTTGCAGGGGGAGCAGGGTGAGATCACGGGGGCTTGCCACAACGACGCAGAACAAGCACTTGAGGAAAGTTAACACTCACTATGACTCAACTGTAACCAAAGAGGAATAGGGCTCACTTGCTTAGCCTAGATAATAAACATCTACCAAAAACCTAGAACAAAAGTTAAGGGTAAAACATTAAAACTGGGACCAAGACAAGTTTTCCCACCATTGTCCCATCTACTCCACATTGTGTGGCAGTGGAGGTCCTGGGCACCGAGGTAGAGCCAAAGAAACTAAAGGTCCGAGGATTGGAAAGGAAGCAAAAAAATCGTTCATAATAGATGATTACCTGTATTGAAAGCAACAATCTATAAACAAGTTATTAGAACTAATAAGAATTAGAAAAGGTAAATACAGTTAATATAAAAATCATATTTCTGTACACCCAGTTAGAAAACACAATTGTTAGTAAACATACCATTATAATAGCAATCATAAAGGTCCCAAGGAATAAATCTGACAGCTGTATCAAACATTTGAGGAAAAATGAACCTTTATTAAAATCGTTAAATAATACTTAAATATAGATAAATCTGTTATTGAAAGGAAGGCAATGTTATAAAAATTCAGTCTTCCCAAATTAATCTATAAATTCCCACTCAAAATAAGTTTGATCTTGACAGAGTGATTTTTTTTTTCTTTTTTTTTTTTAAAGATGGAGTCTCACTCTGTCACCCAGGCTGGAGTGCAGTGGCACAATCTCGGCTCACTGCAGTCTCTGCCTCCGAGGTTCAAGTGATTCTTGTGCCTCAATCTCCTGAGCAGCTGGGCTTACAGGTGCGTGCCACCACACCCAACTAATTTTTGTATTTTTAGTGGGGACAGGGTTTCACCATGTTGGCCAGGCTGGTCTTGAACTCCTGACCGCAAGTGATGCGCCTGCCTTGGCCTCCCGATTGACAGGGTGATTATAAAGTTTTTATATGAGAATATGAAAGGTCAATAATAGCCAAGACATCCCTGAAGGAAAAACTAAAAAGACTTGTCCTAGCAGATGTTAGTCATCTAGTTCATGAAACGTCTTTACATAAATGCATAGCACTGGAGCAAGGCTAGACAATTGCCCGCTGGAACAGAATCAAATTTAGAAACAGATTCCATTCAGAAGCAGAGCCTTGATGAAGGGCCATTGATGGTCACTATGGAAGGACAGTTAAGTTACTTAGTTGTCTTAGAGCCATTTAGCATCTATTTAAAAATCCCTAACTCATATCATGCGCAAATAACTCTGGATGCATGAAAGACACATGTAATAAAAACTTTAACATGTTTAGAAAAAAAATATATAGTAAGATCTCTTCATGACCTTGGGATAGGGAAGGATCACTTAAATGAGATACAGCACTAATTGTAAAACTAGAAAGATTCATAAATTCAACTACATTAATTATAACTTTGTCCAAAGGCACCAAAAAGAAAGTGAAAATACAGGTTACAAATAGACTTTTTTTTTTTTTTTTTGAGACAGTTTCACTCTTTTTGCCCAGGCTGGAGTGCAATGGCACGATCTTGGCTCACTGCAACTTCTGCCTCCCAGGTTCAAGTGATTCTCCTGCGTCAGCCTCCCTTGTAGCTGGGATTACAGTCACGCACCACCATGCCTGGCTAATTTTGTATTTTTATTAGAGATGGGGTTTCACCATGTTGGCTAGGCTGGTCTTGAGCTCCTGACCTCAGGTGATCCCCCTGCCTCAGCTTCCCAAAGTGCTGGGATTACAGGTGTGAGCCACTGTGCCTGGCCCCAATATATTTTTTTGCAACACATAATTTGTATACAAAATACATAAAGAACTACACATTAATATAAGAACAAACCAGCTGAGTGTGATGGCTCATGCCTGTAATCACAGCACTTTGGGAGGCTGAGGTGGGTGGATCGCTTGAGCTTAGGAGTTCAAAACCAGCCTGGACAACATATAGTAAGACCCCGTCTCTTAAAAAAAATACAAAAATTAGTGGGATAGTGGTGTGCACCTGTGGTCCCACCTACTCAGGGAGGCTGAGGCAGGAGAATCACTTGAACCTGGGAGGCGGAGGTTGCAGTGAGCCAAGATCGTGCCACTGCACTCCAGTCTGGGTAACAGAGCCAGACTCTGTCGCAAAGAAAAAAATCAAATAGAAAAATGGGAAGAGACTTAATAGACATCTCAGAGACCAAATGGGAAACACACTAAAGATGTTCAACCTCAGTAATTGAGGAAATGCAAATGAAGTCTACAATACCATTCTATAGCCACTAAACTAGACACTTTAAAGCCCAATAATACCAAATACTGTTAAGGATATAGAGTGATGAATGGAAATGCTAGACCCTACTGATAGGAATATGAGTGGCTGCAACCACTTTGGAAAACAATTTGACATCCTGGAAGGTTGAAGTGTACATAACCCCTGACCCAGATTCTACTCCTAGGTCATCTTGCATGCAAATGCCCTCTCCCTCCCCTCACTACCTTACCTGCTTCTGCCCCCAGCCCCAGGTAATCACTAACCTACTTTGCCTCTCCGGATTTGCCTAGACATTTCCCATAAGTGGAATCATAACACATAGCCTCTTGTGTCTGGCTTCTTAATGTTTTCAAGGTTCATCCATGTTGTAGCATGTATCAATAACATCGCTGAATAACATTCCGTTGGATAGATATGCCATACTTAGTCACCAGTTGAGGGACACTTGGGTTTTTACTTTGCAGCTATTATGAATAGAGCTACTATGGTCATTTATGTACAAGATTTTGTGTCAACATGTCATTTCTTTTGGGTATACAGCTAGGAATGGAATTGCTAGGTCCTACAATAACTCCATGTTTAACTGCTAAGATTTTTTTTTTTTTTTGAGATGGAGTCTCACTCTGTCGCCCAGGCTGGAGTGCAATGATGCAATCTTGCCTCATTACAACCTCCACCTCCAGGGTTCAAGCAATTCTCCTGCCTCAGCCTCCCAAGTAGCTGGGACTACAGGTATGTGCCACCATGCCCGGCTAATTTTTGTATTTTTAGTAGAGATGGGGTTTCACCATGTTGGTCAGGCTGGTCTCGAACTCCTGACCTCGTGATCTACCCGTCTCGGCCTCCCAAAGTGCTGGGATTACAGGTGTGAGCCACTGTGCCTAAGATATTTTCAAGTGGATGCACCATTTTTATTCCCACCAGCGGTATACGAGGGTTCCGATTTCTCCCATCCTTGCTGACACTTCTTATCTATCATTTTGGTTAGAACCAGCCTAGTGAGTGTGAAGTAGTATCTCATTGTAGTTCTGAGTTGCATTTCCCTAATAACTAATGATGAACATCTTTTAATGTGCTTGTTGGTCATCTGCATCTTTGGAGAATGTTCATATCCTCTGTCTGTTTTTCTTCAATTGGGTTCTCTCTTCTGAGTTGTAAGAGTTCTTTATATATTCTAGACACATGTCCCTCATCAGATGTTGCCCTTAAATATTTCATCACTTCCTATGTTTTTTGTTTTTCCCACTTTTTAATAATGTCCTTTGAACACTAACATCTTAAATTTGGAAGTCCAACTGACCAATTTTGTCACTCCTTTTTGGTGTCTATGACGCCTTTGCCTAACCCGAGGTCATGGAGATTTGCTCCTGTTTCCATGTAAGTCTTAGTTTCAGGTTTTACATTTAGGTATATGACCTATTTGGAGTGAACCCTTGAACAGGGTGTAAGGAAGGGGTTCAACTTCATTCTTCATGTAACTAGCCAGTTGTTCCAGCACCATTCTTTCCCCTACACTTTTTTTACTGTACTAAACATCTAAAAAAAAAAATCCCTAAAGGACAGATGTGGTGAGAAATTTGTGCGTAATTTCTTTTGTTGAGATGGAGTCTTGTGCACCTCAGCCTCCCGAGTAGCTAGGATTAGAGGTGAGCACCACCATGCTGGCTACGTTTTGTATTTTTAGTAGAGACAGGGTTTTACCATGTTGGCCAGGCTGGTCTTGAACTCCCAAACTCTAGTGATCTGCCTGCCTCAGCCTCCCAAAGTACTGGGATTACAGATGTGAGCCAGCATGCTTGGCCTTGTATGCAATTTTTCTAGAGGTTTGACTACCATGACTAGGGAATTGGGAGGTGGTGGAAAGGCCTGTGGTCAAGGGCTGGGTCTATCAAGATGGTGAGCATGGGAGCACATTCAGATGCTGGAACCATGACCTGCTGGAGGAGAGGGGTGGATATAGCGGGGAGAAAGGACACCCAGAATGTTTGGAAAAAGGCTGCACATGGTGGGAGCTGAGGCATTTCCTTGGATCTAGTGGGAAGGAAGAAGACAGGAATAGACCCAAGTCTGCAGGAGGATCTTGATGTATGGATGCTGGGGACTCTGTTACATAAGGAGAGGTGAGGCCACCAGAGGTAGGGAGAAGGGGATGGAAACAAAGGAGAAGATGTGCCTCCGCTGACTGGAGAGCAGGAGACACCTGGTAGAGGTGGGGGATGCTAGCGTTCTAGGGCTGGGTCTGGCGGCAGGTGTGACAGCAGGGAAAGGTGGTTGAGGCTACCTCCGAGGGGTGACTGCCATGGGGGCTGTGAAGCCTATGTAGGTGGGAGTGATCTGAAGTGGGGAGGGCTGGTGTAGGATGATGCTGGGTCTGGGGAGTATCTGCAGAGCCGCGCTACCTCAGTGTGCACAGGTGGAGGCGGTACTGTGGAGGGTGGCCCCCAGGAACAGGCTGCAGTGGTGGTAGCTCCTGGTGCTGACCAGGTCTGGAGGGCGGTGTGGGCTGTGAGGCTAACAGGACCTGGTAGAAGAGTCACCAGTTGAAGTGTGGGAGTGAGGATTTGGTCAGGGTCAGCTGAGGGAAGAGGCTCCTGGTGAAGCCCTCGCTGCATGCGCAGGAGGAACTGGGATGGGAGGCAGTGCTGAGGGGCTGGGGCCAGCCAGAGAACATGGGCTTGAATGAGGAAGAGTGCCCACAAAGAGGTGGGGTACAGTTGTAGTCTGGCATGACAGTGAAGAACAAGGAAGCCCCAACCTACCTCCTGGCACGGTGCAGGGTTTAGATGTGGCCATTAAGTGCAGGAACAGTTCTAGGGGAGGTCTTGGGTTCGGGGCAAGTGGTAGGGTATGGCCATAGGCAGAACAACCTGGGTGAAGGGTCCGGAAGGTGGGCGCTTTGGTGCTGGGTCAGGTGACTTAAGTGTCCCAGCAGTCTCGGGTGTGAATGGGGCAGTGGTGGAAGCCTGAGTGGACTGACATTCTGATGGTGACTTCAGGGGCCAGGCAGGGAAGAGATGGGATGGCTTCATTGTCCTGGTCTCTGGTAGGGTGGGAATCTGGGTCTTGGATGCACTAGGCCGTGGCATGGGTGGGCACCACTCCTGTGAGCTGAGCCAGCTCTGGGTCCGCACAGCTGGGCCACATGTCATCCTACAGTTCTGAGGTTCCACCTCCTGTCTTTTCTGTTGCAGGGTCCCATGCCCACAGCACTGGTAGGAGCCCCGCTCCGGCCTCCCTATCTCTGCAGCGGCTTTTGGAGGCACTGTCGGCGGAATCCAGGAGCCCCGACCCCAGTGGTTCCAGTGCGGGAGGCCAGCCCGTTCCTGCAGGGCCTGGGGAGAGCCCACATGGGTGGGAGTCCCCTGCCCTGAAAAAGCTCAGTGCAGAGGCCTCGGCAAGGCAGCCTCAGACCCTAGCTTCCTCCCCAAGATCAAGGCCTGGAGCAGGTGCCCCCGGTGTTGCTCAGGAGCAGTCCTGGCTGGCCGGAGTGTCCACCAAGCCCACAGTCCCATCTTCAGAAGCAGGAATCCAGCCAGTCCCTGTCCAGGGAAGCCCAGCTCTGCCAGGGGGCTGTGTACCTAGAAATCATTTCAAGGGGATGTCCGAAGATTAAGCCTGTGGCTTCTGTCCCCAAGTAGGGAGGGCATCCTCTGCCCAGTGGAGCTGGGTCGTCTACCTCTTGGCTCCTTTGGGCCACACCACTGTCTTCCAGCCCCAACCTACCACCCCATCTCAGAGGGCCAGGACTCTTCCCCTGTCTCTCTTCACTGTGTTCCCCTAAGGGCTCCTAGGGCCAGGGGTTCTTCTAGCTCTGCCACAGGGGAAGGCAGGCCTGGCTGTGCCTGCTCTTGACTTTTGCCCAGCCCTGGTGGATGCTGGGAATGGGAGGTGACATTCTCCAGGGACAGGTCCTGGAAGGGGTGGGGAAGAGGTAGGTTCCAGCCCCGCAGAACCCTGGAATCCCTCCTGTGCCTGAGGCCCTGCCCCCCAGCATGGACTAATGGTGTCCCTACCTCTCCCTCAGGGCAGCCCTGTGGCTGGGACCCTGGGAACAGCCTCCCATCCCACCCAACATGCCCAAGTGTGGGGGAATGTTCTACAGCAGTGTAGCCTCCAGCCCTTCTCTCCAGGAGGCTTTGAGAGCCCAACTTACTCCCCTGCAGAGCAGGAAGGTGGTAGGTCAAGTGTGGCCACCATTGGGGAGACGAGAAAGAAGTGGGGCCCCACCAGATTGCACAATGGGAACCTCAGCTGGCCCCTGAACAGAGGACTCAGTTGTCTCCACCCTACACCGCTATTCCCTGGAGCTCAGCCAGGCGCAGCCTTGGAAGGAGAAAGGGCTGGGGTTACCTGGCTTGTCCTCCTCCAGGAAAGCCCCCTTCCTCCTCTGCCCCAGCTCCCAGCCTGGCCTCCTCCAGGCAGGCCCTACTCCTCTGCCCCAGCTCCGGCTTTCCCCATGAGGTTTGTCCCAGGCATGAAGAAAGCATCCAGGGTGCCAATGAGTGGGCCTAGGCCAGAGGCCCCTCAGTCCCCAAGGGTACTGTTTTGGTGGCCTTTCAGAGGGTCAAGGAAGCCCTGCTTGGGGTAGAAGGGGCAGGAGCCCCACATGTTGGGGGAGGAAATAAAGTGGAGTGTGCTGTGCTGACCTTCCCACCTCCTGTGTGCCTTTAACACCCCTTGCCCTCTGGGGCCCCAGGTGGCTATCCCACCTCCCAGGGAAGACAAAGACTTCAGCGAGTGCTCCAGGGGTCCTGGCCAAGAAGCAGCAGGGCAGGGCTGAAGCTTGGAGTTCCCAAGTTCTGGGGAGAGGTTGCTGTTTGCCAGCCTTCTGGAGGGTCACGTGCTGGGGCCGCATTGAGGACATGGGGATGCACTCAGGGGACACTGTGTCCTCTACCTTCAGTCGGCCTTGGGTTTCAGTCATGAGTCATGAACCCTGAGACTGAACAGTGGCCCAGTCCCAGGCATTAGCACAAGGGAAGGACTGCAGGGAGGTGCTGTTCTTCCTCTTGCTCCTGGCTGGGGGAGTGGGGTCTGCGTGAGTGTAGAGTGGATAGGGGCTCTGGCCATGCCCCAAGGAGTAGGGGACAGCCCCGCTGGGAGGCTTCCAGGCAGAGACCTTGAGGCAGCCCTAGGACAGAGGCAGTACATGCAGTGCCCCATTTATCAAGGACAGTAGAGAGGCTTGCACTCCTCTCGGCCTCTGCTGTTGGGTGGAAGGAGGTGCTGTGCTTCGTACCCAGGGAGGACCCTGGGGCTCGGGCCACCCGTCACCAGCCTCCATTGGGATTTGTCTCTTGGTCTCCGATCTTGTTCTCTTGAAGATGCCACTTGTCTGAGCCTGGTGGCTTAAGGGGAGCACAGGGACAAGGTTCAGTCGTTTGAGCCCCAGCCTGGGTGGTGGGAGGGGTACAGGGCCCTGGGGTGTAAACCAAGCCCAGGCGGCTAGCCATCCCCTCCCAGGGGTCTGTGGCTTGTTCACCTCCCCAGTCACCGACCATGCAGCTGTGTAGGCTCAATTTGTTCACTCATCCAACATACCAGGTAGGCAGTCTCTGTTCTGCTGGGAATAGCAGTGAGCAAGGTGGGTTCCTCTTCTCGTGGAGCTTATTCAGGGTGGGGAGGGTTGGACAATAAGTCAGCAAACCAGAAAACATCTGGCATTGGCAAATGATGGCAGAGCAGAGCACCCCCTTAGGCTGCTGGTTAGGAAGGGCCCCTCTGAGGATGTGACATTTCAGCCTAGCCCTAAATGGCAGGAGGCTGCCTGTGAAAATTCAGGAACTGAATTTCCTGAATTCCTGAGTAGCCAGTGCAAAGGCCCTGAGGCAGGGGAAAGCAAGGTGTGTTGGGTCTGTGTAACTGGCATGGGGAGGGGCCCACAGCCAAGTCAGAGATGGGGAGGGTTTTATTCCACAAGCAACAGGCAGCAACTACTGGAAGGTTTGAAGGAAGATGGTGCCACATCCGACTTAAGGTTTAAAACGTCCTCGATGCATTCTGGAGAATGGGCTGGAAGCAGAACAGCCGGGAAGCCACTGAGGTTATGCAAGGGAGAGAGGCTACAGAGATGGACAGGAGCAGGTGCCTTTGGAGTGTTTAGGGGTCACAGTGGCCCCACTTGTGATTGCATGCATGGGGTGAGGGCACAGGCTCTGGGTGGGAGCTGCACCATTCACTGAGAATCCAGCACTGAGGACCTCGGGGCAAGGCAGGGCTGGGGGAAATGGGTATGTCAGGTCTGAGGTGTCCATGCGACATCAAAGGGGTCAGAGAGTAGGTGGGCTGAAGGAGTCTGGGGTTCAGCGGGGAGAGCAGGGCAGGAGGTGCCTGGGGGAGTGCTGTCGAATCTGGAGGGGAGCCACACGTGTAGAGGAAGAGGAAGGATCCCCGGACTGAGCTGGGTTGCTGCATTTAGAGCAGCATTTCTTAATTTCAGCGTTGCAGCATTTTGTACCTGGTAATTCTTTATTGTGGGGACGGCCCTGAACCTTGCAGGACATTTGGCAGCATCTTTGGCTTCTACCCACAGATGCCAATAGCGGCCCCCTCCCTGTATTCCAGACATTGCCGAACGTCCTTTAGAGGAGGAGAATCACTCTTAGCAAGAACCTCTGACTTAAGAGTTTGGGAGAAGAAAGGGCTGCAGAGGAGTGGCTTTCAAGGCGGTCACAGACCCTGTGAGTGTTCCAGGGGAAGGGCTGCTGTGCCAAGTGCTGCTGAGAAAGAGGGCAGAATAAGCCTGGTGCTTGGTGATGTGGAGTAGGGCATGACCCACAGAAGACCCTCGGTGGAGGGTCTGAAGATGACCTGCCGGGGGTTAAGGAGAGAATGTGAGGGGTCAGCCACAGTGCCTGGATACAGACACGGGGGGAAGGTGGCTATGGGAGGCAGCAGAAAGGTGATGGGGCTTGGGGGGCAGTTCTAAGGGGTGGGGCTGGCTTTGTAGAGTAGGGGCAGTGACCATAAGAGGGGGATAACTGAAGCGGGGGAACCCTGGGGTGAGATGAGAGGGGTTGGGCTCTAGGGCATAGGTTGAGGACTTGCCCTTCAATCAGCAGAGAGAGTTTGAGGCCAGATGCAGGTGGGCGGCGGGGGTGAGTTCCTGCCTGGACTTCCGTTTCCCCCTAAGTACCAGGCAGAGTCACAGCATGGTGGGGCGGAGGAGTGGCTGGGAGGTTGGAGAGGGAGGGAGGGATGCCGATTTTAACAAGTGGGAAAGTGAGCATACTAGGGAAGTTTGGAGATTTGTGGTCATGAATTTAGAGTGAGGCCAGTCGATGCAGAGAGTGTTTTGCTCCGGAAAGAGCAGCTGCTTGGTCAAAGGCAGGCAGTGGGTGGATGATTTAGGTTTGACCAGAGCTGGGGTTTTGTCAAGATCTTTATGCAGAGAGGACGACTGACTTCTATTATAGAGGACACGACCCAAGGATCTGGGAAGTGGGGAGGTTGGGGCATACAGGATGGTCTGGGGTTAAGAGTCCCAGGGACTGAAAGGCTGGTGGGGGGCGGGGTACATCTGGAGAAAGGTGGGGTGTGTGGCCTGATGGGGGTCTGTCCCAGTGGGCCCTTAGGGGAGGGAAGGCACCGTTGTGAGCTGCTGGAGCCCCAGCCCAGGAGATCTGGTGGCACCATCTCACCTCTCAGGCCTGGAGAAGTGTCTCCATGGCTTCCAACTAAGGTCTCACAGCCAGCAATGGGACAACAGTCTTGCCCTTCTTTGGAAAAGGTGGATCGCTTCCATGGCTAGGTCCTTTCCCCATGGCCCCTCTTCCCAAGGACATCCCTCCAGGGCACCCTCATTTGGGCTATCTGTCTTAGAATGCTCATGTGTATGAGTGCACTGTTGCCTGCTGCCACTGTCCCTCACGGCCAATGACCTTGTGCCAGGTACTGGGGACAGAGAAGGGATGTCCACTCTGATGGGCAGAGGTGATGCAACAAACCCATCAGAGAGCATCTTAGTACAGTGTGCTGAGTGTGAAAGTGGTGCCGCCTGGCGTCGAGGAACCTGGAGAATGGAGGTCCTCCCTCTGCCTGAGAGCCTGGTGACTGGTGAGTGGGCCTTGAAATGTGAGTAGGAGCCCACCAAACACAGAAGGAAGGGTGATAGGGCATCTCTATCAGAGCAAACAGCCCCAGGGAAGGTCTAGAGAGTGGAGACCCAGGGCACATTCAGAATCCAACACTGGCCTGGCGGGGCAGGGATGGAGGGCTGGGATCCAGGTTGTGCCCTGCTGCCCACTCCCCTGCTATGTGTCTGGGAAAGCTCCGGCTGCTCCTGCTGCTGGCTGTTGCTGGTCTGGGACTGAACTATGCCCGTTCCTGTGGAACAGGATGACAGTGGAAGGTCAGGTCTAGTTTGGGAAGAGCTGAAGGAAGCCTTGCTATGCTAGTAGGCTCCAATTCCTGCACCTGGCAGCCTCATGGGGCTGGTTGGAGCAGGCAAGGCCTGAAGGTGTGTGTGTGCGGGGGGAGATGGTGAGCCGCCGAGAGGAGCAGGAGCTGAGTTATGTTATGGCCTGCGTGGCCGTGGAGAGCTGGCGCACCCACGCTGCACTTGTCCATCCTGGGGTGGAGCCAGGAGGAGACAGCTGCAGTAGACGGTGACAGCCTGGGGCAGCGGTATGGATGCCAAGGCAGCTCCTGCTGCCCGGAGGGCACACATCTCCCAGGTCTGCCAGCTGTAGACTCTGTCCCTGGCTGTCCCCACCTGGCCTAGTGCCTAGCTGGCCCAATGAAAGATGCCTAGCAAGGCTTGGCACTCAGTAGACCCAAAGTTGTCACTTCTAGGAAGGCCCAGGTAAGCGTCCTCAGTGGGGACTT
Organism: Homo sapiens; assembly: GCF_000001405.40. NCBI lineage: Eukaryota > Metazoa > Chordata > Mammalia > Primates > Hominidae > Homo > Homo sapiens. The sequence continues at coordinate 96,118,636 of NC_000002.12, read as the reverse complement.
GCAGGGTGGGGAGGGCACACGGGCAACCCAGTCTCAGCTCCTGCAGCATCCCTTGAAGGAAGATGGGTCAGAAGACAAAGGCTGATGCTGGCTGCAGAGTCTGGGGAGCTGCTCACTGGCCCCCAGCCCAAGTGTGGTTGGAGACAGTGGAAAGGCGGTTCCTCCCGATGCCCATGTGGGCCTCTAGCAGGCCCAGACTGTGAAGGCCTTGGGAGCCCCTGGATAGGCAGGCACCTGCCTAAGTAGCTGCTCCCAGGCTCTCATGGCCACCCTCTGTCCTTCCTCAGGGAAAGAGCTACTGGCATCTCTCCATCACTGGTTATGTATGCCCAGGCGGCGCCCAGGCCCTGCCCAGCCCAGAGGGTGGGAAAGACACATCCAGGAAACTGTGTCTAGCAGAGTGGTCGGTTTTGAGCTGAAGCCTAGGGTTGGGGGTGGGAAGGAGGCTGATTGCCCTGTCCGAACCCAGCCCTGGCAGCATCCACCCCATGGGCTGTGGGCACTTGCACCTCACCAGAAGCTGGGGAGTCTGGCAGAATGACAGGGATGGGGGGATCAAGGAGGCACCTACTCCCAACACACCCCCGTGGCTGGGGGTGCTGGTCTGGGTACCTGAGACGGGGCACCTCCCACCTGAGCCTGGGGAGGCGCTAGACATTGTCCGTGGGCACTGAGAGGCCACGTGCTCTGCTCCCATGGAGGGAGCAGGGAGGAGAGGAGGTCCAGCAGGTTGGACGGGGCCTGGGGGAGCCCCACTGTCAGAGGTGGATTGGTGCTTATTTATACAGAGGATGCCTTGCAGAGTCGTGGGCTGTGAATAAGAGGCCTGGCTCGAGGCGGGGCTTATGACATTAGGGGCTCCAGAACCGGGGAAACATGCCCTCAGGGCTGCCCAGGCTGGTGCTGGTGGCGGTGTGGCAGGGAGAGTGAGTTGGGGCCCTGAGGGAGAACAGTTGCTCATAGCGCTTTGAAGGCGAGTGGGGGGCCTTAGTCTGAAGTTTCTTTTTACCCCAACCCTCTTTCCACTGTCACCCCCAGAAGGGCTTCAGTGTGTATGTGGGGCAGGACCGCAGCAGGGAGGGAGGGTCAACCCCTTCCCCCGGGGTCACTACAGAAGCGGAGGGACGCTCCTCTCTTCACGGCTGCCCCTGAGACCTGCTTTTTCTCGGAGCTGTGTGACAAAGTCCCCACCCTTTACTCCCCCACGGCAAGGAAGGGACCTCCCCTTCGCATTAGTCAAGGGGCGGCAGCTCGCCCTGTGCCCCGTACAAACCCTTGGCTGAATCGCAGTTGATGCTGTGATTCGAGTCCAAGCCAGTTTCCCTGTTACCTCCTTTGCCCTTAATGGAGGAAACTGAGGCAGCTGCGGAGACACAAGAAGCCGAAGTCCTAAGACCCAGGCTGCGAGCGCTGGCTCCGGGACCCGGGCTGCCGCTGACGGGCTGGGCCCGCGGGCGGCAGCAGGGGGCGCTCGCAGGCCGGGACGCGCCCTCCTCGCGCGGCGCTGGCCCGACGGAGCTGGTCCGCGAGGGGCAGCGCCTGGGAAAGGGTCGGGACCGGCTCCCCGCTCCCCGCTCCCCCACCTCTCCGCAGGGCGTCTCCACGGCCGAGCCGGGCGGGGTTGTGGTGTATTGCGACCCGGCGCCCCAGCCCCACGCCCGCCCTGCCCTCCCTGCGGGCTCCCGAGCGGCGGAAGGCAGAGCAGGGCGCACCGGCGCCGGGCCCAGCCCGGTTCCCCCGGGAGAAGTGTCCCGTCCCGGTGCCGGCCCGCGCGCTAGCTCCGCGTCCCGGCTCCCGGCACCCACCGACCCCTCCACAGCTGCGCGCGTCCTGCCTGGGGGCCGGAGACCCCGGCCGCCGGGCCCCTCCGCTCTCCCGAGGCGCGGCCGCCGGGAGGAAGGCAGGTAGAGGCGCTGGGCGGGGTCCGGGCGCGGGAAGTCCCGGGCTCACGCCTCCCGCGAAGCGCACCTTCAGCCCACCTCGGTCCGCCCACCGCCCCGCCTCCCGCCCGCTCCCGCGCCCGCCTCCAGTCTCCGCCTTCCTCCAGCCGCTCTCCCCGCTCCCCACTCCCCTGCAGGCGCGGCTGGGGCGAAAGCCTGCGAGCTGAGCGGGCGCAAGGTCCTCCGCGCCTCCTTTAAGAACCGGCCCAGCCCGGCCCGCGCCCCCAGAGCGTACGGCATCCGCGTGGCGGGAGGGCGCGACTTTCTCCGGTCCCGGGCGGGACGGGGACGGCGGCGGGACAACTTGGGAAACTTCTCTGGGGCGGACGGCAGGGACCCCGGGCACCGGTGGAGGAGGATGTAGGAGGGCGGCTGCTGGTCCTGGGTGTTCCCGACCTCCTAGGCCCCGCTCGTCCAGGCCATGGGGCTCCAGCGCCCTCGGCGCCGCCCGAGGGGCGACGCTCTTGTCTAGCCGAGCCGGGCAGCGCTGTCGTCCACGGTGCGCACTGGGCGGGCAGCGCTCCCTCTGCCCACCTCCCGCCCCGTCATGGACCACCAGGACCCCTACTCCGTGCAGGCCACAGCGGCCATAGCGGCGGCCATCACCTTCCTCATTCTCTTTACCATCTTCGGCAACGCTCTGGTCATCCTGGCTGTGTTGACCAGCCGCTCGCTGCGCGCCCCTCAGAACCTGTTCCTGGTGTCGCTGGCCGCCGCCGACATCCTGGTGGCCACGCTCATCATCCCTTTCTCGCTGGCCAACGAGCTGCTGGGCTACTGGTACTTCCGGCGCACGTGGTGCGAGGTGTACCTGGCGCTCGACGTGCTCTTCTGCACCTCGTCCATCGTGCACCTGTGCGCCATCAGCCTGGACCGCTACTGGGCCGTGAGCCGCGCGCTGGAGTACAACTCCAAGCGCACCCCGCGCCGCATCAAGTGCATCATCCTCACTGTGTGGCTCATCGCCGCCGTCATCTCGCTGCCGCCCCTCATCTACAAGGGCGACCAGGGCCCCCAGCCGCGCGGGCGCCCCCAGTGCAAGCTCAACCAGGAGGCCTGGTACATCCTGGCCTCCAGCATCGGATCTTTCTTTGCTCCTTGCCTCATCATGATCCTTGTCTACCTGCGCATCTACCTGATCGCCAAACGCAGCAACCGCAGAGGTCCCAGGGCCAAGGGGGGGCCTGGGCAGGGTGAGTCCAAGCAGCCCCGACCCGACCATGGTGGGGCTTTGGCCTCAGCCAAACTGCCAGCCCTGGCCTCTGTGGCTTCTGCCAGAGAGGTCAACGGACACTCGAAGTCCACTGGGGAGAAGGAGGAGGGGGAGACCCCTGAAGATACTGGGACCCGGGCCTTGCCACCCAGTTGGGCTGCCCTTCCCAACTCAGGCCAGGGCCAGAAGGAGGGTGTTTGTGGGGCATCTCCAGAGGATGAAGCTGAAGAGGAGGAAGAGGAGGAGGAGGAGGAGGAAGAGTGTGAACCCCAGGCAGTGCCAGTGTCTCCGGCCTCAGCTTGCAGCCCCCCGCTGCAGCAGCCACAGGGCTCCCGGGTGCTGGCCACCCTACGTGGCCAGGTGCTCCTGGGCAGGGGCGTGGGTGCTATAGGTGGGCAGTGGTGGCGTCGACGGGCGCAGCTGACCCGGGAGAAGCGCTTCACCTTCGTGCTGGCTGTGGTCATTGGCGTTTTTGTGCTCTGCTGGTTCCCCTTCTTCTTCAGCTACAGCCTGGGAGCCATCTGCCCGAAGCACTGCAAGGTGCCCCATGGCCTCTTCCAGTTCTTCTTCTGGATCGGCTACTGCAACAGCTCACTGAACCCTGTTATCTACACCATCTTCAACCAGGACTTCCGCCGTGCCTTCCGGAGGATCCTGTGCCGCCCGTGGACCCAGACGGCCTGGTGAGCCCGCCTGCGCTGCCCCTGTGGGGTTGGTGCGGTGGCGCCGGGGTCACCCTGCTTCTTGCCCTGCTGTGTGTGGCTGCCTCCCCTGGGCTTTCTGCTCCCTGCCCAGATCCTGTAGGCCTCATCTTAGGAACCCCTTGGGAGGGGTGGGCAGGGGGGCTGCTAGCAAGGGTCCCAGTGAAGCTTCCCCTTGCCGGCTTAGCTGTGGGGGACCCCTTCTCCACCCTCTCCCTGAGCACAGGCCGATGGAGGTGGTTCAAATCCTCTGGAACATAGCCAAGACCAGGAGAAGAGAGAGCACTTTCTTCCCAGAGCCCCATGCTCTCCAGACCAATGTCTGGGCTTCCCTTTCTTGAGGACCTTGTGTTCCTGGCAGGTCACTTGCTTGTGGTGTTTTCGTTTCTTTTTCATCTCCCCCCCACCCACAAAGAGCACGGAGCCAGCCTTCCACTTTTCCCAGTGGGGCCTGCTGCTGAGGGGGAGGAAGAAACGAAGACTGATCACCCACGCTAGGCACTCGCGGTCCCTGGCAGGCGCTGGGATGGGGGCTTATGGGGTGGCATCGTCTCTGGGCCCTCCTTTCCCCCTTTGCCTGTTTTCGGATCTGTGGTTCCTTTGAAAGCCAGAACAATGGATCGGCTTCCTTACCCAGCACCCCTCCGGTAGGTGGGTGGCCACGTGGATGCCTCGCTGGGGCGGTCTTGGAGGCCTGGTCTCTGCCTCGACGGGAGATCCCCGATCACTGGCATTCACCCCCTGCAAAAATCGGGGCGACAATAGCTCACTGCCTACTTGCTGCAGGGAGATGAAAGGCTTTGCAGAAAGCTTTGAGCTCTGTGGGGGAACACACTAGAGAACCAAAAATGTGATTATATGGTGATATAAAAATCCCTTTCCTCTGTGTTTACCACCACCTGTCTTCCTGTAGACTTTTGTTCTGTCCCTGGGGTGTGTGAATTCCTACCCCGAACTGGAAGCCGGGAGTGGCAGACAGAATCACTATTTCAAGTTAAAGGATCTCTTTGAGAATGTGTTCTTCTGGCTGCAAAGGTCTGAGTTATTACGCTACATGACAACGTTTCGACATTTCACCGGCAACACCAAGAGGGTTTTTAGTGGCTTGGGTCTCCCCAGTGGGGGATAAGTCTTTTGTCATCAAGGAGGCAAATTGTCTCCCCAAGACAGCTCAAAATATCCACACCTCGGCAACAGTCTAAGATGAGAGCCTGTGACAGGTGGCAGCGCCCCCAGGTGGGGTACTGGCATCAGAGCCTGGTGCGCCCCTAGGGGAGCCTCCCACTGGAGTGCCCGGCCAGGTCTCCAAGCCCCAAATGAGTCCTTGTGAACCACAACTGATCCCCCCAGGTGGGTGCTTGTGGACTGCCTCGGACCCAGCCACGCTGCTCCCCGCAATGCTGATGGGGCTGTGCATTGAGGACCCCTGCTTCCTGGTTCTCAGTCCCACCCCAAAACCTGGCACCCAGAACAGTTGGAAGTGTGGAAAGGAGGTTTATCGGCCTTCCCTTGGAGAGGGCCTGGCTTCAACATTGGGCCAGTAGGCATCTTAGCTTGGCAGGTGTCGGGGGAATGGGCCAGATGGACCTGCTAGATTTGGAAGGGCACCGAGGGAGTTTTCTGGGTGTAGAGAGAATGGAGGGGACCAAAAAGAGTCCTTCCTGGGGTGTGGGAGGCTTCCCAGCTTGGTCCTCAGTGGGTTGTTGAGGCCAGAGTATCGCCCTGGGATGTGGTGGGGAGCTGGGCCAGGAGAGGGACTGACTGTGACCCTCTGCTGGCCGGTCTTGTGTGCGCCCCATGGGACCCCCAGTGTTCTTGCCTGTGACCTCTTATTGCGACATGCAGGTGGTGTTTTTTTTTTTTTTAAACTCTGAGCTATTTTATCAATAAAGGATATTTTGTAATAAGTAAGTGGTGTCCTTGTTGCCCAAAGGCTGCCTGGAGCAGTTATTCCTCAGCTGCTGGCACAGCAGACTCTGGGTGCTGGCCTAATGACCTGGGGCTCCCTCCCAGGGCCAGTAGTCCTCTCCTCCCCGAGATGTGGCTGGCTGGTTCCCCCAAGCCCCTGCCCTTCCTACCCGCCTTTGTCCACAAAGCATCCTTACTCATCATCACAAGCCAATGGGTGAGGGTGGCTGGAGGAGCCTGAGACTGGCTCCCTGGGAGGGAAAAAAAGGGAGGGTTTTCTGGAGGAGGTGGCCTTTGGGTTGGGTCTTGGAGGAAGAGAAGGAGTACACCAAGAAGCAAGATGGGAGGGTGTTTTGGGTAGGGGGAAGGGCATGTGTAAAGGATGTGATTGGTGGATTTGTGGCTGGGTTTGAAAACAGCCCCAAGCTAGCCCCGGGTGGTCTGGTGCCACAGCCTTCCTGCCCTACTTAGTGGCCACAGAGTGGGCAGTCCCTGGAGCCTGAACCAGGTGGGCCTGCTCCCATGGGCAGGGGGGCAGATGGCAGGCTGGCAGCAGGAGGCCGTGGGCAGGGCCAGTGCCAGTGGCCAGCCCAGGGAGGGGAGGGAGGAAGGAGGACACGTGAAGCCCCAGGGTCCTCAGTGTGAGGCCACCCCTCTACTTCCACATTGGCCCAGAATCTTCACTCTCACCACCTCCATACTGGCGTGGGCCATGCTTCTGCTAGGGACAACCAGCGAGACCTCCAGTGTACCCACCATCACTGACAGACACGGGGACATGGGCTTTGCTGAGGACTTAACAAGAAAGACATGCCCTGCCCTGCTCTCAGCTTCCCACACCTGCCGAAGCACCCACTGCTGACACCCAGAGGCCTGATGTGGGTGATGAGGATGGTTCATTGACTCCCTTTTACTGATCCAGGCTCTTCTGGTTTTGTCTGATGACCTCATTTAATCCTTATGCCTGACTGTAAGGTAAGTATCAGCCCCTTTTATACTAGAGAAATGCAGGCTGAGAAAGCTGTAATGACCTGTTTGAGGTCATCCAGGCCCAGGCTCTTTCTGCTGACCACATTGTCCCCAGTGCTTAAGCGTCTGCAAGGGGCAGGCCCTTGAGCCTGGGAGTAGAGAACCCTGCCCTGACTCTGGAAATGGTGGTGGAAAGGTACCCCTCCTAGAGCAGGACTGTTTGCAAGCCCATTTTGAATACATTATCTCATTAATCCTCACAACCTTGCTGAGAATGATCATTTTACAAAAAACGAAATTGAGACTTAAAGTGGCCTCTCTAGGTCTTGAAATCACAAAACTATGAAATTCAGGTGATGAAGAATTGTGATTCCATCTCTTCAGCCAGCTCTCATTCAGTGGCGCTGGGTATCTGAAGATCCTGAAACTGCACGTGGATGGATTCAGCAGGTGACCATGCTGTGATTGATTGTTCATGTCTGTCAATGCCACAGAATATGTAATTGATGGCAGGTGTGTCCCAGGCTTTCCATTCCTGACAGCTCAGTCCAACCACTGAATTGTATGAAGGAAAAGACTGGGGCCCAGAGAGAGGAGTTGAATTGCCTCAGAGGGCGTCACACAGACACAGCTGGCTGAGCTGGATGTAGATCTAGATCTAGACCCAGGTTGCCCATCATGCCACACTTTCACACTGAAGGAATTGCATCCGAACTCAAGGAATAACAGGCCCACATTCAGGAAACATCCGCTGACCTGTGTGGCAGGACCTGTGCTGGGCTCGTCCCCATTTTGCTGTCTCTTTCAGTTCTCAGATGAGGAACTGGGGGGCGGAGTCTCAGGCACCTGCCCAGGCCCCTTGACTAACGGGGTGCAGCTGGAGCTGGGCCCAGGACCTGGCTCCCGATCAGGCTTTCTTCTCTCTCATGCTCCATTCCTGAAGCTCTCTGTGAGTAGGACCTGCTTTTGATTTCGCCCTGAGCCCATCTGAGGGCTACAGGTTGATGAGGCTGGCTGAGAACAGTAGAGGCGGGAGTGGGGTGGGTGCAGCCCTCTGCCTCCAAGAGTAATCCTGGCAAGTCACCTGGAGGTGAGGGTGGTGGGTGCGGGGAGCAGGTGTGAGGCCAGCAGGGGTGCTTTACCTGGCAATTCACCAGGTGGACGGGAGCTGTCTCAGCCGGTCACATCATCCTTCCAGACACCCCTTTCTTAAGACGTCCCTGCTGGAAGGGAGGCGCTGCTGCAGAATGCAGTTAAAGAGGAGCTGGGCAGAGCAGGATGAGGAATATCCCACAGTGGCACCTCCCCTCTGAGAGCCTGGGTCCTTAGTTGGCAAGGATACCCTTGAGAGGGCCTTAAGAGCCAGCTCTACCTTGGGATAGCTGCTGAGAACTTTGGGGCTGCTGAGAACTCCTCTTTGGAGCACTGTGGCTGAAGGGACTCCTGACACTTGTTTAAGAAGGGACCTGTGGCAGGAGGGCCCAGCTGATCTGCCATCAGTGCTCAAGGTGGAGGAGGCTTGTGGCTTCATCTGGCCCTGGACCCTCTCCCCATCCTCTGCATGGTCCCCACCCTGTGTGTGGGGGGCCACTGGCAAGGGGTCTGAGACCTTGCCCAACTCCCACCTGCAAATGGGGTTGCTGCTGGCTGGGGAGGAGGCATCTGCCCAGCTGGAGTCGGACCTGGGCAGCCTTTGGCTTCCCTGGCACTGGTGGGGCTTTCTGCTCCCAGATCCTGGTTGCTGTGGGTGGGAGGGCAGGAGAAGGTGGGGAACTCAGGATTCATGTCCTGTCCCTGCCACCACCTGTTGGGCTGTCCTTAGGCAGGACTCGGTCCCTCTCTGGGCCTTGGTGTCCTTGTCTGCCCATGCAGGATTGCCCCTGCGGTCCCCAGGGTTCCCCAGCTTGGGGCTCCATCTCTGCCTTCCCCCCACTGCCACTCCCTGCCCCAGCTCCCTGGGAGGTCCAGACATGAAGGTTCCTGGAGTTAATCAGTTGTTCTTAGCATCAGGCTCATGGGCAGGATGGCGGTGGTGTTTTCCTCACCTTTGTACCTCAGCACAAAGTTAAGCACCAGTTCTGGAGTAACAGATCAGTTTGGGGCCCTCTGAGATATGCCGTGGTGAAAGCAATCATGACAGTCCTAAGACATTAGGGTCTAGGGCCGGATACGCATCATCTGAAATTGATGTGATTACTATGCCTATTTCACAGGCAAGGAAACTGAGGCAGAGGCAATTGGCTGAGGTTATCCAGAACCAGGACATAAACGTACCCAGTCTCATCTCAGTGGTGTCACCCACTGGCCTCACTCTGCCTCCTCAACAGCCCTGCCTCCAGCATCAACCTCTGCCTCTTCACCAGCCCTGCCTCCAGCACCAGAGCTCAGGCTCTGGGTCCTTCCCAGTCCAGCAACGCCCCTGCCCTGTGTGAGCTTGGGAGCCTCACCTGCTGACCCCAGCCACTCTTGGCAGCTCTCCCTGTTGGCTGGCCCTTCCACGAGAGCAGGACCCCTGGCAGGGGGTGCAAGGCTACCACCCTCCCAGGCTCTGCTCACTGTCAGCAGGGGAGGCGGGGAACTCTGGGCTAAAATTAGATTCCGGGATTCTTCGTGCTCCCGCATCCGTCCGCTCTTCCATCTGGGCTTGGGAAAGGCTGTTGTCAGAAGGCCAGGGCTGGAAGGGCCTGGATGTCAGCTCGCACCCTCCCCCGGGCTTGTCTGCTCTGATCTTCTCACACCCTGGACTGACCCTGGCCAAAGGCTCCTGCCCTTGGCGTGGCCTTGAGGCCAGCGATTGATCAGCAGTGATTTCAGGATGAGGTGCCCCTTTACTGCGCACCACTACCCCCTGGGATTCTATGTTCCCAACTTCCTCTGCTCTCCCTTCTCCTCCCTTCCTCCCTTCCCCTATCCTGGCCCTTCCCACTTCCGGGTCCTCAGCGACTCCCCCTCCTCCAAGCCTCCTGTTGCCTCCTGCTGATCCCCTGACCCCTGCCTTGCCCAGGGGGATGGTCCTGGCTCTTCCTGAGCTTACGGGCTCCATGGAGCAGTGGTGCCTGTGAGGGGACTGGAACAGACTGGAGACCAAAAAAGAGCCTCCCTCCCTGGAAAGTCAGGGCTATTTCTGTCCTTGTGGCAGCCCATGGGGCCCCCAGCTCTCCGGCAGGGCAGGCGGGGGAGGTGCTGAGGGTCCTGACCTTTGATTTCCCCGGGGAGAGGGCAGGCCCCTTCTGGAGCTGCAGAGTGGACCCCACCAATCTCAGAGCAGCTGGGACTCAGATGGAATTTCCTCCCCACCCATGGGGACTGGAGCTGCTTTAAGAGGGAAGAGGGCTGGGCTGTGGTGTGGGGGATCCAGGTGTCCTGGTGTCGCAGCCCAGCCCAGCCCAGCCACAGCCTTGAACGGAGCATGAGAGACTACCTGGGCCCACTGCTTGGATTCCCCAGTCAATTGTTGGGGAGCCAAGGGTTAAACACAGCTTTCCTCCTCCCAGTGCGGGAAAGGCTGGTGGAGCAGCCACAGCAGCAGGCTCCACTGGTCCCTGTTTGTCAGGTGCAGCTTTGATGCAGCTGTTCAGCTGCAAATCCCCTCAGGCTGCAGCCCCTCTGCCCCTGCTGGCCTGGCAGCTGGATTTGGGTGGGCACCTAGCTGGCAGCTCTTTGAGGGATTCCTCAGCTGTCTCGGAGTCTAGAGGCTCAGGACGTGATCCTAGGAGGCCCACCAAATTGCTGGGTGGCCCTGGGCAAGGCTGCTCACCTCTCTGGGTTTCAGATGCCTTCTTGTCAAGTGAGGGGGTCGGACAGGAGCATGGTTCTAATGATGTTTTGGGTGCTGCCCCAGGAGAGATGAGGGGAAACTGAAGCCTCCTGCCCCCCGCTCCCCCCACCTTTCTACTTGTTGATTGTTCAGGAAGCAGCTCTCCTCCCTGCTCACCAGGCTTCCTCCTCTGCCCTCCAGCCTGCACCCACATAGCCTCCATCCCCCAACCCCACCTGGGCTCAAGTCACACCCCTCACCTGTGTCCTGGTGAAATCTAGGTGGCTGAGCCCCAGAAGGGTCATCTTGAAAGACATTCCCCAGGGCAGGTGGAAGCGGGTGGGAGAGGGGAGTGGCCACCTGCCTGGGCGGGACATGGTGTCTATAGTAAGGCTGGGAGGGGCACTGGAGTTGGGGGGCAACAGAGGAGGAAGTGGGTGAGATACTCTGGGAGGGGCAAGTGGGGAGGTGGGCTCTGGGAAAGCGGGCTCCCATGGGGTCATGGCTCAGGATGATGCAGGAGAAGATGCAGCTCCTAACAACAGACCTGCTTTCACCCCAGCAGGGCTGGGTCTGTGCCCAGGGACCTCCTCTGAGAGGACAGCCTGAGAGGGCAGGGACTTGGCTACCTCGTCTGTACCTGTGCTCCTCGCCCTCTGGCAGAGCCTGGCCCGGAGCAGCTGCCCAGTAAATATTTGTTGGAGAAGTGAGTTTTCCCAGCAAACTGGGGCAGCCTTGGTTATCTAAGGCTGGGGACCCTGGGCTCTGGGAGTGTGTCTCTGATTTGGGGTTTTCATTTTCTGTTTTGTTTTGTTTTCTCCATAGTTTCCTAGAGAAATTCTGTTGGAAAATTCCATCCTGGCCTTGGCTGAGCTAGAGGCAGGAGAACTGTCCCCACAGCACCCGGGATGCACCAGGGCATCTGCAGAGGTGGTGGCAGGGACCAGACCCAGAGAGCAGAGGCTCAGACAGGGCCCGACAGAGAGGGGATGGGCAGAGAGAGGGCATGGTTGGGGCCATTCCTGGAGCAGCATGGAAAGAGCACTGGCTTTGGAGTCACAGCTGGCTCTACTGCTTACCAGATATATGGTCTCAGACAGACCGCTAAACCTCTCTGAGCCTTGACTTGCTCACATTTAAAATGTGCCACGTGGACCGGGCGCGGTGGCTCACGCCTGTAATCCCAGCACTTTGGGAGGCCAAGGTGGGTGGATCACGAGGTCAGGAGATCGAGACCATCCTGGCTAACATGGTGAAACCCCGTCTCTACTACAAAAAATACAAAAAATTAGCTGGGCGTGGTGGCGGGTGCCTGTAGTCCCAGCTACTGGGGAGGCTGAGGCAGGAGAATGGCATGAACCTGGGAGGCGGAGCTTGCAGTGAGCTGATATTGCGCCACTGCACCTCCAGCCTGGGCGGCAGAGTGAGACTCCATCTCAAAAAAAAAAAGAAAGAAAGAAGAAAAAGGGCCAGGTGTGGTGGCTCATGCCTGAAATCTCAGCGCTTTGGGAGGCCGAGGCAGGAGGATCACTTGAGCCCAGGAGTTGGAAACTAGCCTGGGCAACATAGTGAAATCCCACCTCTACAAAAATTTTTTAAAATTAGCCAGGTGTGGTGGCGTGCGCCTGGGGTCCCAGCCATTTGGGGGGCTGAGGTGGGAGGATCGCTTGAGCCCAGGAGTTCGAAGCTGTAATGAGTTGTGCTTGCACCACTGCACTCCAGCCTGGCAATGGAGCAAGACCTTGTATCAAAAAGAAAAAAAAGTGAGGGAGAAAATAATTAAAATAAATAAATAAATGTGATAACATCAACTACTTTAAGATTGAGGAGCGTGTTGAGAGGTAGAGATGACATGTAAGGTGTTCCTATAGAGTGTGAGGGTACAGACGGGCACCTGCAAATGGCAGACCCATTACATTTAATCCTCTGGACCCTCAGGTTCTCTTCAAAGTGGGTGGGCAGAACTCCTTGCCCCAGTTGTCCTCTGACTCCTGCTCAGAGGCCTGATGGAAGGAGGGTGGACTCTGCCCTGTGTCCTGCCTGCTCTCACCCCATGCTTTCATGGGCTCCAGGACTCTCCCATGGAGAGCTTCAGCAGGCCCTCTCCAGTGTGGAGCTAGTAGGGGAAGGTTCTCAGGCAGCTGTGTCAAATGTGCCACATGTGAGCCTATGCCCTTCTTGCTGTGCCCATTCCAGACATCAGTAATGGGCCCCAGAGCTCTCTCCATGACTAGAGACGAAGTTGCAGGGAGTCCCAGGTGGAAAACAATTGCTGGTGTGAAAGATGAAACTGTTTGTCCCTCAGATCTGTGGAGAACCCCAGCCTTGTCCTTGATGGGTGCAGGGGAAAGGGCTGCCCACCCTGGTGTGAGGGGTGTCATCCAGGGCAGTAAAGAGGGCCATCTCCGGAGACCTCTAGGATTCCTGTGCTGCTGCTGCAGTAGGGGCATCCAGGGGTCAAATGTCAGCACTCAGGAGGACCCTGATATTTGAAGAAGCCTGCATCAGAAACACAGCCAGTGAGCAGAGAGAAGGGTAGGTGTTGGTGGGGTGAGAGCTTCTTGAGCCAGCATACCTTGACTTAGGCTGAAGATGGGCAGGAAGGGTGGTGAAGGGAGGCAGGGGCACTTGGAGGTCCTATTCTCTCAGAAGCATGGAAAGCAAGGCAAGGATGGTTCAAGCACCGCCTGAGCCCACACAGTTGAATGGCCTCTGGTGCTGCCTGTGAGTCTGATTGCCTGGTTCCATGGTGGGCATCATTGCTCCCCATGCTCCAGGAGTGGAACTTGTGCCCCAATTCCCTCCACCAGCACAGTGCTCCACAGCAATGGGGCCAACCCTGCAGTTCCCATCCTGGCAACACAGGGGGCCCTCATCCATGTGTGTCAAGATATTTCTGTCTCATTCCCTGTGCATCCCAGGATCATGTGTGACAATGCCCAGCAAATAGTGAAAATGGAAGGGCTGGCCTGGCTTGTCAGTGGCCCCTGACACCAGTCTCTCAGGGGTGCAAAAATATCCCAGGAAAAGTGGTGAGATGGAGAAAACTATATTTATGAGATCTCCTCCCAGAGAGGGAGGAATAATTGAGGCCTCCAGAGACAAGCTTGAACAACAACAGATGCTGTTTGTTTCTTAAGTGGCCCTTGTGGAGGGCGGCAGGGCTGAGTGCCCTTGCAGCACAGTGTTGGTGTTGCTGAGTAGGATGGGCAAGTTTGGGGCTGGAAGGGAATTACTGGAGACCTTGGAGGTAGGCACGTGCCCTTTGCCACTGCACCCATCTCAGCTGCAGAAACAGGATGGACCGCTGGTCCGGGGTACACAATTTAGAGTGCCCTGTGTCAAATCTACCTTGACACTAGTCTCCAGTGCACTAAGCTCCATGCCAGGCTCAAAGGCCTCAGAGAGCCAACACCACCTTGAACCCTGGCTGTGAGATGGGGTCAAGCCACTGGTGCCAGGGGCACAGAGCACTGAGGGATGGCGTGAGTGACCCTTGGGGAAGGCAAGGATCAGCGGGTACCCGAGTGGGTGGGCCTTGGTGGGGAGCAGGGAGGAGGGTCTGTGGGAGGGTGGCACCCTACCGAGGGCTTGAGGCCAGCTTCACAGGCAGGAGAAGGGGAACAGGGGGCATGCTATCCAGATTGTGGCTTGGGTGTGGGCTTGCTCATGTTCTGAGGTGACTTCTGGCCCCAGGCTGCCCCCTCAGGGGCAAGGGACAGGGCAGGGAGGCCCCAGGCCAGCGAGGCCCCAGGCCAGCAGCCAGGCTCCAGGAGGCAGCTGACTAAAATAAGCTAGGATATCAGAGTCTCCTGTCTCCAGGAAGTGGAGAAGAGTGATGAGTGTCAGGAGCTGCCCTCGAGTGCAGAGGAGCAGGGGAAGTTGGGGAAAGGAGGGAGAGGAAGGAGGAGGAGGGGGAAGAGGGAGGGGATGGGGGAGGAGGGGGAAAGAGGGGGAGAGGGGGGGGAGGAGGGGGAGAGGAGGAAGGGAAGGAAAAGGAGGAGGAGGAGGGGGTAGGAGGGGGAGAGGAGGAAGGGAAGGAAAAAGAGGAAGAGGAGGAGGAGGAGGAAGGGGGGAGAGGAAGAAGAAGGGGAGCCAGAGATGGAGGGGGAAGAGGAGGAGGGGGACAAGACAGGGAGGAGGAAAAGGGGAGGAGACAGCAGTCACAGCTGAAGGCGTCCAACAAACTTGTTTTCTTTTCTCTGGCCTGAAGTCTCAGGCTGTTACCCCCTGGATCTGGTAAGGGCACGGGTCTTCTGGAGCCCTGCTGCACACCCAGCACCCTTGTGTCCTGAGAATGTCTTAGAAACCCAGTCAGTGGAGGGCGGGAGACAGGACCCCGTTGAGTGCAGGCAAAAGGAACCAGGTTTCCAAGAGCCTGCTTGGAGGAAGAGAACAACGTGGTGCTTTGAATTTGATTTCTAGCCCTTCTGTTCTGCAAATGAAGAAATCTGGCCCAGGTGGTTTAGGGATGTATCCCAGGTCCTGTGTCTGATGATGCTTGGAGCCACTCTAGAGCCCAGGTCTGTACACACACAGGGCACAGCCGTCTGCGTGGGGCATCAGCCCACACTACTATGAGGAGCAGCAGCAGGAGGGAAGGGTGGCCTGCAGTTGTGAGAACAGGCCTCTGGGTGTGGATGGGAGTGCCGGGGGCAGGCGGGCCCTAGCTGTCCCGCAGCCATCGGGTTCACATGACACCCATCTCAGCCTACCTGCCAGGCTTCCAGATATCACTGAGGGGTAAATGTGTGGGGGCCCCAAGCCCTCTGCCTTTCATGGCCAGTGGGGAGCCCCCTTCCCATCCTGGCTCCAGACCTTACCTGGGTGGCTCGAACACAGCCTCTCATGTCCATACTCTGGCCTAGGTGGAGCCGCAGAAGATGCAGGCTGCTCTCACTCTGCCCAGGCCCCTTGCCTCCCCTGGGCACACCAGTTCCCCAGGCCTGGGCTGGGGCCACCTGTGACCAGTGCACCTCCTTTCCCTCCACCTCCCTCTGTTGGGGTGAACCCTGACTGCCTGAGATTGCGGTTCACCCGCTGTCCTGGAGCCTCAGTGCAGGGCCACGGAGGGCAGCTCTCGCTCCGCTGAGTGCCTGTTGCAGTTTACCTGCGCCACTCTGATCACAGCTGGCTGCGAGCTCTTTGGGGATGTTCAGCCCCTGTCAACCTAGGGCATCCACAGCTGCAGGGACAGACCTGCATCCAGGGGCATGCAAGGGAGTCCAACGCAGTGGGGCAGCTTGCACGAAGGGCTGTCCTGCAGGACCTTAGCTCCCTGCACTCCCTCTCCTCAATTCCTCCTCTTCTCTTTGTTTAAATCAAATCTTCTGTTGAAGAATTCTCTAGAAGGGCTCAAAGTCATCAGCTTGGCTGGGCGCGGTGGCTCACACCTGTAATCCCAGCACTTAGGGAGGCGGAGACAGGCGGATCACCTGAAGTCAGGAGTTCGAGACCAGCCTGGCCAACACAGTGAGTCCCCATCTCTACTAAAAATACAAAAAAATTAGCTGGACATGGTGGCGGGCACCTATAATCCCAGCTACTAGGGAGGCTGAGGTATGAGAATCGCTTGAACCCCGGAGGCAGAGGTTGCAGTGAGCCGAGATTGCGCCATTGCACTCCAGCCTGGGCAACAAGAGTGAAACTCCATCTCAAAAAACAAAAAAACTCACAAAAATTAGCGGGCCATGGTGGCATGTGCCTGTAGTCCCAGCTACTCAGGAGGCTGAGCCAGGAGAATCGCTTGAACCTGGGAGGCAGAGGTTGCAGTGAGCCAAGATTGTGCCACTGCACTCCAGCCTGGGTGACAGAGCGAAGACTCTGACTCAAAAAAAAAAAAAATTCCTCAGCTCTGCCTCACCGACTACAGTTCCATCACATTAGTAATCTCTCTCTCTCTCTCTCTCTCTCTCACACACACACACACACACACACACACACACACACACACACACACACATCCCTTCCTGCTCAACAGCCCCACTCCTCAGGCGCAGTCAGCTTGGAGCCCCTGGAAGCCCCCAGCCTCTGGGCTCTCTTCTCTCCCAGCTGGGTCGCCCCTCACCCCTGGCCTGCCTTTCCAGGTCCAGGGTGTTATTTCAGGGAGGTGCTGGGGTCTGGGTCCTGTCCTTGAGGAAGCTCCCTTGCGATGACCCTGGAGGCTGTTAAGAGACCCCTCTGTCATCCCAGTGATGCCAGCCAGGCAGAGATCTGGGCTTGGGGCAGGAGCCCCGAGGCATGTGAAAGGCCAGGGCTTCATCCTCCCAGAGCCTGGGATCCACCGACAAGCAGGCCCTCTGCAGAGGCTGCGCCCCCCCCACCAGCTCTTGGCTGCCCCAGCTCTTGGCTCCCTCTCCCTACCCTCCGAGCTCCCTAGGGCTGGGATGCGTCCCTCCCGTGGACCAGGCAGTCCTGGGGTGGATGTCCAGGAGGTTCTGTGGGTGTGAGGCCAATGGCCCAGAGGACAGAGGAGAAAGGGCAGCTGTGGATGCCGCAGGCTTCATGGAGCTCCCCTAGGCTGGAGGGGGCTGGATGGGAGCCTTGGCCTTCAGGGTCCCCCAGACTTGAGAGATTCCACCAAATAGAGCCCAGGCCCCACAGTTACCCTGTAGTATTTCCCAAATACTGGGAGTGTCCAGTGGGTTGCAATAGAAATAATCATCTCAAGGGCCACAGTGGTGTAGTGTTGTAGAGAGCCAGGTGCAGAAAACGCTTTCTGTCTCTCCTTTTCTTCTCATCCACAAGTGCTGTCTCTAACTTTTTCCAGAAAGTGCTAGGGGATGAGGTTTGTAAGAATAGCCTGTCTCTAGATCTGCCCAGGAGCAGTTCTTGGCCCTGGGAATGATCTGGGGTGGGACCGTGTAGAGCAGTTTAGTTGCTGTGTGACCTCAGAGAAGTTACTCAACTTCTCTGACTCTTATATTATCATCTGTAAAATGAGGTTCCTGCTGCATCTCACTCTCAGGGTCCTGAGGAGAGTTAGGTTGAGATGCTTGTCACGGAGGCAGTGTCCATGCACAGGGCCTGGGTTTGCTGTCAGCCCTAGGCAGGATGGGTGAGGAGGTGGGACCTGGGTGCTTGGCTGTGGCTCAGAAGGTCTGTCCTGGGGTGGCCTGGCCTCAGGGACTAGGAAGGTCCTGGCTAGGCTCAGGTGGAGGGAAGGGTCTGGAATGAGGCAGGGGCGAATGGGGCCTGGGGCTGCCTCTGAGACCCTGTTTTTGGACTGCAGCACCCACCAGAGCTGCCACCTCTTCTCTTGGTTATTCACCAGGAATTACCCTAAATGCTACATCTGTTGTCATAACAACATCTTACCCATCCTTAGATAAAAGCCCTGTTTGCAGGGGGGTCAGGCTGTCTCCAGCTCCCCAAGCTCCATCACTGTCCCTCACAGCCCTCCTTGGGGTTCCACAGCTGGTCTTCCTCCCTCCCATTTTAGTTTTTTAGAGAGATCACTCCTCTGTTTCTAAATTTCTTCTCTGTCTCCCTTTGTGTTCCTGGGTCTCTCTCCGCTCCCTTTCCCTCACTCTCTCCTCTCTCCTTCCTTCTTCCTGGACCCTGAGCCTCCTCTCTTGGTTTCCCTCGGTCCCTTCTCGCTCTCCCTCCCTCCTTCTGCCCGCATCCCTGCATGCAGTGGGGTTGTGGGAAGGTGGCTGGTGGGGACAGGCGGGGCCTGCTGCCTTGGATGGGTCTGCTCTGCAGGAGCCTCAGGAAGCCCCTCGGGCTCTCCAGCCTGGGGTGAGGTGAGCCCAGGGTGGGCATGTTGCTGCACGCCCAAGAGCTTCCAGCCTCTGTGGTGTGCGTGGCCAGGAAGGCCTAACTGCTCTTGCAGAAGTGTGGCCAAGGGAGCTGCCCTTACCCCAACCCCAACCCCGCCCCAGCTTCAGCTCAACAGTCTCTGGGGTTCCAGCTCTCCTGCTGTCCTGACTGGGGCTTCACACACTTGTCCAGTGCCGACTTCTGCTCAGCACCATCCTAAGGGCACCCACACAGAGGCCACACAATGGTTCCAGGAGGGGTCATCTTTCCATTTTACAGCTCAGGAAATTAGAGACCAGAAGGGTCAAGCAACTGGCTCAAGGCCACACAGCTGGTCAGTAGAGGAAGTGGGACATGAAATTCCACTCCATAGCCAATGCTCTTAACCAGGATGCTGGATGGACGACTTCTTCCTCTCGGTCCCCTTCCTCTTTCTCCTTCTCACCCTCCCCCTCCTCTTTGTCCTTCTTCCCCTCCCCCTCCCCTTTCTCCTCCTCCCCCTCCCCTTCCTCTTCCCCTTCCTCCTACTCCTCTCCCCTCCTCCCATTCCTCCTCCTCCCCTCCCCTTCTCTTCCTTCTGCCTCTCCCCCTCCTCATTTCTCTCCCCTCCCCCTTCATCTCCCCCTCCCCTTCCTCCACCTCCTCCTTCTCCTCCTCCTCATTCTTTCTTACTGTGTGTCGGGCCCTGCATTTAGGAACACTGGGAACTCATCTAGCTTCGTAGCAACCCTACAAGGTTAGAGCCACAGTTATCTATTTTATCAATGAGAGAATCAGGGCACAGAGAGGTTAAGTAACTTTCTCAAGTCTCACTGTAGTTAGGGCTGTGTTAGGATTTGAACCCAGGTCTATCTGCCTCCAGAGCCTGGGCTCTTAGCCCTGAGTGCTATGCAGAGGGGATGGCAGCAGAGAGAGGACTGCATCTGTGGGACAAGGATGTGGGCTTTACACACACCCAAGTCCCTCCGTCTCCTTGATTCCTGTCAAGCCCCCTGTGGTCCCAGCCAGAGGCATTTTTGAGAATCAGAGGAGGAAGCCACGTGGCACAGTGTCCTCTTTGCTGAATTCTATGTAAGGGGGAAGCGAGTTCCAGGTCACCGGGAGAGGCCCACAGATCCTGTAACAACATGAGCCTCTGGGGTAGCTGCAGCACCCTTGGAACCCGGAGGCCCTTGTCACTGGACCTGACACCCAGGGTCTTGGGAGGCAGGTAGACTCACGTGTGGCTGGGATGCCTGGACTGAGATGCAGGGCTGTGGGCCTCTCTCCCAGCCTGGGCTGGCCTGGAGAATCCACAGCCCTTCCTGCCCCACAGCTCCTGTCCCTGGAGAGTAGCCTGGCCTTGGAACACACTGTCCCGGAGCGCGGCTGTCGGGATGATGGAGAGGTGGGTTATTTTTAACAGCCAGGATTCATCGACAGAGCCTCTTCCAGACCAGGGTAAAGGATTTCAGGGAGCTGGGGACCACAAACTCCAGGTCCTCTCACTCTCTCCCCACCCTCCCTTCTCCATTCCTCTTGCTCCAGAGAGCCCTGAAGGCTTGGTGGCAGCCTCTGAGGTTGATGGGATCTTTAGGCAGAAGGTGGCTGCCACCTAGCTATCAACCCAGAAAGAGGCCTGGCAATGGTGGGAGCCTCAGAAGTGAGCCCCATCCCTCATCTAGAAGCTGCAGGTCTTGGGGCTAATCAGGGCTCACTGCCACACTGGGACTACAGAGAGCCCAGGTCCAGGCCTGGCCTGCTCTGCCCAGCAGCCGCCAGTCCTGGACCCCCTCTCCTGCAGGGCCTTTCTGTTTTCTCTGAGGGAAGTAGGTTATTCTCCAAGTTCCCCAGACTCTTCTCAATTTGAGCCAGAACCCACTGGATCCTGGGTGGAGTGTGGCCCCATCAGGGCCCTAATTTCTTTGGACACCTCAGAGCTTGCTACTGCTGGTCTTATGACCCTGTTCCTTCCTCGTTCTGCCAAGGAGGGGTGGAAATGCCTTGTCCATCCCCATCTGGTCTCAGAATGACCCTCTCCTGCCCTCCTGTGCCCTACCAGAAAGATGCTTTTAGGACTTTCAAAAGATACACTGTCACCTTCGTCAGAGCATCTTTATGAGAACAGCCTGTTGCTGGGAGTGAGCCCTGGGCTGGGAGGCAGGGAACCTGGCTTCTGCCCCGCTCTGCTGCCCTGCACTGTGGGGTGAGTCCCTCCTCCTCTCTGGGCCTGGGCCTTGCCATCTAGGCCAGGGTGGTGGGACAAAAAACGTTCCCAAAGACCTCTTCTTGCTTGGGGTCCACACTGGGTCTGCTCCTGGGGTTCAGGTCTGACTAGCCAGGTTTGGGGGCTAGGGGATGCTTGCTGATGAATGTGCCAGTTTTTCAGGGCCCCCGTTTCTGACTGAGACCTCTACAAACGCCTCTCTACCTTGCACTCAGAGGGACCTTTACAAATGATTACCCAGATCAGACAATGAATGGCAGCCTTTAGGGTATAGCTCAGAGACAGTTTACAGAGGCATGCAGCACCCCGAACAAGTGGCAGGGTGCTTTCTTCACCCCGGCAAGTCCCCCATGCCCCTTCTCAGTCGATACCACCCAGAAGGAGCACCATTCTGATTTCTACCACATGGATTAATTTTGCCTGTTCTAGAACTTTCATATAAATGTAATCAAAACAGTCTCTTGTGTCTTGCTCCTTTTGCTTAATATAATGTCTAGGCGAGTCATCCAGGTTGTTTCAGCGTGAGTTCATTCCTTTTCATTTCTGAGTGGTATGCCAGTGTGTGGATGTATCACTGTTGATCCATTCCCTGTTGATGAACATTGGGTTGTTTCCAGTTTGGGGCAACTATAAGTAAAGCCAATAGGAACGTTCATACATATGTCTTTTGGTGCACAGAAGCTTTCATTTCTTTTGGGTAAATATCTAGAAGTGGAGTTACTAGGTCATACGATAAGCAAATATTTAGCTTTCGTGGATATTCAATCTTCCAAAGTGAGCCTACCAATGAACACTTCCACCGCCAGTGTTTGAGAGTTCCGGTTGCTCCACATCCTCGCCAGCATTTGGTGTTATTGGTCTTCTTGCTTTTGGTCATTCTGGTGAGTGTGTAGTATCTCTTTGTGGGTATTTTTTTTTTTTTTGGAAAAGAAGGGAGTGTTTTCTTCCCAGTTTTCTTAGTTGTGGTCGAATACACATAACAACATTTACCATCTTAACCATCCTTAAGTGCGCAGTTCAGTGGTATTAAATGCACTCACAACTTGGGCAGTCATCAACCCCATCCTTCCCTAGAAATCTTTTCATCATGTAAAACTGCATCTCCCCACTTCCCCTCCCCCAAGCCCCTGGCAGCCACCATTCTACTCCCCGTCTCTATGATTGTGACTACTGTAGGTACCTTATGTCAGTGGAATCATGCAGTATTTGTCTTTTAATGACTGGCTTCTTTCACTTAGCATAATGCTTCGAGTTTCATCCATGTTCTAGCCTATGTCAGAATTTTCTTCCTTTTTAAGGCCGAATCATCTTCCATTGTATGTACAAACCACATTTGGTTCATCTGTTCATCTGTACATGGACACTTGAGTTGCTTCTACCTTTTGGCTCTTGTGAATCCTGCTTCTGTGAACATGGGTGTACAAATATCTCTTCAAGATCTTGCTTTCAGCTGGGTGCGGTGGCTCACGCCTGTAATCCCAGCACTTTGGGAGGCTGAGGCAGGTGGATCACCTGAGGTCAGGAGTTCGAGACCAGCCTGGCCAACATGGTTAAACCCCGTCTATACTAAAAATACAAAAATTAGCCGGGCATAGTGGCAGGTGCCTGTAATCCCAGCTACTTGGGAGGCTGAGGCAGGAGAATCGCTTGAACCCAGGAGACAGAGGTTGCAGCAGTGAGCCGAGATCATGCCACTGCACTCCAGCCTGGGCAACAGAATGAGACGCTGTCTCAAAAAAAAAAAAAAAAAAAAAAAAAAGGGAACTGCAATACTGTTTTTCCCAGTGGCTGCAGCATTTCACATTTCCACCAACAGAACAAAAGGGTTTCAATTTCTCCACATCCTCACCAATACTTGTTATTTTCCTTTCTTTCTGTTTTTTTTTTTTTTTTTTTTTTTTTTAACAATTGCCATCCTATCCTAATGGGTTTTAATTTGCATTTTCCTGGTGGCTAGTTATGTTGAGCATATTTTCATGTGCTTATTGGCTATTTGGATATCCTCTTTGATGAAGTGTCTGTTCAAGCCTTTAACCTATTAAAAAATTGTTTTATTTGGTCTTTTTCTTACTGGCTTATAGAAATTCTTTATGTATTCTGAAAATTGGTAGTTTCTCAGAATTTTTTTTTTTTTTTGAGACAGGTTCTCACTCTCTTGCCCAGGCTGGAGTGCAGTGGTGCGATCATGGCTCACTGCAGCCTCTGCCTCCCGAGCTCAAGGGATCCTCCCACTTCAGCCTCCCAAGTAGCTGGGACTATGGGTGTGCATCACGACGCCTGGCTAATTTTTGTATTTTTTGTAGAGATGGGGTTTCACCATGTCTCCCAGGCTGGTCTTGAACTCTGGGCTCAAGCAATCTGCCCCCCTTGGCCTCCTGAAGTAGAAAATGTATTTTTAAATTGAGGTAAAATTACCAATACGTGAAATTAACCATTAAAAATGTACAATTCAATGGCATTTAGTACATCCACAATGTTGTACAACCATCACCCGTATCTCAGTCCAGAATATTTTCATCACCGTAAAAGAAAACCTCATTCCCATTAAGCATTACTTCTCATTTCTGCCTTGCAACAGCTCCTGGCAACCGTTAATCTATTTTCTGTCTCTATGGATTTGCCTAGTCTGCATATTTCATAGGTATGAAATGGCATGATTTGTGGCCTTTTGTGTCTGGCTTTTTTCACTTAGCATATTTTCTCCAGGTTCATCCACGTTGCAGCAGGTATCAGTACTTCATTCCTTTTTGCAATGAAATGTGGATAGACCACATTTTGTTTATCTGTTCAGCAGGTGAGGGACATTTGGCTTGCATCCAACTATAGTGACTAGGACTGTTATGAACATTAGTGTCCTTGTTTTTAATTCTCTTGGGTGTGTACCTAGGAGCGGAAATGCTGGGTCCTACGATAATTCTTTTTTTTTTTCTTTTTGTGACAGAGTTTTGCTCTGTTGCCCAGGCTGGAGTGCAAGTGGTACGATCTCAGATCACTGCAACCTCCGGCCCCCGGATTCAAGTGACTCTCCTGTCTCAGCCTCTTGAGTGGCTGGGATTACAGGCACCTGCCACCACACCCAGCTAATTTTTATATTTTTAATAGAGATGGGGTTTCACCATGTTGGCCAGGCTGGTCTCGAACTCCTGACATCAGGTGATCCACCCGCCTTGGCCTCCCAAAGTGTTGGGATTACAGGCGTGAGCCACTTTGCCTGGCCCCCTACGATAATTCTATGTTGAGCTTTTTGAGGAACTGCCAGTGTTTTCCAAAGCGGCTGTACCGTTTTACATTCTTAACAGCAATGTGTGAGGGTTCCAATTTCTCCACCTCTGTAATATCACTTTTTATTGTTTGCTTTTAAAAATTCTGATCATTCTAGCGAGTGTGAAGTAGTATCTCATTGTGATTTTAATTTGCATTTCCCTAACAAACAGTGATGTTAAACATCTTTTCATGTGCTGTTTGGCCATTCATATATTGTCTTTGGAGAAATGCCTATTCAGGTCCTTTGCCCAGTTTTTCAGTTGGGTTCTTTGTCTTTTTGTTATTGAGTTGAAAGAGTTCTTTATGTATTCTGGATACTAGATCCTTATCAGGTGTGTAAGTATTTGATTTTCAAATACTTTCTCCCATTCTGTAGGTTGTCTTTTGACTTTCTTGATGGTATTCTTTGAGGAACAAGTTTTTAGTTATGATGAATTCTAATTACCTATTTTTTCTTTTGTTGCTTACACTTTTGGTGTCATAGCTGAGAATTCATCACCAAATCCAAGGTCATGAATATTTACCCCTATATTTTCTTCCAAGGGTTTTATAGTTTAAGCACTTACTAAATGTAAGATCTCTGATCCATTTTGAGTTAATTCTTATAGATGGTGTGAAGTTGGGCTTCATTTTCATTATTTAGCATGTGGATATCCAGTTTTCCCAGTACCATTTATCAAAAAGACTATTCTTTTCTCATTGAATGTTCGGGCTGCTCTTGTTGAAAATCAATGGACTATAGACATATTGGGTTTATTTCTGGACTCTCAATTCTACTCCACTAGTCTATATGTCTATTTGCTGTTCCCTTTGCCTGGAATGTTCTCCCTTCAGTCTCATGTGGCTCCTTTCTATCATTGAGATCTTCTGGAAATGTCTCCTTAGAGAGGCCTCCCATTGTCACTCTCTGCCACATGACCTTGTTTTATTTTCCCCATAATTCTAATCGTGTTTGAATTCATATACCCTCTGAGAACAGAGTCTTCTGTCCTAGTTACTTGGTGTAAGCCTCCTCCTGTACGTAACAGGCACTTAAATATCATCAAATGAACAGTCAGTGTTCTCGAGCCTGGAACGCCTTTACCCTCCTTCTGCATGGTACCATCCAAAGGCCCCCTCCTCCCTGTGGCCTTTCCATTCATTCATGGTCAGCAGCACTGTTGGCCCCTTGCCTCTGTCGTGGTGAAGATTGGGCAAGTTGTCCTCCTGCATTTGAGTGGAAGCTCCCAGAGGGCAGGGCCCCCACTCTGTATCCCCACCTCTAGCCCACACCCTGTAGCTCATACAGAATGGGCCCTTGCCATGGACAGCCTCTGTTCCTGACCCTGGTCTGAATATGGAGTGAAGGGTGAAGGGGTGAAAGCAAATTTGAGTGAGGGGCTTAATCAAAGCGTGGTGGCCACTTAAGCCAAGAGACAAAGTTAAAGATTATTTCATAGCTTTTAGCCTCAGCATAGGGGAATGTCATTCTCAGGTCAGAAATGTGGAAGTTAAGTGGAGGATCTGGAGTGAAGACCAAGACAAGGAGTTCGGTTTTCCAGAAGCTGACTTAAAGGCTATGGCACAGTGGACAGAAGAAATGCCCCAAGGTGGCTGAGACTCTGGCAAGTCACAGTGGGAGCTCCCGGTTGCTGAGTGCCGGGTGTGGTGTAAACTGCCCAGCATGGGATCCTCAGAACCACCCTGAAAGTTTGGCTACACTAGCCCATTTACACAAGAGGAAACTGAATCCTTGAAAAGGGAAGCCACTTGCCCAGGGGCACACAGCCCATAAATGAGAGGCTGGACATGCAGACCCAGGCCTCTGACTCCAAAGGGTCCCTCTCCTCCCCTGTGCTGCCCCTAGAAAGGCCAGTGCTACAGGAGTTATTCCTGCCAGGGGCCTGCCCCAGACCTCTGCCCACAGGATGCCACCCTGTCAGCGAGAGAGGTGGGGCAAGGCCCAAATATGGAGGAGATGAAGCAACAGCTTTGGGCACATGCAGAAGCTGTTTGTGAAGGAATTAGAATATCAACAATTTTCACCTAGGCACTGGCTTGAAGCTGATACTTCATTGGATTACATGGCTGAGTGAGTAAAGATCCTTAACTAGGATCCTAAATACCATGAGCCTCCTTAGCCTTTCCCTCCTCTCCTGTCTTCTAAGCCTGTCCCAGCTGCCACCTTCCCCCGGCCGCCACAGAGCGCCTCTAGGGCTGACCTGCAGGTGAGCCTCCCAGCTGCCAGCTTCCCTCTTGCCCTTTGGGGATCCTTTCTGGCTTCTTCTGCCAGTAAAGGCGGGCATTGGTTTCCCACCATTCCTGGGGCACCAGGAAGGAAGAGTGTGTATGTGGGGCATGGTTATAATATCCTCAGCTCCAGGGACCCTGCAGTGGGAGGGAAGGGTGGAGGTCTGAAGATAGAGAGGAGGGCCAGGGCAGGAGGGAAGTGGCAGCAATTCCTGCGGGACACCCCTGTGAGTTCATGGACTGACTCTACCCCCTGTTGCTGTGCGACCTCAGGCAAGCTCCCTCCCCTTTCTGGGGGAGCCGGCCATCCTCTGTAGATTGGGGAGAGCACAGGGCTCACAAGGTTCATGAGACGAGGCAGGGTAGTGCAAGCCAAGCCTGAAAACAGGCATGTCCTGGGGGCCAGCTCTGGGGGGTGGGGTGGTTGTTGCAGGAGGCCTGTGATGGGAGGGAGGACGAGGACAGGGAGGAGCCAGCAGCTGCCATCAGGGTTGGGCACTGGGGAAATCCCACAGGGGCCACACCCATCTCCTTTTGCAAAGCCTGGAAGGGCCTGGAGGGGACAGAAGAGGGAGAGGTGTTGTTACCAGGCAGCATTGAGTGGGAATGGGTGCGAGGAGGTTTACAGGAGCCAGCGTGTAACTGCACACCAGGTGTTCCCATACGTCAGGAAACGCCTCTCCGCTCCAGCTAAGGAAGCCAAGATCCAGGGCCCGATTCCCTGCCTGCCTCACCAAGCTTCCCCTGGGGAGGGCACCACCCCCACCACCTGGCTCCTTTCACACTGCCCCGTGCGACCGACCCATGGCTCCAGGAGAGGGGGTTTAGAGTCAGGGACCAGCTCCTGGCAGTGGTTCTCAGAAGCTGCCAGCCTCCCAGCCTCTCAAATGGCCCTGCCGAGGTCTGCCCTCGGTCTCCTGTTCAAGCCCCTACCCTAACGAGGCTGCTGGGAGACGGTTTCCCTGCAGGGCACATGCAGTCTGGATGACTGGCTCCTTGCCGGGCCTGAGTGATGTCCCCGGCGCCTGCAATGAACCAAATGTGGTTATCCGTGCCTCTGCCCCTGCTGGCTCCCAGAAGCTGGCAATAGAATTATAGCCTCACGTCTGCCCTCCGCTGCCTTCCCCTCGGCCTTCCCCTCAGCTGCATTCTGGGGCGGAGCTGGGTGTCCTGCCTATTGTCCCTGTTGGGAAGGCATGGCTGAGGCTTGGGTGGCCAGGATTTCATGATGGGCTGGGAAGGAGGAGGATGAGCGCTGGAGCAGGGGTCCAGAGACTCAGCCTGGGGTCCCCAAGGGCTCTGGGCTGCTCACAAGAACTGCAGGCCTGGTCACCTCGCCCCTGCCTCCCCGACGCTCTCTCCTCGGCAGTCTTATCTCTCTGCAACCCAGGCTTGCCCAGGGCACTTCCCTCCTGAAAGCCTGTTGGTGGCTCCTGGCTGCCCACAGGACAAAGTCCAGGCGCCACCCCAGTTACTTGCCATTCCCCAGGGTGCCCAGTTCCTCCCTGGTGCATGAAGGGCAGTAGCCTCTGGCTAAGGACACAGGCCCAGGATCAGCTGCTCAGGGATGTACCATCCAGAGTCCCCTGACATCCTGGGTGTCCCCCTCTTCCTGGTGTCCCCCTCTTCCTGACCACCCTGAGACCACATTTCCCAGCCCCCTTGATCTAGGCATGAGTTGGGCCAATGGAAAGGGGGTGGAAGAGAGACGTACGCCACATCCACTTGGCCCATGAAAGTCTCCCAAGCAGGATCCTTTACTCAGTTTCCCTTTTGTTGCAAGCATGCAGGCCACAAGCTAAAGATGGTAGCACTAGAGAATAAATAGAGCCTGGGTCCCTGAATCACCACTTGGATTCACCCTAGACTGTGACATGAGCAAGAAATCAGCCTGTGCTCAGCTGCAGAGATCTGGGATTCTTTGTTCTAGCAGTTCGCTTACTCTGACTCACAAAAACCTTAGGAGTAACGGTGTGCAAGTGGTGTAACATGAGACCACTTTTCTCGTCTGTGAAATGAGATAATAATGCCTACGTTGAAAAATGTTGGGAAAGATGGACCATCAGGCACCTGGCCCTTAGTAAGCCCTCAGTACTTAAAGCTATTTTGCAATTTCTAGGCCTTTGCATGTCTCTTCCCTATCCTGGCCTTTTCTTCCCAGCCGGCTGCATTCTGGGCCTCCTTCTAGGCTCACTGCTCTAGGAGGCCTTTCTGAGCCCCCAGCTTCCACTCTCCTCCTGGGCCTGGGACTTGCAGCCTGGGGACACACCAGCTGGAGCACTTCCCTTGCGGCACCATTCTCAGTTATCTATCTGTCTGCCTCTCCCTGGACTGGGTCCCACATGCAGCCAGTGCAAAGCCCGGCACAAAACAGGGCCCATAAGTGGCTCTTTCATTTGTTAGCGAGGCTGAGCCTGCCTGTCTCAGGCCGGGGCTGGTGCTGTGAGGCGGACTGAGGCCCTGAATGTGAAACCGCGTTGGAAAATGGAAAAGTCTCCCAGACTCTCAGGAGCAGGTTCCCTGGCCCAGAGCACACTCGAGCCCCTGCCCTGCCACAGCCCCTCTCTCAGGAGCCCCTTCTGCCGCAGTTCCCTTTTCTGCCTGTTTTTCTGTCTCGGAGACTCAGTGTCAGCAGTTGTCAAGACAAATGGCACCAAGCAGGACTCAGGTGAGGCCTGGAATCCGCACCAGGGCCCCTCGCAGTTCTCCACCTGCCACGCTGCAGCCCCTGCTAGCTGCTGACCAGATGCAGCTGAGGACAGCCGAATGAGAACAGAGGCCGCCAGAGAGCAAGGGACTCTCATGGCCAGTGCTGGACACAAGCCAGCCTGGGGGTGGTGCCGACAGCAGCCTTGCTTGGCTCTCCCTCCTGCTCACCCTCCACCCTCCACCCTCCGTCTTTGCTTCCTCCCAGGTGCAGGGGGTCAGGAGTGTGTGGGCTCCCTCATTTGTCCCTGTGCAGCGTGGGGTGGGAGCGAGACACCTAAAGGCTTGTAGGGAGCCACCCACAGGAGGCAGGGGGCGGAGGAAGGAAGGGAGGTGGCACCTGGCCCAGGTGCGGAAAGCTTGTACCCCTGGACCTATGGTTCCGACTCAGCTGTGACCTGGGCCTGTGAAAGGACTGGAGGGGAGCTGGGCATGGGGCCAAGCCTGGCGTGGCTGGGAAAGAGGACCCAGCCTGCCGCTCGAGGCCACTGCCAGTGCCCAGGTAAGTCTGGGAAGAGGAGCCCCGGCTGGACCATGAGGCCCCATTTCCCCCTCACGTTTCTTCCTCACTCCCTCGAACATGCTCTGGATCACAGGTAGTGCCGGTGTAGAGGTGCTGTTGTGGAGGGACAAGGATGGAGAATGATCACAAACAATGGTCTTTGTCTAAGAGACGTTTGCACTTTGGGATGGGGCAGTGACTCCCTCCAGAGGGAGCCCCGTTCCTCCCGGGGCGTTCTAATCCATGTCAGCCCCATTCCAGCTGGGTGAGGACGCTCTATGGGGTGTACTGGCAGAACTCCCCGCTGGAGCTCACTGGGGTCCATGGCAGCTGCCCCAGGGTAGCTCTGCCCATCGGGCCATCTCAGAGGCCGGCTGAGGAATGGCTTCCTTGCTTCAAGTCTGCCTGACCCTCGGGCTGCTGCAGCCTACAGGCAGCCTGTACACATGGATCACACATTAGGGATCTACTTCCAGTCTGCAGTGCAGGCACACAGACACCATGAAGGCTACAGTGATGGGCTTCTGAGTAGAAGAGGACATGCTCACAGTCCCACCACTGCCACCGTCCTGCCAGCTCCAGGCTGTCTCGGCCACTGGGTTTCGTGTCCTGCCTTCAGCAAACCTCCCAGCAGCAGCACTTCCCGCCTCACCAGTGTCTGCAGGCCCTGCTTAGAATGGCACAGCTGCACCTCCTCATTTATGTAACTCTTCTCTTGTTATCGGAAACTCAGGTGGCTTCTGGTTTTTCACCATTACAGAAAAAGCTGCGCTGAATGTTTTTTGAGCATAGAGCTTTGTCCTTCATGAGGACGGCTCCTCAGTCTAGATTTCCAGAACTGGGGCTGCCAGCTCAAAGAGCCAAAAGGCCCTCAGAAATGATCAGAGATGAGACTGAGGTCAGAGAGGGGCGGAGACCTGGCTAAGGTAACCCAGCAGGTCTGTGGTACTGCTGGGCTCTGGCCCCAGGGCTGGTGATCCTTCCTCTCCTTGAAGCTTTGCGCCCTGGAAAAGAGGGCAGAGCTGCAAATGCCTCTCCAAAGAGGATTTTTAAATAAACATCTTTATTCAGATATAATCCACTTACCATGTAATCATCCATTTAAAGTACATACTTCAATGGCTTTTAGTATATCCGTGGAGTGTGCAGTCATCACCACAATCAATATGAACCTATTTCCACCACTTAAACAAGCAAACCCCATACTCTTTAGCCACCACCTCCCCCTGCCTCCACTGCACCCCCATCTCAGCCTTGGACAACCACGAATCTTCATACTGCCTCTGCAGGGCGATTTACTCTGGGCGTTCCTTAAAAATGGAATGAGACCATACGCGGGCTTTTGTGGCTGCCTCCTTTCACTGAGCAGAATGTTTTCCGGGCCCGTCATGCCAGAGTGCGCATCAGTACTTCATTCCGTTTTATTGCCGAATGATATTCCGTGGTATGGCTAGACATTTATTTTATTTGTCCATTCATCAGCTGATGGACATTTGGGTTGTTTCTACTTTGGGGCTTTTATGGATGATGCTGCTATAAACATCTGTATACCAGTTTCGGTGGGGACATGTGTTTTCATTTCTTTTGGGTATGGACCTAGAAACGGAAGTGCTGGCTCCTGTGAGAACTCTGTGTTTAACATTCTGAGGAGCTGCCAGACTGTTTTTCAAAGTGGCTACGCCATTTTATATTTCCACCAGTGGCATGTGAGGGTTCTAATTTCTCCACATCTTCATCAACACTTGTTATTGTCTTTTATTTTTTATTATTAGAGATGGGGTCTCACTATGTTGCCCAGGCTGGACTTGAACTCCTGGGCTCAAGTGATCCGCTCGCCTTGGCCTCCCAAGTAGCTTGGATTACAGGCATGCACCATAGTGCCTGGCTTGTCTGTCTTTTTTATTATAGCTATTCTAGTGGATGTGAATTTGTACCTCATTGTGGTTTTGATTTGCATTTCCCTGATGACTAATTAAGTCTAACATCTTTTTATGTGCTTACTGGCCATTTGTATATCTTCTTTGGAGAAATGTCTTTTCAGATACTTTGCCCATTTTTAAATTGGACCATTTGTCTTTTCATTATTGAGTTGGAAGAGTTCTTTATCTATTCTAGTCCCTTATCAGATCTGTCCCTTATCTGATAAGTCCCAGATCTTACATATCTGTCCCTTATCAGATATACGATTTGCAAATATTTTCTCGCATACAGTGGGTTGTCATTTCACTTCCTTTGAAGCACAAAAGTTTTAATTTTGAAGTCCAATTCATCTAATTTTTTGGTTGTTTGTGCTTTTAATGTCATAGTTAAGAAACCATTGCCTAATCTAATATCATGAAGATTTACATTTATGCTTTCTTGTAAGAGTTTTATAGTTTTAGCTCTTACATTTAAATCTGTGATTCATTTTGAGTTTTATATATGGTGTGAGGCAGGGAACCAAATTCATTCTTTTGCATGTGGCTATCCAGTGGCCCCATACCATTTCTTGAAAAGACTAGTCTTCCCTTCATTGAACTGTCTTGGCACCTTTGCTGAAAATCAATTTGACCATAAATACAAGAGTTGATTCCTGGATTCTCAATTCTGTTCCATTGATTGGAATGTGTATCCTTATGTCAGTGCCACAGTCTTAATCAATGTAGGTTAGCAGTAGTAAATTTTAAAATTGGAAATCCTCCAACTTTGATTTTCTTCAATATTGTTTTGTCTACTCTGGGTTCCTTAGATTTCTGTATGAATTTTGTGATCAGCTTGTCATTTTTTTGGGAGAAGCTGGATGAATTTTGATAGGGATTACATTAAGTTTGTAGATCAATTTGGGGAGTATTTTCATCTTCATAATATTAAGTCTTCTAATTGATTAACACAGGGTATCTTTTCATTTATTTAGATCTTCTTGAATTTATTTCAACAGTGTTTTGTAGTTGTCAGGGTTTAAGTTTTTCACTTTTCTTATGACATTTATTCCTAAATATTTTATTATCTGATGCTGTTTGTAAATAAAATTGTTTTCTAAATTTCGTTTTTGGGCATTGCAAGAGCATAGCTCACCAAGGAGATTCCAGCCCCTTTTCGTCTGCTGGCGGATGGTCTGTCTGCTCCACTCTGAGCCACCCTGGGTTCCTGCAGCATCATCACCCTCTGTGGCCAGGATTTGGTTACAGGCCTATGTGTCCACCAGACTGTGGCTCCTCAAGGGCCCCATCCCAGCATAGAGCCCAGTGCATGGGGCAGGCTGAGCTGGGAAATGAAGAGTGAATGAGTCAGTGAATAAATGAATGAACAGACTGACCACAGGATCTGAGCTCGCACTGGGTTCTGCGCATCCTGGGGCAGCGGCTCTGGAGCTCAGGCCTGTGGAGCCCTGCAGCCTGTCCCAGGCCTGATATCGAACCTTCCCCCAGGTGACTTCTGCCTGTGCCCCCCACCTACTTGCAGGGACATAAAGCCTGATGGGTGGTATCCAGGTACTCCCCTGCAGCTGTGGAAGGCCTGGATCCCCAGAGGTGGAGCTGGGTGAGGAGGAAGTGGGGAGGGCCCAGCTACCCAGCAGCCCAGCACCTGGACGGCCCGTCCCTCCATCCCTTGGCCCTGGCCCTTGGGCTTCCCTGTGAACTCTCCTTGGTCCCTCCTGCCTCTCTGCCTTTCTGATGCCTCGCTCCTCATCTCAAGCAGACCTGGCCTCTTTGATCCAGGCAGGCAAACAGAGCCCTTCCCTTTCCTCTGCCCCCGTCCATCCTCACAGAGAGAAGCGCGGTCTGCGTCATCAGCCACCCCCGCTGCCCACAGTGACCTCCAATCTCCAAACCCCAGGGCCTCTCAGCAGCCCCATGGAGATGCTGCCCTTTCTGCTTCCAGGAACCCCTCTTCACTGGGCATCCCTGCCTGTTTCTTTGGCCTCCTGACCACATCTCCATCTCTCTCACCTTCTGCCCCTTGCATGACGGGTTCCCAGGGTCTCTCTTTGGTTGCTTTCCCACATCCACTTGATTCTTCCCATGGGCAGTCAGACCCTCTTCTGGGGCCTCTGCCATCACCATCCCCACCCCTGCCCCTCAGTCCCAGCCCTCCCTCTGCAGCCCAGGCCTGCATTGCTGGCGGTCAGCAATGCTTCCTGTCCTGAGAAAGTGCCTGGCTCCACTCTCTTCCTGGCTGCTCAGGGGTGAAACTTGGCCTCATACCAAAAGGAGAGTCTGGGTTGCCCAGCCTAGCTGGGCGCCTGGCACTGGCGGTCAGCAATGCTTCCTGTCCTGAGAAAGTGCCTGGCTCCACTCTCTTCCTGGCTGCTCAGGGGTGAAACTTGGCCTCATACCAAAAGGAGAGTCTGGGTTGCCCAGCCTAGCTGGGCGCCTGGCACTGTCCCCCAGGGGTCTTCCTGCCTTTGCAGCCTCAGCACCTGCACCTCCTCTTCCCACATCTAGACACTCCAAAAACAGACTCAGGGCCACTCCCTGGTGGCTTGAGCTTCCCCTGTGCTGGGCCTGTGCACACACAATTGCCTGTAACTAGAAGCTTCTCCCCTTTCTCCTCCATTCCACACGTCCATCGTCTAAACCCCACCTATACCCCAAGGCCCACCTCAGTCCCTCGTTCTTCATGAAGCCCCTGCTGAGTGCACCTTTAGGCTCGCCCTCCTCCTTGCCTCCTCCAGCCCAGCAGCCCCTGGCTGGTTGCAGGCAGCGGCAAACCAGAGCGGGGTCCTCAGGGCAGGCTGCTGTGGTCGCTGCTCCACCTCTGGGCCTCCCTTAGGGTTTGCCGGATTAGCCAAAGCAGTGCAGGTGGCCCCGGCTGCCAGGGAGGGAGGCCCTGGGCCTGGAGGAGGTGCCCACTCTCCACGACCGCCTGGAGGGGCCTGCTGGCCAGAGGCTGCCCCTACCACTTCTCAGGCTCACACCGTGGTCTGTTCATTTGTTCATTTGTTTGTTCAGACATGGTAGACGCCCCCTGGCATATTCAGGCTGGTGGAAAGGGCGCCACTGTGACAGTGCAAAGCATGAGGCTTGCTGAGAGGATCTATCAAACCCAGCCAGAGGGCATCCAGGGTGGTCTACAAAACCCACAGCACAGGACAAAGGCAGACACACACACACGGTGAGAACTCTCACAAGCAAGAAGCAAGGGCGGGATGATGGGGTGGAACCCAGGGGGTGTCCTGCACTTTCAGGAGAGATGGCTGCTTGAGGGTGGCTACAGGGTACCCGGTCAGGGACGTGATGTGTGATTCATGCGGTCAAGCCAGAGCTGGACTCAGAAACAGCGCAGACAACCCGGGGGCAGAGGGCATTTCTCCCTTACCCCGTGGCTGGGACTTGGTGAGCAATATCCCAACAGCGCCTGCACCTGCTGCAGCATCCCTGGGTATCAGGGCAGCTTCCTCTCCTGGAATCTAGATATGATGGCCATGAGCCCCAAATCCTATGGCTCCTGGGAGCGAGGCCCTTCTGGAGGCCTTTGTGACTGCTGGGTTAGAACTCGTGCTCATCCATTATCCCCGGTTTTGGCTACTAGACAGTTTTGAGGATGCACGTGTATTCAAGGACATCCATGGGAAGAGAGATGAAGAGAAAATGAACATAAATTATGTTAGTGGCCCCTCATGGGGCCTGGAGGTCAGTGTGGGTGGTGACAGGCATGCGCCTAACTCAGGCACTAAGGAAGGAAGAGGGAGGAAGTGGGGAATGGCTCTGAGGCTAGAGAGGGAGGGTGAGCCTCTCTCCCTAGGGTCTTGCAGGGATTGGGGGTGGCAGGAGCCCAGATGGGGCAGCAGTGTCCAGGGGTCAGGATTTGAATGTGCATGGCCTCTGACTATGCACTCCTGGGGTAGGGCAGGGCCTGGGAGGGCTTGGCAGACGTGGCCTTCTGCATGCCTCTCTGCTGAGGTTGGGGCACGAGGCTAGGCCAGCCAGAATTTTTGGGCCACCTCTGGCTGAGCACAGAAGGCAGCTGTCCCCAGTGGAGGGGTGGGGGCCTTGGCCCTTGGAAGCAGGTCATGGGATGTGGATGCTTAGATATGTGCGGACGTGAGCAGCTCTGCAGTCCTTGGCCCCTGGCTGGCCAGCCCCGGCGCCAGGCCTGACTTCCCCTCCTCCTGACACTGCCAGGCTGGAGGCCAGTGGCTGACCGAGCAGGCTCTGCCTTGGGCTGAGCTGGAGTAGGGAGGGTCTGCAGGACTAAGGAAAAGTCCACTGCTAAAGCTATGGCAGCCTCCATCTCATCAGCCTCCTAATTAAAGTGACACTGCACAGTGCCTGCCAAATTCATTGGATGTTGACCCCAGGATGTGGTGGCCCTCCCAGGACTAGGGGAAGAGGCAGGTGGGCTTCCTGGCCACCTAAGGCAGCCTGAGAGCTGCCCATGAGTGGGGTGGGAGGGAGGGCAGCTGTGTAAGCTACACTGGGCTCGGAGAGACAGGAGATGTGAGTCCCTGTCCCTGCCTGTTCCTTATAAGTGGTGTGGTCTTGGGCAAGCAGCTTCCCTCCTCTCTAAGGAAGTTATGAGGTCAGTTACACTCTTGGGAGTGGAGAAGCTTCCTTTGTAAACTGTGAAGTGCTGCCAGAATGGGAGGTGGAGAGGAGAGCTGGCCTTCCAATCGATGACCTGATGACCTCAGCTGGCCAAGCAAAGAGGTCCTGGGGGACAGGCAGGTGTCTTGGCCCTCTCTCCATTTTGTCCCCTTGCAGACTAGCCGTGGGCTGGGGTAAGTATGAGTCCAAGACTGGACCCCGGCCTGGCCAGGACACAGGCTTGGAGCCTTGCATTTTGCAGGCTGGAAGGACATCCTTGAGAGAAGAGCTATTACCAAGGCGGGATGGATCTGATAGCTTTGTGAAGTGATCAGCAAAGAGTGAGCACCCAGGCTGTCCAAACCTCAGGCCTTGGAAGAAGTGTGGCACTCGCAGGACTGCCTGCTCATGGCAAGGCACCAAGGTACGACCTTGTGTGGGTCACGGGAGCCGCACAAGCCAATACTCTTACCTTTTGCCTGGAAAGGCCTGGAGATGCAGGCCCACCTGGGCCACCTGAGTTACGCACAAGTGTGTTAGTTCAGCACCTCCTCCCCTGCAGATAGACCTCTTGCCCAGGATCACAGGGATGGTCAGTAATAGCCCGAGCCAGGACTCCAGGGCTTAGGGCCTGGGCAGCTGCCGGAGGTGGGGGGTTGTCTACCTTGTGGCCCCTCCCAGAAAACATGCTTGTAATTTGGAACTCTGGTTGTGCAGCCGCCCCGTTGGCAGCTTGAGAGGAGCACGTGTTGGTGAGAAGGAACATGGCATCCTCTGCCTTGCTCTGGTCTGGCCTCTCATCCTGCGATGCAGGGGCTCCATCCACAACTCTCTGTGAAGAAGAAATACAGACTTTCTCAGACAAACGAAAATTGAGGAAATTTATTGTCAGTACACGTGCCTTGTAAGAAATATTGAAAGTTCTTCAAAGAAAAAGAAAAACATGTAAGTCAGAAACTTGGATCTATATAAAGAAAGAGAGCACTGAAGAAGGAATGAGGGAGGATAAAATAGAAAGTGTTTTTTTTTTATTCTGAATTGATCTAACAGGTAACAGTTTGTTCAAAATAATAATAGCAACAATATATTCAATTATTTAATCGTATATGTATATTATACACATAGAAACATATACTTAAGTATGCTTATGTATGAGTAAAATAAATGAGAGCAGACATAAGAGGCAGGAGGCAGGAATTGGGATTATTTTGTTATTATAAGATACTTGGTACAACCCATGAAGTAGTATTTGGTATTTGAAGATGGATTTGCATTAGTTGTAGACGTATACTGCAAATCTAGGGAAAATACTGAAACAAGTGAAAAAAATAAGAAGAAAAGTATTTTTTTTAAAAAGGAAGTTGTCTTAGTGCGCTTGGGCTGCTATAACAAAATACCTCAGACTGCATAATTTATAAATAATACAAATTTATTTTTCATAGTTCTGGAGGCTGGGAAGTCTAAGATCAAGGGAAGAGCAGATTTGGTGTCTGATAAGGGCTCACTCTCTGCTTCCAAGGTGGTACCTTCCTGCTGTGTCCTTGCGTGGTGGAAAAGATGAATAGCCCCCTCTCACCTATTTTGTTAAAGCACTAATCCATTATTGAGGGCTCCACCCTCATGACTTAATCACCTCCTAAGGGCCTCATTTCTTATCATATTGGTGGTTACATTTCAACATATGAATTTTGGGGGAACATATTCAGACCATAGCAGAAATATGCTGACTATTTATTTTTTGGTCATATAAAATGCTCAATTAAAAACCACAAAAGGCAGAAAAAGAGTGGGAGGAAAAATAGAGGAACAAATAACAAGGCAACAAATAGAAAAACAGTAACGGGTATGGTAGATATTAATCTATGTCAATAATAATTTTGAATGCCAATGGTGTAAATATACTAAGACAGAGATTCTGCAAAGCAAAAGAAACTATCAACAGGGTAAACAGACAACCCATAGAATGAAAGAAAATGTTTACAGCCTATGCATCTAACAAAAATCTAATGTCTTGAATCTATATGGAACTTAAACCCACAAGCAAAAAACAAACAACCCCATTAAAAAATGGGCAAAGAACATGAACAGACACTTCTCACTTGATCTTAGCCAAAAGGCCGAGAAGCGATGAACAGACACTTCTCAAAAGACATCTGCACTGGCAACAAGCATAGAAAAAATACTCAATATCGATAATCAAATCAAAACCACAATGAGATACCATCTCATACCACTCAGAATGGCTATTATTAAAAAGTCAAAAAATAACAGATGCTGGAGAGGTTGTGGAGGAAAGAGAATGCTTATACACTGCTGGTCAGAACATAAATTAGTTCAGCCACTGTGGAAAGTAGTCTGGAGATTTATCAAAGAACTTAAAACAGAACTACCATTCAACCCAGCAATTCCATTCCTGGGTGTATACCCAAGGTTATGTAAACCATTCTACTGTAAAGACACATGCAGGCATATGTTCATCGCAGCACTATTCACAATAGCAAAGACATGGAATCAACCTAGATGCCCATCAATGATAGACTATATATACACTATGGAATACCACAGAGCCATATAAAAGAATGTAATCAATGTCCTTTGCAGCAACATGGATAGAGCTGGAGGCCATCATCTTAAGTGAATTAACACAGAAACAGAAAACCAAATACTGCATGTTCTCACTTATCAATGGGAGCTAAACACTGAGTATACACAGACACATAGAAGGGAACAACAGACATCCGGGGGCTACTTAAGGGTGGAGGCTGGGAGGAGGGTGAAGATTGAAAAACTACCTATTGGGTAATCTGCTTATTACCTGGGTGACAAAATGTCCTGTACACCAAACTCCCATGACATGAATTTACCCATGTAATAATAAACCTTCACATGTACCCGTTGAACCTAATATAAAAGGTGGAAAGAAAAATAAAATAAAAGAGATTATCAGAGTAGATTAAAAAAACCAGACCCAGCTATATGTAGTCTACAAGAAACCCATTCTAAATATAAAGATGCATCTAGATTAAAATTAAAGTGATGGAGAAAGATACACCATACAAATATTTAACTAAAACACCCCCCAGAATATCTGTATTAATTCAGGCAGAGCAGACTTAAAGAGCAAGGAAAGTTACCAGAGATAAAGAGGGGCATTACATAAGAAAAAGGAGTCAGTTCTCCAAGAAGACATAACAATCCTGAATGTGTGTATGCACCTAACAACAGAGCATAGAAATATGTAAGGGAAAAATTGACAGAACTGCAAGGAGAAACAGATGAATCCACTACTAAAGCTGAAGACTTCAACACTCGTTGATCAGAAATCGGCAGACGGAACAAGCAGAAAATCAGTAAGAACACAGTTGAACTCAACAACACCAGCAATCAACTGGATAAAATGGACATCTATAGACTACTTCATCCAACAACAGAAAATTACACATTCTTCTCAAGCTCACATGGAACATTCACCAAGATACCACATTTTAGGCCATGAAACACACCTTAATAAATTTAAAGAATATACATCATATACTATCTGCTGTCAGACCACAACAGAATTAAACCTCAAATCAATAAAAGGAAGATAGCTGGAAGCCATCAAAATATCTGGAGATTGAACAATACACTTCTGAGTAATATCTGGGTCAAAGAAGAAACATAGAGAAATTAAGCAATGTTTTGAACTAATGGAAATGAAAATACAACTAATAAAAATGTGTGGGATGTAGCAAAAGCAGTGATTGGGGGAAATTTATAACATTGAATGAATTAAAGTGATTATTAGATTCTATATTAGAAAAGAATATCGAAGATCAGTAATCTAAGCTTCCGCCTTAGGAAAGTAGAAAAAAGAGTAAATTAAATCCAAAGTAAGCAGAAGAAAGTAAATAATAAAAATTAGAATAGATATCAATGAATTGAAAACAGGAAATCAGTAGAGAAAATCAGCAAAATCAAAATCTGTTTATTTGAAGGTAGGTGAAACTGATAAGCCTCCAGCCAGGCTAAGAAAAAAAGAGGGAAGACACAAATTACTAATATGAAAAATGAAAGGGTGACATCACTAATGGCCTTTTATGGACACTGAAAGGATCATAAAGGACTATTATGAAAAACTTGATGCCCACAAATCTGATAACCTAGGTGAAATGGAAAAATTCCTTGAAATATACATTCTGTCAAAATTCATTCAAGAAGAAATAGACAATCTATGCTGAAGGATGGTGGTTCATGCATGTAATCCCAGCACTTTGGGAGGCTGAGGTAGGAGGATCTCTTGAGGCCAGGAGTTTGAGACCAGCCTGGGCAACATAATGAGACCCTGTCTCTACAAAACATAAAAAATTTGATGGGTGTGTTAGTGCGCACCTGTTGTCCCAGCTACTTGGGAGGCAGAGGTGGGAGGATTGCTTGAGCACAGGATGTCAAGGCTGCAGTGAGAGGTGATTGTGCTACACCAGCTTGGGTAACAGAGTGAGATCCTGTCTCAAAAAAACAAAAAAAAAAACAAACAAAAAAAAACAATCCGAACAGGTCTATCTGTGTTAAAGAAACCAAGCCAATAATTAATAACCTTTCAAAACATAAAGTACCAGGCCCAGATAGATTCACTGGTGAATTCTACCAAAAATTCAAGGAAGAAATTATATCAATATTCTACAGTCTCTTCCAGAAAATATAATCAGAGAGAACACTTCCTAACTCATCCTATGAGGCCAGCATTACCCTAATACCAAATCACACAAAGCCATTATAAGAAAATAAAACTACGGGACCAATATCTCTGATGAACATAGATGCAAAATTCCTCAACAAAATTTTAGCAAATAGAATCTAACAATGTAAACAAAGAATTATACACCAAGACCAAGAGGGATTTATCCCAGGTATGCAAAGTGGGTTTAATATTCAAAACTTAGTTAGATATATAATTTATCACATCAACAGGCTAAAGAAGAAAAATCACATGATTATATCAATAGAGCAGAAACCACATTTGAAAAAATACGACACCCATGATAAAAAACTCTCAGTAAACTAGTACTAGAGAGAAACTTCCTCAACTTGATAAAGAATATCTGCAAAAAACCTACAGCTAACATTGTACTTAACGGTGAGAAACAGCTTTCCTGCTAAGATCAGGAACAAAGCAAGGATGTCTCCTCTCACCACTCTTTTTCAACACTGTTCAAAAGTCTTAGCTAATGTGATAATACAAGAAAGAGAAATAAAAGGTATACCAATTGGAAAGGAAGAAAAAATATACTCTCTGTTTGTGGATGACATGTTTGTCTATGCAGAAAATCTGAAAAGAATAAACAAAAAAATTCTAGGCTGGGTGTGGTGGCTCAAGCCTGTAATCCTAGCACTTTGGGAGGCCAAGGTGGGTGGATCACTTGAGCCCAGGAGTTCAGAGACCAGCCTGGGCAACATGACAAAACCCTGTATCTACCAAAAATACAAAAATTAGCTGGGCATGGTGGTGCATGCCTGTAATCCCAGCTACTTGGGAGGCTGAGGTGGGAGAATTGCTTGAGCCTGGGAGGCAGAGGTTGCAGTGAGCCTAGATCACACCACTGCACTCTGGCCTAGGTTACAGAGTGAGGCTCTGTCTCAAAAAAAAAAAAATTAAAAATTGAAGAGGACATAAAAAAATGAAATGATATTCCAGGTTCATGGATTGGAAGAATAAATATCGTTAAAATGTCCATAATACTCAAAGCAATCTACAGATTCAATGCAATCCCCATCAAAATACTAATGGCATTCTTCTCATAAATAGAAAAAACAACCCTAAAATTTATGTGGAACCTTAAAAGACCCAGTATAGTCAAAACTTTCCTAAGCAAAGAGAACAAACCTCGAGGAATCATACTACTTGACTTCAAATTATACTACAGAGCTATAGTAACCAAAACAGCATGGTACTGGCATAATAACAGACACATAGACCAATGAAACAGAATAGAGAACCCAGAAACAAATCCATACACCTACAGTGAACTCATTTTTAACAAAGGTGCCCAGAACATACACTGGGGAAAAGACAGTCTCTTCAATATATGGTGCTGAGAAAACTAGATATCCATATGCAGAAGAATGAAACTAGATCCTAGACCTCTATCTCTTGCCATATATAAAATGAAATCAAAAGTGATTAGAGGCTTAAATCTAAAACCTCTAACTATGAAACTACTACAAGAAATCATTGGGGAAAATCTCCAGGACATTAGTCTGGGCAAAAACTTTTTTTCCTTTTTCTTTTCTTTCTTTTTGAGACAGAGTCTTCCTCTGTTGCCCAGGCTCGAGTGCAGTGGTGCATTGTCTGCCCACTGCAACCTCCACTCCCAGGTTCAAGTGATTCCCATGTCTCAGCCTCCCGAGTAGCTGGGATTACAGATGTACCCCATCACGCCCGGCTAATTTTTATATTTTTAGTAGAGGCAAGGTTTCATTATTTTGGCCAGGCTGGGCTCCAACTCCTGGCCTCAAGCAATCCACCTGTCTTGGCATCCCAAAGTGTTGGGATTACAGGTGTGAGCCACCACCGAAGAATATTATTTAGCACTAAAAAGGAAAGAATTCAGCACTAAAAGACTTTAGTGCTAAAGTCTCTTTAGCACTGAAAAGAAAGCACATGAGCTTTTAAGCCATGCAAAGACAAGAAGGAAACTTAAATGCCTATTATTCA
The DNA here is from genome assembly GCF_000001405.40 of Homo sapiens. NCBI lineage: Eukaryota > Metazoa > Chordata > Mammalia > Primates > Hominidae > Homo > Homo sapiens. The sequence goes on along the minus strand of NC_000002.12, from coordinate 96,076,280 downwards.
ATGAAAGAAGCCAATCTGAAAAGGCTACATACTGTATGACTTCAACTGTGCAATCTTCTGGAAAAGAAAAAACTGTGGAGACAGCAAAGAGTTCACAGGTTGACAGAGGTTAGGAGGGAGGGAGAGATGAACAGATGGAGCATCCTGGATTTTTAGGGCAGTGAAATTACTCTGTGTGATACTATAATGGTGGCTACATGTCATTATACCTCTGTCAAAACCCATAGAAAGCACGCCACCAAGAGTGAATCTTAATGTTAAATATTGACTTTGGTTGATAATGATGTGAATGGGACTTAATTGTAAGAAAAGTACCACTCAGGTGGGCAATGTTGATAGTAGGGGAGGTTGTGTATGTGTGGGACATAGGGTATAAGGAAACTCTCTGTACTTTCTGCTCAATTTTGCTGTGAACCTAAAACAGCTCTGAAAAATAAAATCTATTAACAAAGAAATAAACAATAATGTCTATTAACAACAAGCAAATGTAAACTCTAGATCTGAAAAATACAGAATCTAAAATGAAGTATTCACTTCATAGGGTTGACAACAGATTGGATACAAGCAGAAGAAAGGATCAATAACTCAAAGGCAGGTCAAACTAAGTTCTCCAAGTGGAAGCACGGAAAGAAACTAACAACAACAGAGCAGAGGAAGGGTCAGCAAACTGTGGGCCCATGGACCAAATTTGACCTGCTGCCTGCTATTGTAAATAAAGTTTTATGGATCCCAGACATACCAGACATTGTTTACAGAAAAGCTGAGTAGTTGTGACAGAGACCATATGGCCTGCAAAGCCTATATTAAGTCTTGCCCTTTAGAAAAGTTTGGCAACCCTTGTAATAGAGCATCAAAAGCTATCAAACAATATATTAAATGGCATGTTGTATGTATAACTGGAGTCCCAGAAGGAGAGGAGAATGAGAATGGAGCTTGACTAAATATTTGAAGAGAGAATGACTGAACACATCTTCATAAAACTCATGAAAGACGTCAACCCACAGATTCAAGAATAAAAATAACCCTAAACTACATAAATACAAGAAAGGCTATACCTAGAGATATCATCATCAAGCTAGAAAACAAAGGCAAAAAGATCTTAAAATCATCCAGAAAATACAATCAGGTTACATTTAGGGGAAACACAATAAGAATTGTAGCTGATTTCTCACTAGAAACAAAGGCAGCTAGAAGACAATTGAAGAACCACTTTAAAGGGTCTCAAGGAAAAATTCTGTGAGCTTAGAAGTCTATATCCAATAAAAATGTCATTCAAAAATAAAGGCCAAATTAAGGCATTTTTAGACAAACGAAAGCTTAAGGAATTCATTGCAACACTATAAATAGTACTAAAGGAATTTCTGAGGCCAAAGGGAGAGAATCTCAGATGGAAGCCCAGACTACCCAAAAGAAATAGAAAGGACCAGGAATTGTAAATATGTGGAAAATATAAGAGATTATCTTTTGTTTTTTACTTTAAAAAACACTTTTGGCCATTTAAAGCAAAATAATAAGCATGTGGAAGTAAAATATATAATAACACTAGTGCAACAGGCAGAGAGAGATCAATACAATTACACCGTTGCAAGTTCCTTTGATTATCTGGATGCAAGTGATGGTTACAGGTGTATGCATTTGTAGAAATGTATCAAGCTATAGCTTAGGATTTGTGTACTTCACTATATGTTAATTAGCCTGCACTTTAGTAAAGTACTGTTACCAAAGAAAGAGAATGGACACGACAGAGCTCTGTAGCCAAGTCAGGACTCACAGATGGAACAAATATTTATGTTTGTCACGGGAGAGTCAGGGCCTCCTGCTTGGCAGAGGCTGCTGAGAGCTGAAGATGGGGTTGGCTGGGGCTCAGCCCACCTCCTGCATTGCCGAGGAGGCAGCGTTTTCCTCTGTGACTGACTCCTGCTGGAGCCTTGGCTTTGTGGAGATCTGTGACAGGGCTTGGCCCATGAGATGAAGAGCCCAGAGGCCTGGCCTTCCTGTCCTGAGCCTGGTCCGCTTCTGGGGACCCTCTCCTACGGTGGAGAAAACCAGAATGTCATCCTGGAAGGGACTTCTGATTCAAGTACTTGATGGCTGCCATTTTATAGAGATGGGCTCTGGGGCTCAGAGTGAATACATTCTAGAAACTGGACTGGAAACCAGATCTCCTCTTTATACTGTAGCAGCTGTCTTGGGCCCATTCAAGCTTGTCCTTCCTAGGTCCACAGGTATTCCTCTCTCTGCTCTTTTCTTTAAAATCCTCATGCTACTAATGCTAAATAACTGCTGATAAAACTAATTCATACTAAAGTGTGAGTGACTGATTCCCTGTTAAAGTCTCCCCAAGAAAGGCATGCGTAGTAACCATGTCCAAGAAACCATTCTAATGGTGTGATCCCATTCAGCACCCAGGCTGAGGAGAAATGTTTTGGGATGAAGCAGGCAGAGGTGAGAAAGGGTTGCCAGTCTGGAGCTAGCATGGTGCAGGAGAGAAGGCAGGGTTCTGTCTTTGCCCGAACTCATCGGCTCATCTTGGCCACATTCTCTGACTTCCTTGGGTCTGTTTCTTCTGCTGTTAAATGAAGGCTGGACACTCAGATAGCCCAGGGCCCTTTAGCTCTCATGTCCCAGGCCTGTTCACTTACAGCCTTCTGGAGCTTTTGCTTTACAATAAGCAGTCCTCTGATCATCACTGGCTCTCACAATGTTCTTAGAAGCAGATTAGAGGCTTGGGTGTGTGGGTCTCTGTGTCACAGGTGAGGAAATGGGGCAGAGAGGGCAGGTCAGTGGCCCGGGGCCACTCTGTGGGATGCCACTGCATTCCTCCTCCTCCCCCAGCTGCCTCATGAACGGGGCTAAAGAAGCCTCCCCTTCCTGACAGAACCCACTGCTTCTCTGGTCAGCCCAGGACAGTGGAGCCCTCCCTGGGCAGGGGTGGGGGTGCAGAGCCAGCCCCACTCAAGTCCCCACGGGAAAGTACGGGGCCCCTGCCAGAGGAGCCCTTCCCTTTCATTCCTCCCCAATAGGAGGCCACCCCCAATGCCTTCACCAGCTCCCAAATGCCTCTCACCTCTGCACCTTCGAGCCTTTGCCCAGGAGCCCCCTCTGCCTGGATGTCCTTCCCTTCTTCTCTGCCCAGCACACTCCCACCAAAGCGGCCCCCCAAGGCAGGATGCAGCTCATGCTCCCAGTGGTGGACGGCTGTTCCGATCTTACCTAAGGGTTTCGCTTGCTGCCTGCAGCCTCCTCTGGGGGAAGGAGCATGTCTTGTCTCTCCTGTCCACCCACTTCCCAATGCACGGTTCCTGGCATGCAGCTGGGTCAGGACACGCGTTCTGAGCGCTTCAGAGGGCTGGTGAGGCACAGTGTCCCTGAATGTCCTCAGAGTCCAGGTCTGGCCCAGCCACATTCTTGAGGATGGGAAGCTAGAGAGGTAGAAATATCTCCGCTGAACGCCCAGCTGGTCACATAAGAGCTGGGGAACTGGACACTTCACCTAATGCCTCCGAGCCTCACCTTAACATGGGAGCTCAGCTCCTCCTCTGCAGCCTGTGGTAGTGAGCAGGTGAGGTCGTGTATGTGAAGACTTAGACCACATATGCCTGGGACATAGGACATGCTCAACTTCTTCCTGTTAATCCTCCTCTTACATCCGAGGGACCCTGGCCAGGCCACCCGGCGTCCTCTGTTTTCTCAAGGTCAAGGAGAATAATAGCCCCAGCACTGCCCAGCCCCTAAGGGATGGTGAGGGTGCAGATGGTTCATGATGACAGTTCCTGGGAGCTACAGGAGAAGTGAGGAGGGCTGGTGGGCCTGTGGCAACTTCCCACAGCTCACAGGAGGGCTGGAGCTGACCCGGCTGCTCCGCTCTGCTGCAGAAACAACAGCTGCTGCTCCCTGGGCTCAGGGCTGTGTCTGCAGTAGCCTGGGGACACCAGAGCCCCAACCCAGTGGAGCCCCTGCCCTGCTGTTCTGTGTTCTCCAGTGCGAGCCCCAAGCTGGTGTGCATCTCTCTTGCTTTAGGGATATAAAACTGTTTCATTTCCAAAATAAAGAGAACAAAGCCTCCTTGTGGCAACAATTATGCAGTCATAAGAGGAGGCTTAATGGGCGTTCATTAAGAGTTGCACTCAGGGAATGACAGCTCTGACAGCTGCCAGTACTGACTGTCGTAGAGTCATGGCGCTGTTCCCTGAGGGAGCATCACCCCCTCCCCTGAGCTGCAGCTGCTCCTCCGGGAATGGGGCTCACAGGAAAAAAGACCCAAGAGCAGACCTCTGGAGCCGCCAGAGCTAGTCTGGTCTCTCAGAGCGGCCTCGGATGGTGTGTGGCCACATTTGTGGCACTTGCTGTCTGATCAGAGAAGCAATGAACATATGCCAGGCCGGGATCTCACAGGCATCTAGGCTGGTCTGACAAATCCTTGGCCACATCTGACCACGTCTGTGCCCGTCATGCTGTGTTTGTTCCTACTGAGCCAAGGCCGTATCAGAATTCTTCAAATAGCCCTCCAGACAGCCAGGCTAGGGTGGCCAGGGAGTGGTGACTGGCTCTACATTCCCCATAGAGTCCATTTCGCCTCATCCCTGGATGGATGTCACCCTGGGACCCAGAAAGGGGTGTGACCTGAGGAACAGCCATTGCCAGATCCCGGTGCCCTCGCACCCTGGCGTGGTTGGGTCTGTTTCCACAGCTCACTTGTCCATGGGGAGAAAGCAGTGATTCAGGCCTGGCTGAGGGACTTGGACAGACACTCAGGATCTTCCTCCTGAGCCCTGTTTCCTCTTGCTCAGGAGAGGAGTTTGAATTGCTCCCTCATTCCCCTAGAAGTCCATGTAAGCCCATGCCACTGCCAGGTGGAGCTCCAGGCTCATGATTCAGGAAGGCCAGAGCGCCATACGCCCCTTTATTCCTGTCCCAGCTGTGTCTCTCCTGGTTGATCTGTGCCTCGAAAGCATAAGGATTCATCCGTTTTAGTCCCATGGATGGAAGCCGGCCCCTCTGCATAGAGTGGCACGGGGCAGGAGTTTGAACACCCCTAGGAGTATGGCACAGGTCACCTGTGGGGTGAAGACATAAGTGTGTTTGCAAGTGGGTGGGTGGCTGGGAACTGGAGGATTTGGCTGAGCCAAAGATGGGCTGGGTTTGCCCATCTTAGGGTTGTTGGCCTGGAGCTCAAATTGCTCTGTGATGGAGGAGGGTGACTCTGGAGCTCTCCCAGGCAAGGGCAGGGGCAGAGGGACAGAGAGAAGAAAGGGACGTGAGAAAGACAACACACAACCCCTTCCATGAGGCTCGCTGGATCTTCAGTCGTGTGGTTGGAACTCCGGGAGATGTCCCCTGAGCCCGGGAAGCAGGATAGGTCAGGAGAAGGCCCTAAGGAAAGGCTTTGGATACTACCTGTGGCCACACTCTCCTACAGGCCAAGGAGAGACAGACAGAGAGGGGCTCTGGGCAGCCAGTAGCACTGAACTCTCAGGGTCGAGGTCTGGGGCAATATCCGGGCTCCACTTTCATTCCGTAATGGCAACATAATAGAGTGCAGAGTGCTGGCTAAAGAGTGGGTAGCTTCCCTGGTTCAAGGCCAGCCTCTGGCAGCTGCCACTTTTTTTCAGTTGAGCAGTGGCCAACCTGCACAACAGGCCCCTTACCACATGCCAACACTGGGTACAGCCTGTGTGGAGGGGTCTTGGGAACCCGAATGTTGAATGCACCCCTTTGCTCTGTCTCTCGCTGGGGAACCCTCACTGGGCTGTCTTGGTTTGTGCTCCGTTCACTGGGCCAGCTCCTCCCTATGCCCCCAGCCCAGCCTTGGCACTGCATCTGGAACTCAGATGGGGGATGATCGCAGCTTTCAGGAAACTGCCCAGTGACAGGACTGGGCATCGTGCAGGGGGTGACTCATGTTCTAGTCTGTAGTTTTGACAGAATGCTTCTAAAAGTTTCCTGAGAAAAGGTGCAATAGAAGAAAGGATGTCTGCAAATGTCTTTAATGCATCCCCACATTTAGCCGAATGAGTGGCTGCCGTATTCAACGACGTCTGAGCTGCAGACAGCTGTCTCCAGAGGGGCTGGTGGGTTGACCCCTTTGGCTTCCAGTTGCTAGGCAGCTCCCCTGACTTCGTGGATACCCCCCTCTCCCCCACTCACCACCTCTGCTGCAACATCCTGTCACTCAGGAACTCCAACAATCCAACCCCATCTCTACTAAAAACAAAAAATTAGCTGGGTGTGGTGGCAGACGCCTGTAATCCCAGCTGCTTGGGAGGCTGAGTCAGCAGAATTGCCTGAACCTTGGAGGTGGAGGTTGCAGTGAGGTGAGATCGCGCCACTGCACTCTGGCCTGGGCAACAGCCTAAAACTCTATCTCAAAAAAGAAACTCCAGCAATCCTCACAAACAAACAAGATAACAGGCAAAGAACATGCTAACAAACGGCAGCTTTGATGACCAGGAAAGCGCATGGAGCTCCCATTCCAGGAATGTATTTTAACTGGACGTGCCTCCTTGGGAAAAAAAGAACAAAAAAGAAACTCCTAGTAAGAAAAAAAGCCCCGCCCTGCTTCTGACAGACTCAGCTCTGGCAGCAGCTGCTCCTGTTTGGAAAGACCTACATCCCAGGAATATAAATTTTTTATTGTGATTTTATTTTATTTGTTGATGCAGAGGGTTTTTATTTTATCTTTTGAACCAGTAGCAGCAGCGGGAGAGGGAGAAATGGGGGAGCTGCAAAGCTGGCTGGGGGTGTTCTCCCTCCTCTGCTGGGGGTGGAGATGACACCTGAGCCCCCTTCGCTGGGCTTGCTGGCCACACAGGCTCCTGTCTCTGCCATGGTGTGGGGACTTGTGGTATTGGGAGGGAAAGAAGAAGTAAAGAGGGGGTGGGGGCAGAGGGGCAGGGGTGTCCAGGGGTGTTTGGCCCAGAGCAAACCCCTGGTGCTCCCACATTCCGGGTCCGGGTCATCTGCTAGGACAGGCACAGTGGGAGGGGTGTGCCCCCTGCCCATCCTTGGGGAGGTTCGAATGGACTAGATCCAGTCCAACCCCCCAGCTGCAGTGGAGGAAGCAGAGGCCAAGTCCCTGCGGAAGCTGCCCAGGACCCGCTGAGTGGCGACCTCGGGGGCAGTCACCCTACATGCACCCAGGACTGAGGGTATGCGCGCTTCTCCTGTGCTGCCTGGGAAATAACAGGAAAGACCACGGGCGTCCACCCCCAGGGAAAAGGGTGAAGAAAGTGCGGGGCCCTGGCTGGGTCTCTCTGGGTGTGCAAGGAGAAGCCGAGGCGTCACAGGAACCCAGGAGGTGGGGAGGATGCAGAGCAGGACCTATTATTCCTATCATTAAGTATCGATTCTTATTTATGAGAAAACAACAATTATCTGGTGCCTGAATATGATTATGAATTTTAAAAGATCCAGAGGAGTACCCGAGAAATTGTTCATGATTATTAGGGAAAGGGAAACATTTTATCTTAGACATTAGGTATGGCTTGAAGTGTATTTTTTTGGAGGGTGACATGTATTATTTTTATTAAATGGTAGTAGCTGAAGTGGTTACCTCTAGAAACAGAAATTTGTTTTGTGGGAGGGTTAGGTGGTTAAGAGACATATTAACACTGCCTGTAATACTTCAGGGTTTTTTTTCTAACAAAAAGAGATGTTCTTGTACAATTAAAAAAAATCTCTAAACTGCAATAATAAAGAAAAACAAAGCAACTCCTGGCTGCAGCCTGTGGCCTTTTTTCCCCTGCACACCCTGCCTGGGAACTCAGGTCTTAGGAAGGCAAGCCCCTGCCTGCAGCTTGCCTTCCTAAAAGGCCTCACTGACTTCTCAGCATCTGTGTGCTGTGGCCAGGGTAGCTCGGCACCTGGATCCCAGCTCCATGGGGCTCCAGGAAGGCTCAGAGGGCACAGCACTTACTCAATCCTGCTGTCCGCTCTCAGAGGAGCAGGGTGGGAGCCCAGGAGCCTGGCCCAGCTCCCCAGCAATCCATGATGCTCCTGGCACCGCTCCCGGCCCCCGAGACAGACAAAGCACCATCCTATTCTCCAAAGTCCTCTAATCCCTGGTCGTTGTTTGCTTTCCAAAGGAGCCCTGGTTGACCCTGAGCCAGCAGTCCACACCTTTGCCCAGGGTGAGCTCTGACTCAGCTCTCTTGCTCCTTCCCCCTCACCCATGGCCCCTCTGGTTCCTGAGGCTGAGGGACATGGGCTTGTGGGGGGAGGGTTCTTGAGGGAGGCGTCCCAGGCCCATTCCCGGTGCCAAGCTCCCCTCCGTCTCCCCCCATTCCCCCATCCCCTCTGCTCCTCAGTGGCTGGCAGGTGGCATTGTTCAGCACCTGACAGCTCCCCCCACTCCCACAGCTCCTGCCTCCTGCACTGTTTTGTCAATTTGGACAGCTGTCATGCCAGCTCTGAAACACACCCAGTGTTTCCTACCCAATTCTGGAGGCCCCACTCTGCTCCAAGCAGCCTGGTGACCTTGGATGTCCTTTTTCCTGTCTGGGCCAGGGATCCCACCTGGGTTGAAGAGAGCAGGGACAGTGTGGTGCAGCAGGAGCCTATTCCCATACTGTGTCCTCACTGAGAGCTTGTTTCTCCTGGGACATGAGAGATGCACCACCTTCCTGCCCAGCTGGGCAAGAACATCAGGAGAGCCAAGGGTTACAGGAGGCCTGGAGGAAGCAGTATTTTCAGTAATGCAATATGCAGCATTGACCAGCACCTGCAGCATACCAGGTGCAATGCTAGGGGATAACAGATCATGGAGAAAGAGCTGCAGCACCCAAGAGCTCACAGTGCAGCAGACTGGCCAGCAGACAAGTGGCTGGAGAATGATGTGAGAAATTCCACAGTGAAGACATTTGAAGGCAGCAAGACAGGGCTTTGAGTTCTGCCTAGGGGAGCTCAGAAGCCTTTGCAGAGGTGGGGAAATTTGAGTTGGGCTTTGAAGGATGACTAGGAGTTCACCAATTTGAGGACACTAGAGGGGCCTGGCAGTTAGCAGCCAAAGCAAAGAGAAAGCAACACACGGTTCACCCAGAGAGGCATCAAAGAGCAGTGGTGGAAAATGAGGCTGGAAAGACTCCCCAGACAGTGCTGAGCCTTTGTATTTGTGAGGGTGCTTTTGGCTGTCAGTAAACAAATTGTCCAATAAAGTGTATAAACATGCATCATGTCTTACCGTGTGATATAGTTTGGATGGTCCCTCCAAATCTCATGTTGAGATGTAATCCTCATGACTGCCAGAGCCTTGAATGTGAAGACACTTAGGCCACAGTGGGAGGGAGAACCATTAGGGCTCAGAGCCCAGGGTGTCTGGTTGAGAAGGAGGCACTGATGTCCTTGGTTGCTCCCAGCACCTCCCTTTGAGTCCTCACTCTGTTCCTAGGAAGCAGCAGCAGAGCTGTGTCTGAGCTGCAGCCCTTGAGGTTCAGGCTGAGGATGGATCAGCGATGCAGGCAGCAGGGCCAGAGCAACAGCCTCATGGATTCTGGCCTTTCCTGAGTACCCAGGGAGAGGCCCCTGCACTGGCAGCACTTTGCAGCAGCCTGGAGGAGTAGAGCTGGCCTTGTGCTCTGTGGAGTGCCAAGCGCAGGCCCTGAGCAGGTGTGCTGCACAGATGACCTCATCGAATCCTCAAAGTGACCACCTCCTAGAGTGGACACTATCACTACACCCACTTCACCGACGAGGCAGCTGAGGCCCCGTGAGGCTCCACACATGGCTGAAAAGTGCAAGCAGAGGGAAGAAAGCAGGACTTCTGCATGCGCCTGCCCCCACCCTATGCTGCCTGGGAGGCTGGGGCTGTGTGGTGGGGGCTCCCTCCACCTCTGAGACCCCTTCCCTTGCCAGCAAGTGCTCTGAGCTTCCCACAGACAGATAGGAGAGAGAAATCAACTTCCATGGTATTCAGCTGCTGTTACTCACAGCCGAAATGGATCCCAATAGACCTGAGCCCCTTACCGTTTGGAGTCCTGTAAGGTATGGCCAAGTGCTGTTACCACACCATCTCCCACAGGACCTGCCAACACCCACAGGATTCCCTGGGCATCCTCATTGAGCAGGTAAGAGGACCGAGGCTGGGCAGTGTTCAGGTGGCCTGCCCGGAGCCAGATGCCATGGGGTGGTTCAGCCATGGGGCTCTCTGCCCTCATTCAGCCTGTCTCCTTAAATGCTTGAGTGGCAGCATTTGTAAACTGCTTATTTCTGAGTTCTCTGCAGACATGCTGAAGCAGAATCTCTAGTGACAGGCCCAAGAACATGCATTTTTCTGCAGTCCTGAGTGAGGCTGAAGAGCAGAGCTTGCCTGAGGCAGAGAGGAGAAGTGAGCTTTCCAAGGCCACGCAGCCAGCTAGGGGCAGAGCTGAGGTCAGAGACTAGATCAGACCAGATCCCAGGCCATGTTGGCTGGAGCTGAAGTGGGCATTGACTCCTGGGGCCCCCAGATCTAGAGGTGGAGGGGCGTAAAGGCCTAGGGGCGGTGGCTGGGCTTGGAGGGCTGCCAGGTTGCTGTGTTCCAGGCCAGAGCCTGCTCATCCCACCCTGGGGCAGGGATTGCAAGGCCAGCAGAGCACTTGCTGCTCCTCTGGGCAGCTGGGACAGCTTTGCCACACAGCACACACTCTTCCTCCTGCTGGGAATATCCAGACCCCACTCAGGCAGGTTCTTGCTCCTCAGAGGCTCCCAGTCTCAGCTCCTGACTCTGGCCACTGGATCCACCCCTGGGCTCTAGGCTTCTGCTGCTGCTCCCAGGGACTGCCAGCACAGAAAGCTCTTAGTAGTTAGTGCAGAAAACACTAATCTGGGCGAAGAATACCCAGGCCGGACACCTGGCCCTGCTCTTACCCTGCCAGGTGGCCTTGGGCAAGTCATGCCATTCCCTGGACCTGAGGCCTAACCTCTGGATGGCCTGGGATTCGGCCTGGGTCATCCAGACTTGAAGATGATGGCTGGTGGGCTCTACTTCCCTTCTCCAGGTGAAGAATCTATTCATTCATTCAGTCATTTGACATTCAACAAATATGTATTCAACACTGACTTTGTGCCAGCTTTTAGGCACTAGGATACCACAGGGAACAAACCTAGCAGTAATCCTTCCCCCTTTAAAGCTGATGTTCCAGGAGACCCATGTGCACAGGGTGACATCACTAAGCATTCTGAGATTAGATGGATGGATGTGTGGATGGATGAAGAGATGAATGAATAGATGGATGGATGGATGTGTGGATGGTTGAACAGATGAATGGATAGATGGATGGATGGATGGATGGATGGATGGATGAATGGATGGATAGATGGGTGGATGGATGGATGGATAGATGGGTGGATGGATGGATGGATAGATGTTTGGATGGATGGATAGATGGACAGACAGATGAATGAATGGATGGATGGATGGTAGATGGATGGATGGATGGTAGATGGATAGATAGATGGATAGATGAATGAATGGATGGAGGAATGGACAGATAGGTGGGTGGATGCATAGATGGGTAGACAGATGAATGGATGGATGGATGAATGAATGGATGGTAGATGGATAGATGGATGGACAGATGAATGAATGGATGGAGGAATGGATAGATAGGTGGGTGGATGCATAGATGGATAGACATATAAATACATGGATGGATGAATGGATGGATGGTAGATGGAAAGATGGATGAATGGATAGACAAATGGACAGGCAGATGAGTGAATGAATGGATCATTGGATGGATGGATAGATAGGTGGATGGACAGATGAATGAATGGATGGAGGAATGAGTAAATGGGTGGATAGATGCATGGATGGATAGACAGAAGAATGGATGGATTGGTGGGTAGATGGATGGATGGATAGATGGACAGACAGGTGAGTGAATGGATGAATGGATGGATGGTAGATGGATAGATGGATGGACAGATGAATGGATGGATGAATGGATGGGTAGATAGGTGGATAGATGGACAGACAGATGAACCAATGGATGGACAGGTAATGAGGAAGGGAAGAAGCCTGGGCCCCTGCTCTCCTCCTGCTCTCCTCCTGCTCTCCTTCCTGTGGCCGCATTTCCATCTCAGGACAGAGCTCACTGGCTGGCTGGGTCTCCTGGATAGAAAGTGAAGGGGGCAGTGGCCTGACTGAGGCAGGGCTTGGGATGACAGTAGTTGGGCTCTGGGGAGACTTTGGTGATGGATGGGCTCGATGTCAGGGAAGGTGGCCGGGGAGGAGGTGGTAGGGGATGGGCTGAGTGTTATGGGCACAGGGGACACAGTTCAACCACGTGAGCCTGCCTCTCTTCTGCCTCTGTCTAGGTGGGAGACTCTCTTTGGGTTTGAAAACCCCAGTCTGAGATGTGCTGTTTCCCTTGTGCCCCACCAGGGCCCAGTGTGTAGCGTTCTGGGGACACCGGGTGTTGCTGAGAACGAATCAGGGAGCCATAGTCAGGGGGCTCAGTGCAGGGCAGGGGTGAAAGGAGCACCGGAAGCAAGCAGGCCTGGGAGTGGGGCATTTATTTACTATTTGTTGGGGCCATCCTGAAGGGGGTGCCCAGCAGGCTGGGGTGGCCTGCCACAGCCCTCAGTCCTCTCAGTAAGTCTGCAGCAAGAACCTGCTGGAAGCTGCAACATTCACAGCTGCAGGATGGGCAATTGGCTCTATGAGTCGGGCTCTGCTTCCATCTACAGGCCTAGATGTGAGGGCAGAGGAGCACTCAGCCTGCCGAAGGTCTGCACAGCTGGCCGGCAGCGGGCAAGATTGGAATTCACTCACCATGCAGCTACTGGGTGCCTGGCTACTGCTGGGAAGCAAGCTGAGGGCAAAGACTGCCCCACAGGGGCAAGATCGGGGCCCACCACAGGAGGTCACCCCCCAGGCATGCAGGGCACAGAGCTGGGGGGAATGAGCTCCCTCCCCATGCACCCCTCCCCAGCTGTCCCTGAGTCACTAGCGCCCTTCCCTTTCACTACCAGGGAGGCTCTGGAGCTGCTTCCTATCCCCCACTGTCCTGTGAGTCACCGCCCCACCCTCCAAGTCCCTCCCACATGGTGTGATCAGCATCCCTGCCTCTGCCCACGAAAGTGATTTCAAAAGGCAGAAGTGACAGGTGGTGGGTGGTTAGGCGGGCAGTGCCTCTCACCTCCCCATCCATCTCTCTTCTGTCAAGTGGGGCAGCAGCAGGGCCAAGAAGACTGAATTCAAAGCATCCTGGAAGGCCTCAGGTTGTCAAGGGCCCCAGGCAGCGCATGAGGCTTTGAGAGGGGCCCCTGCCTTGTGCCTGGGCAGGCTCCTTCCCTGCTCTGCACACTGTGTCTTGAGCAGGCTCTGGAACCCACCTTTCCACTATTAGAATGATAGACGGGCTGGATGTCAGGAAGGTGGAGTGTGTTCCTCCAGGTCACAGCCCTGGGCCTCTATGACAGCCCCTTTGAGATGAAGAGACCTGGGTGAGGAGTCTGCAGCGGGGGCGGTGGGGGCATCTTCAGTGCTCTGGCATGGGTTCATTCCTCAGGATGCTCCTGCAGCCACCCCAAGCTGAGGACAAGGCCCAGATCCACAGTGGCCTGGGAAGTGCTCCCAGCAGAGTGAGCAGAGCTGGGCTTCGGTGCTGTCTGCCCTCTGTCCTGCTGCAAGGCTAATCACCTTCTGGTTCTGGGCCTTGAATCCCTTTTACAGCATGGGGGCTGGATGCTCTTTGAGCTTCCTCCTGGCTTCGATCCTGGAAACTGACACCTACTTGTTTGCAGTTGTGTGACTTGGTCAAATCGTGTAACCTCTTGAGCCTCAATTTCATTCTGTGTGAATGAAACAGTGAAAGCCCTGAAGATTAGATTTTTGATAGAAGAATTGTAACAGCAGTGACCCCATAGCCCTTTACCATTTGCAAGGTGCTTCAGACAAAATATCTCACTGGTCCCTCCCAACAATTCTGCCACAAAAGGTGGTATTACTTTCATGCCCAGCTTACAGTTTGAGGAACGAAGGCCCAGCTATGGGGGCAGGTGCAGAGGTGGGCCTCGCTTCCAGGTCTCAGTCTCTGGATGAAGGGCAAGATCCCTGCAGCTAAGGACGAGGGAGTGGTGGCACAGAATGTCCGGCCTGCTGGTCTTTCTTTCCCAGCCTGGGGCATCTCTGTGAAGGCCGATGAGCGGAGGCCCCTCCCCAGGTGCTGGTGCCAGGCGGCGGGGAGCTGCTTCTGACAGCTGTGCAGAGAATCATCACTTCTCCATCGCTGCTAATAGCATGTTTAGCTTGCTGACTCCTCTGTTTGCCTGGTGCCTCCCACGGACCCAGAGCTTGGAGTTTCTTCATTGCCTGGGGTGGGGCAGGGTGGCAGAGGGGCATCTCTGCTCCCTGGCCCTGGCTGCAGCCAGCAGCTCCACCCAGGGCCCTGAACTTGGGAGGCGACTGCAGTTCCATGCCTTGGCTCCCAGCACCCCAGGGAAGTACATCTGGGCTCTGGAACAGCAGAAATGGCCTCCTGCAAATCTCCTACCCGACACAGGACCAAGTGTGGGAAGGCTCTGGTCCAAGGGGCTTTCTCCAACTCTCTGGACCACAGGGAGCCGGCAGGATGGGGGCCAGTCCACCTTCAGATTACACCTTTACCTCTGACTCAGACCCCTTCACCTCCCAGGCCACCATACGACATCTCCTGCTTGCAGATCTGGCCATGCTGGAGGCAGGATGGATCCCCAGCCCCTCAGTTGTGACCCTTCCTAGCTTGTTAGGTTAGTAGAAAACTCAGCTCATAGTCTCGGGGACTGCTCCTCCCCTGGTTCATGCACAAACTCCAAAGGTTCATGGGATTCCTAAAAGCAGCCTGACAAATTTCCCTCCTGTGGGGAGAAGACCCTGTGGTCTGGCAGGACCCACTGCCCTTGGCCAGGTGCCCCTCGCTTTGATCCTGGGTCTGGCTCCTGCCTTAGGAGACTGCAGACCTCTGTGGGGCCACTCCCTGGTGACCCACCAGCCCAGGAAGGATGGACCCCGCAGTGGACAACACTCGGTTCTGTCCATCTCCCTGCCTTGGGGAAGTACTTGCCTGTGGTTTTAATTTACCTTTGACCCTATGGTGCACTTCTGGAATGTTCCCTCCACGAGGGCGTGGACTTGGTCCTGTTCATGGGGATCTCTCTGGCACCTGGAGCAGCTGTGTAGCCCAGACGGGGTGCTCAGTCATTGACTGCTGCCTGAACAGATATGTGCAAGTTTGTCTTCTCACTGCTGTTAACATTATTGTATGAGTAATTTTACAAGTTTACCATTTTTCTTGTACGTATAATAAATATCCCACCTTATTGACCCACAGTTCCCCCTCCCACAACTTGCAAAGTATTTTGGCTGACTTGACTTGTTTACTATGATAAATAGTGTTGCTATAAACAGCTGTGCACATATAGCTATTTTTCCCTTTGCAATTATGTTTTTGGGAGGAATTCCAAACAGTGGGGTTAGCGGGTCAAAGGGCATGGCGTATTTATGGTCCTGGATGTGCTGGGACTGCCGAATTCTCAGCCCCCAGGCCACCCCTGTTTTCCCTGAGGTCTAGCTCTGGGTGAACACCCACAAAAGTGTCTGTCTGCCTGAGGCTACCCCGGCCTCTGTCTGGCTCCTGCGGTCGTGGAGCAGACCTCACGGTGCAGGAGCTGGAGGTGGCTGTGGGAGTTTGAGGAGGGGCAGGAGGAGGCAGCTGTGGGAGTTGTGGAGATGGCTTCACGGAGCCAGGAGCCCTGTTCCGGGAGGGCAGTAGGACCCCCTCTTCTCCCAGAGCCCTGGCCTTCTCTTGGATGGCTCTCCTCTCCTGGAGCCATCCCGCCCCCTGCAGCTAAGCTTCCACCCCCAGTCTCTGAGAGGGGGCAGTGCCCCCTGTAGGCAGGTGTGTTTGGGAGAAGGGAGGGGACCCAGTGCCTCAGCCTACTCCGGACTTTCTCCTGTGGGCCCTGACGTGGTGTCATGTGGGGGAGAAGTGCCGTGGAAGCTAGCTGCTGAGCAAAAGGTCTTTATCACTGCAGAAAATGTGCCTGAGATTTGCCCGCCTTCTGCCTCCATCCACTGGCTCTGCCCCTCCTCAGCTGCTGGAGCCCCCTTTCCCCACCATTAGCCCCAGACCTGCAGGCCTGGATGGTTGAAGGGGAGGGGTCCACACTGGCCCCTCATGGGATCTTCCGGAACCTGGCTGCTACTGGAGGGCAGGGTATCCAGGGTGGCCCCTCCCTAAGTAAATCTTCCCATCCTGGGAATAGGACAGACCTATTCTCTGTCTGGCGATGCCTGCATTTTATGGGGACCCCAAGGCTTTCCCCTGCCATGGGGTAGTGTCTTGGAGGCGGGGCCTGCTGTCTGTAAGGGCTGGTGAGCCCCGGCCCAAGCAGGGCTAGGCAGTGCCCTGTGGCTCAGGCCTGAGTGGCATGGGCGTAGCCCGTGCTGGGAGGGAGGAATGAGACTCCCTGTGTCCCGAGGCTCTCCCTTGGAGCAGGCTCTCTCTGCTCTCTCTGTACCTCCTGCCCTGTCTTTTCTGGCTGCAGGTCCCTAGTGGCAGGAAGTTCTGGGAAGCAGTGCAGAAAGAGCACTGGACTCGGGCGTTCTCATCCAGTCTCTGTTACCAATGGGCTGTGGGATCCAGCCCCTACCTCAGTCCTCAGCCGGACATTTGCCTGTGGCCTTGTGCAGCGCCTGCGGCCTTGGCAGGGTGGCTGAGGGTGGCTGAAACCCAGGTTGTGGGAGGATCTGGAAGGAGCCTGGCTCCTGTCTCCCCATGTCCATGTCAGCTCTTGGCCTGACACCAGGAGACCCTCAGGGTTGGGGGTGTCACCCCCCCTTCCTGCAGCCTCCGCATCCTCCTCCCATGCCCCACTCTGCTTTTCTGCTGGCTGGTGCAGGAGACAATGGCTGTGGGGCATGTGGGTGCACGTAGGGGGGGTCCTGCGTGGGTTGTGTGATTTTCCCGGACAGGCAGGCGTGAGAGGGAGAGGAAATTATTCTGTCTAAAACCTCAGAGATGAGTCCTTGAGAGCTGGCAGAGTGACTGCTTCCCGTCTGGGTGGGGAGGCAGGAGACAGGGTGGGCCGTTCCCAGGGGCAAGAGCAAGGCAGGGCAGGGCCAGTCCTCAGGGAGAATCCCAAGAAGGCCACAGCAGCACAAAGATAAGCCCTCATATTTCCCACGTGTCACCTGGACAAAGAGCCGTGATGCCCCCCATAACAGCCGGTCCTCACGAGAATCCAGAGAGCTCGCTAGGGAGGCAGACATTATGATAACCCAGTTTACAGATGAGGAAACGGAGGCTCTGGAGGGGTTCATTGACCTGCCTAGGTCACAGAGCCAGCCCGTTAGCGACAGAGCCAGAGCTCGAAACCCAGATCCCGAGGCACATCTTCCTCCAAAATGACCCAGAGAGGTGATGTCTCTGAAAGCAAAGCCAGGGACAGCCACCAAGGCAGACAGGGGCCGCAGTTTTGTTCAGGCAGAAAATGCCAAAGGTGCCACACTCCCACCTCACCCCCACCCGGCCTTCACTCTCAAAAGTGCAACTTTCCTGCTGGAGGAGGGGAAGGGTTGAGCTGGGAAGACATCTTCCCTCCTGTGACTCTGAGGCCCAGAGGCTGGGCTCGGCAACTCTCTGGGATTCACAGGGCGCCTCCTGCGGGACTTCTACATCTCTGCCATGACAATGTTTACCTATTTATTGCCACAGAAAAGGAGCCAGATAGCAACAGCTAGAAACTGAACCCTCCATGGACTCTCTCCCTCCTTCCCTGGCAGCATTCACCTGCACAGTGGGAAGTCCTGCAGCGATGGGCCAGGTGAAATGGAGTGGGCAGGGGCTCTTGGTGAGGTGTCATTATGGTAGTCATCCGGGCTGTTCACAGATGTTCAAGTCTCCTTTATGCCAGGCCCATGGTAGGAGTTGACTTCTCCATCCACTTCAATTCAAGCATGGCCATGTGAGTTGCTCTTACCAACAAAATGTGGGTGGAAGTGGGTGGAATGTCACTTTCAGACAGAAGCCTTAGGAGCCCTTGTGTGGGCCAGCATGTTCTCTATTCCTGTCTCTGAGATCCTGGACACTCCTGTTGAGATGAAACTCTGTCAGACTGGGTCACCCAGTGACTGTGATGCCCAGAGCCCTCCTGCTGACTCAGTGGTCATACTGCATATGTCAGAAATAAACTTCGCTATTTTCATCCATTGAAACAGTGGGCTACTTGTTACCTACATAACCCAGCCTATCAGCCTCGATGCAGTCACCAAGCTAGTCAGTAAGATCCCTGCCCAGGACTTTAGAAATAGGACCTGCAACTCTCTAGAGGGCTGGGCCCATAAGGTGTAAACCTGGCTGCTGTGTTTTGAGATGCCCTGAACAGGCTAAGTGTGAGCAACAGGCTGTTTATCCACTCAGATGCAAGTGGGCTGAGTCCGAAAAGAAAGTCAGTGGAGGGTTGTGGGAGTGGAGTTAGTTTTATAGGCTTGGAGTAGGTAGTGGAAAGCTACAGTTAGGGGCAGTTTTTTCGGGCAGGGGAAGAATTTCACAAGGTGCATAGTCACGAGGTGGGGGAGGTCACAAGGCACAACATCACAAGGTGGATGGATTAGTTGGGGCAGGAACATATCACAATGGTGCAATGCTGCAAGGTCAGTTCATCAGTTAAGGCAGGAACTAGCTGTTTCTTCTTCTTTAGTGGTTCTCCTAGTGCTCCAGGCTTTGTGACTCCAGGAGGCCTGTACGTGTGGGTCACAGGGGTCATAATGGCTTGACCATGGTGCAGCCCATTCAGAGGACCTTACAGGAAGCAGGCACACAGTAAGGAGACGTGCAGAGCCCTCCCCAGGATTCTCTCCGCTGCCTAAGGTCTGGATGCATAAAAATCCTTGTGTCCCGGGAAACTCTTCCCCTTTTCTTAGACAAGCTTGGGTTGGTTTAGGTTGCACTCAACCACGCGTCCTAATCCAGAGTAAAAGGGGACATGGGAGAAGCCTCCCTCTTACAGATGAGGCACTGAGGCTCAGAGTGGCCAGGTGCCTTGTTCAAGATCATAGGGCCTTTGAGGACTAATGCTCGCCTGCTCCCTTTCTAGTGAAATAATCCAAACAGTGAAGATCCACTGTGAGTCCTCCCTCTCCCTCTCCTCTCCCACTCTCCAGAAGTAGCCACTCTTAGTAAGAGTTTGGTGGGGTTTGTATCAGACCTTTTAAAAAAGGTGTTTATCAACATATATGTATACAATATTCATACAGTTATATTGGAAAATGGGATATTGACCTCATTTTTCTGAAATTCACTTCTTTTTCACTCTTCAGATTGTCAATATTGCCAAATTCTAACTGTGCCTGGAGAATCTGGTGATGTATCTGGGAGGGAAGTGGTGATTAAGGTCGGGGCCACCTTGAGCCCTCGTGTGTCCAGACTCAAAGGACTGAGGTCAGAAAATCCTCCGGGCAGGGCTGAGACTTAGAGTCAGGGTGGACCCTTCCAGGAAGTGGTGCAGCCCCTCTGGGTGGCCGGCCCCTCTGGCTAGCTCTGACCTGGAGAAGTTCAGCCTTTGGTTTCAGTAAAATCTGCTACCCTGTGGAATCCTCCCACTGGCCTGTTATCTCCCCCTTAATTTCTGGGGCAAATTGCATTAAATGCTTTCCTTCCTCCCACAGTGGGCCAGGCAGGAGAGAGGCTGTTAGCTGCAGGCTAGGGAGTGTAGCCCCGGATTCTCACCTGGCAACCCCAGTAATGAGCACTGCAGAGACAGCCACAGACACCCTTATTGACCAGGAAGAAGTCAGGAGCCCAAAGGCAGAGAACCAAGGGCTGCGGGCCTGGAGGGAACCCAGGGAAGCCTAGACAGCCAGAGGCAGGCAGGCAATTAAAGGAGGGGGTGGAGTTTTCAATTAACAGCTCTTCTGCTAGAAGCAGGTAATTAACGGATTAGCAAGGCTGTTAGCAAGGCTGCTTGCTGCCAGTGAGGAACCTGGCAGGTGCTGCCTTGGAGAAGGAGGACCAGGCTCCAGATTCCACAGGAAGGAAAGGACTCTTCGGAGGCAGGATCCTGAGGGCAGCTGAGAGTCATGGGACTCAGCAGGGACACAGTGAGCAGGCTGGAAGGGCGGGAGGCAGGCCAGAGGGGATGGGGCAGTATAATCCCACTGTCCCCTGGCCTCGCAGGGTCCCTGGTTTGCAGAGCCCTCTTTGCCTGGGATGGGCTAAGGAGGCAGTGTATGAGAATATCTGGGGGTCATGGTGTTGACACCCCTGGAATTGGCACATTACCACAGAGCTCACACGTTTTCACAGTGGTTTAGGGGGGAAGCTGCATAAGGCGGGGCTGACAGCAAGGACTTTGACATTAGACACGCTTCAGTTAAGCCTCGCTCCCACTTCCCAATCTAGGGGACTAGGGGATCCTCAGACAGCCCAGATGTTCCTCAGACTACTCAGCACCTTTCTAGTTAGGCAGGATCATGCCAAATTCTAAAGAAGCCAGTACGCACCTCCATCTGTGTCTTCCCCTGCCAGGGAGTTGGCAGAGGCCACTGTTCCAGACAGCAGAGCCTCAATCAGCCTGAATCCCTGAGCGACCTGCATGGAGCAGATTCCCTCGCCAGCCCCCATGAGTGGGAGTGAGAGGTAAACTACTGTGTTAAGTTATGAGATGTTTAGAGCTGTGTGTTACAGCAGCGTAACCAAGCCTACCCTGACTATTACACAGGGTCAACCTCACCTTTGTAAAATGGGTAAGAATGATACCACCTGGAATGATTATTGTGAGGTTGAGTGAGAGGATATATGACTTGGCTGAAGGGTACACTTAGCTCCTGGACCCCACACCCTCTCCAAAAGCAAGGAATGTTGCCATGGACCAAGAGCCAAGCCCAGGGACATTTGATTGGCCACTTCTAGCAGAAGAACTCCTGTAATGCTTAGCAAAGTGTTAAAGGGTTGAACACACAGGGGAGGGGCCTGACCTGTAATGCTTAGCAAAGTGTTTAAGGGTTGAGCACACATGGGGAGAGGATGGTGGAGGCCTGGGCTGTGCCCTCCGGAAATGCTTGGCCAGCTCCCTCTCTCTGGCTTCTCCAGTTCTCTTTTGTCCCCAATATGGGGAGAGAGGCTGGGGGCTGCTACCCCAAGTCTTGCTGGCTGGAGCCGTGAGCATTGCTTGTGGTGGTGCTGGGCTCTGGGAGGGCTTCCCTTGGTTCTTGAAGGCCCCAGGCCATAAGTGACTCTTGTGACCCCATTAGCAGCACAACTTTCCCTCTGCCCCCTCTGTCCCATAGCAGCCCCCAGCTTTGCCTCCTGTCCTGCCACACCTGGACCCCACCATCTTTCCGTCATAAGCCTCCAGCCTGTCCCCTGAGCTGGCCCCACTTCCCTCCATTTGGGAGAAGCCGTGGAAGCTGCTGACTGTTCCCCCCTCGTTTTTCAGCCTGTTCCCCACTGTTCATGTTTGGTCTACAACATCAAACCCATTTCTTTTTCAGCTGATCTCATTTCTCCTGAGTTTCTGATGCTCTGAGTCCAAAGCCTAAACAACCGTATTCTTTTCACTCTCCAAATACAAAGCCCTCTCACCCTGGCTCGGCGGTTGGCTCCCTGCTCTGAGCCAGCTCACCTGATCCTTTAGAGGAAGAATGTTCGAAGCACAGGCTTTAAAAATGTCCTTCCTAGCTTGTGCATATTCTATTTGCACTTCCCCACTCACTCAAGAAGATGCCATTTCCCCCACAAAGCTGGGAGCCTTAATGCCCTTCTCCAGCACCCATCCTGCCCACCGTGGCTGAGGTCACAGCTCTGGGCTTTGAAATGCACAAACACAATCAGAGGTCAACTCCTGTCATTTGAGGATCCCTGATTAGAAAAGAGCTTGATATACAAGCAGGGTATGTATGGAAATAAAAAAATTAGAAAAAAGAGAAATAAAACTGGACACACAGATCAGCAGGGGTTAGCGGTCTCCTTGTCATTGTCACAAACAAACCCCTGTTCTGGTTCATGCCAGCCACTGCCACCCTTACAACCAAAAGTACAGTCACTAGGCCTGTGCTGTCCAGGGCAGCAGCCACTAACCATGTGTGCCTGATGAGCACTGAAAAGGAGCTCAGAAATGTTGAGATGTGCTGTGTGTAAAATATACACTGAATTCTAAAACTGGGGATTAAAAAGAATGGGAAACACCTTCTCAATATTTTGTATATTGATGACACATTGCAATGATAGTATTTTGAATATATTGGGTTAAAATATGTTATTGAAATTAATTTTACCTGTTTTTTTTCTTTCTTTCTTTTTTTTTTTTTTACATGGAGTCTCGCTCTGTTGCCTAGGCTGGCGTGCAGTGGTGCGATCTTGGCTCACTGCAAACTCTGCCTCCCAGATTCAAGTGTTCTCCTGCCTCGCCTCCTGAGCAGCTGGGATTACAGGCACCCACCATAACTCCTGGCTAATTTTTGTATTTTTAGTGGAGACAGGGTTTCACCATGTTGGCCAGGCTGGTCTCGAACTCCCAACCTCAAGCCATCCACCCACCTCAGCCTCTCAAACTGCTGGTATTACAGGCATGAGCCACCACACCCGGCCTCTTTTTCTTTCTTAATGTGGCCACTAGAAAACTTAAGATCCCCATTGCAGTGCATGTTGTATTTCTGTCACACACCGTTGCACTGGGCACCACTCTGTCACTCCTGCCATGCGGAGTCCTGCTCTTGGAATGCCGTGTTTTTGTTTCTCACTGCTGCTGTAACAAATTACCACCAGCTCAGTGGCTCAGAACAACACACATCTATTATTTTGCAGTTCTGGAGGTCAGACTCTGACCTGGGTGTCACTGGGCTACAGCAAAGGCGTCATCGGGGCTGCGTTCCTTTCTGGAGACTGTGGAGAAGAATCTCTTTCTGTGCTTCTCTGAGCTGCCCACATGCCCTGGCTCACAGCCCCCTTCCATTTCCAAAGCCAGCAATTGTTGTGAGGCTTTCTCACACTGCGCACCCTCACGCGGACTCGCCTACCTCCCTCTTGCACATCCCACCTGAATAATTCAGGATAATCTCCTGACATCGAGGTCAGCTGATTAGTGACCGTAATCCCATTTGGGCCCTTAACTTCTCCTTGCCATGTAACCTAACATATTCATGGGCTCCAGAAATTAGGACTTGTACATCTTCAGGGCCCTTCTTCAGCTGCCCACATGCCAGTGCCCCGTGCGTGTGTTTTCTTGTTCTGTGCTAACTGGCCAGCTCTTGGAAATGACTGGTGTGGGAACACTTGCTTCATTTTCTCCCTGTTCTTGATTATAGTCCAGAGATCTGCTGGGGGATGGTGTGAGCCCAAAGAAGCCGATTTCCTTCTTGAAGGGGGTGAGAAGAAGGGAGACTGTGACTTGACCAAGCCAATCGGCAAACTACCTTCCCTCCCAACAGAAGTTGATTTGTTCAGGAGGGGGCATGTGACAAAAGCTGGGCCACTCAGAGCCCATCTAAGGACTTCACTGAAATGCTGACATAAAGCAGCCACTTGTGCCACAGGGGGAAAGCCAGCCTCAAATGAAACTGTCTCACAAAGAAATAGAGATGAATGACTTGTAGAGAACTGGAAACAGAAACAAAATGAAACTTGCAGAGAAAATATTGCAAGTAAATGTTGAACCTCTGGATCGAACCATGCCTGAGTCCCTCCTGGCTCTGACTTTTCAGTTAGGTGGGTCCACACATTCCCTTTTTCAGCCAAGCCATTTGAATGGGATTTTCTGCTCTTTGCAAAATAAAGATTTGCGATGACTTAGAGAGGGGTTAAAGCCATATTTGATCTGGACACATGAGAGTACCTGAAGCCTGTCCTCACCCAGCTGTCTCTTCCCACTGGTCTTTGAGGCACAAGTCCTAAAGGAATGCCCTGTCTCTCTTTCCCCCAGATCTCCAAGAGGACCCTCCTGCCTCTGCTTCTCTTCCTCCCCTGAAGTCAATTTTGCAGTGTGCTGGTCAGCCTCATCCAGCCCCTCTTTTCTGGGAACTGCTCTAACTCGATGGCTGGATTGACTGGCCAAGAGACAGACATCAGGGTGAGCTGGATCATCAGACAGTCTCTCCTAGGAATGTGAAATACGAATTCAGAGAGGCTGGCAGCCCATTGTTCACGGGAATGCAGAAGCTGTGAGGCTGAGAAACCCCTTTCCATCCAGAGGGAAAGAAGGTATAGTGGGTGAGGGGAGAACAGCAGAGGCAGGCAACCCTGGGGCCGGGGAGCCAGAAGGAGTGGCTGCCTCTGTCTCCAAGGGCTTGCTAGCTTGAGGTCAGGTCCTTCCTGAGGTCTGACTGCTCCTCTTGCCCATTGGGTCTGAAATAAATTAATTATCACCCGCCCTTTTTCCCTATAGATGAGTTGAATCAATTTCTATCACTTGACATCAGAAGAGCCTTGAATAAGCCACACTTCCCATTCCCATGCTTGCCCTAGGACCCATTGCCCCAGATGGGGAGAAGGCCAAGTGAGCACCCGGCCTTCAGGAACCCTCATGGAGGCAGTTCTCTTCCCCCACTTTCTGCCAGGCAGGAGAGGCTGCTGAGGCTGCAGCAATGACCTGGGCTGCCTGGGGTTACTGAAGGCAGCAGGAAGCAGTGTTGGGTTGAGTCCCAGGTTTCCGGACTCCACACCTGGTGGCCGACGCAGCTAGCTACCTAGTCCACAGCCATTCTCCCCTTCCTCTCCCTCAAAGCCAAAGGTGGTTACACAACACAGTACAGCCCATGACAGGCATCTTCAGAGTGGGGCTTCCAGGACAGCTACTGCTTTCCTGTTGGGCCTGGTGGCTCTTCACTGTACCTTTCCCCTTCCCTATATTCCTCCCTGGGGCACAAAGTTCTGCCTGAAGGTGTAGCAGCAGGTATTTGTGACCCTGAGGATGAAGGCACCTGGTGAGGATGTCAACACAGGGAGCTGGAAGGACCCTGGTCCCCTATAGCCTCACCACAGCCCCAGCAGTGGGACCATCATGGATCCTGACCTTTGGGCTTCTCATTACTCAAGGAATAGAAAAACCCCAAATCGTGTTTGCTTAAGACCCTCTTGTCAGGTTTCTAAGTCTTTATTATTTGCAATTATAACTGATAATTTCCTATGTCCTCTGGGAATTTGGGTCATGGGTGGAGTTTTCTGGCGAGAAGAAGGGCTCAGGGACTCTCTAATTTCATCATTTTGCCCAGGGTCCAGTTTCCTCTGAAGTTTGCAAGGACACATGGAAGGTCAGCAGAAACTTGGCCATCTCAGTGTCCTGGTGGGTGATTTTTACGAGGATTTCTCATCACAGAGGATGGGAACCCAAAGGAGAATGGCCGCCATTGGAGCCTTTCCTGTCCCTCCACTGCCCAGAACAACTGAACTCTGTGTCAGTTGGGCTGCAAGTAAAGAAAACTCAACTAATGGAGGCCTCATTGAACAGGAGTTCATTTTACTCACGTAACAAACCTATGTGGTCCCAGGATTGTCTCACGGCCCAGTAAAGGCAAAGCATGGCGTTAGCAAGTCTGAGATGTTCTTGAATTTCCCCCCATTGCTGCAAGATGGCCCCTACAGCTCCAAACATCACATCCTCAATGGTGAATAAAGCTGATCTCCAACTGGGAAGAACTTCTGTCTCCTGGTGTGGTGAAGGCTGTTGGAGCATCTGCAGGAGCATCCAAACCCTGTGCTATTGGGGTAGTCCATGCCCTTCAAGCCAGTCATGGCTTTCCTGTTTCCTCTGTCAAATACTGGCTAAGGATAGGTCTGTGATGCAATTCTGGCCAGTGAGACATGATGGAAGAGCTGCTGGGTGAAATTCTGGGAAAAGTTCCCTTACTCTTTAAAAGATGGATCCAGGAGAAGAGAGTCTCTTTTGCTGGGTGTTGTCATATCTGGAGGTGATGCCTGGAACTGTGGCAGCTGTCTTGTGATTATGAGGGAAGCTGGCCTGAAAACAGACTGGCCCACTGAAGAGGAGGGCAGCATGGAATGTGGAATAAACCTGGGTCCCTGTTGGCTTCCTGCGGCCCTGATCTAACCAGCCCTGAGCTGTCCTACCTCTGCACTGCTTGGCACAGGAGACACATCTTGATTGTTTAAGCCCCTTTGAGTTGGGTTTTCTGTTCCTTGCAGCTGACAGCACTCTAACCAATCCACACATTTCCCTCTGCTCGATTTCCTGCTCCAGAGAGACAGGCACAGACCAGTACCGGGCAGCCCCACTCTGGGGAAAAACAACAGTGCTTATTGTTTGCCGGCACAGTGGGAGCTCTGCCTCCTGGCACAGTGGGAGCTCTGCCTCCTGTGGCAGGCTGGCCATTCCAAAACCACACTGCCTGCCACTGCCATAAAGAGGCCAGGACTGTGTTCAAAACCCCAGGCAGCAGGAGGAGTGGTTTGTGGGAGGTGTTGTGGTAGTGCATAAAGGAAGGTCATTTCCTGACCCTCAGAACCCACACTGCCCTCAGCCCCACACAGCCCTACCCAGCCCAGCATCGCCCCCAGTGCCCCTGGAGACAATAATGGCAGCCACCCACTGGCTGCTCCTGTGCGGGCAGGGCAGGAAAGCTGGTGGTTAAGTGCTGGAGAACCCCCAGGCCCTGGGGCTTGGCCGGAAAGGATTTCTGTAGAGACAGCGTGGACATTCTGTCCTCTGCAGGCCGCCTGGTACAGGATGAAAACAGGCCGGCTCAGTACTTTTTTGGCAACCGATTATATAGATTTGCATCCACATGAGCTCCCTCTTGCAATGACCCAGACCCCCACGAGGGCTCTCCCCACAGTCATTTGTGTTGAGAACGCTCTGAGCCCTTGAGCCTCCTTCCTCTCTGGGAAAGGGACTTTTTGGCAGTGAGAAGGACCTGGAGGGAGGCACTTCTGGAGGCATTTCCTTTCTGGGAGGAAATGCTCCAGGGCTCTCCTCCATCCACCAACAGCCTCCAAGTTGAGTAAGTGGCAGCGAAGGTCACGCCTGAGCTGGCAGCCATGGAACCTCACCTCCTGCTTTTCCAGCTTCGTTCCCAAAGACGTCCCTCCACGAGCTTGTGCTCATGCCATGCCTCTGCTGGAAGCCCTTGCTGTCTGCAGGTGGCGATGTGACCCGGGCCTGGCCCTGGGGATTTGTTCAGGCGTGTCACTCTTTCTGACCAAAGGGGACCAGCCTTGGGGCTTTTGTGGAAACCTCTGAGAAAGGGAGGTCCACAATTCTGGTTTCCTAGCTGGAGAGAATACGCCTGGCCCTGCTGGCAACCATCTTTCCCACCCAAGGGAGTCAGCCTGGACATTTTAGTCACTTGAGTCAATAAATTCTGTTTGCAAAGAAAAAAAAAATCGCTTTGAGCCGGGCTTTCTGTGGCTTACAGTGGAAACTCATTAGTAATATAAATGCAGATATCCCTCTTAGGCCAAAGTAATCTCTCCTTTCTTGCTTGCTCTATACCACACACACCTGCTTCATTGGCATTTACTGTTTCCCCACCTGCACGGGTGACCTTAGCCCCCCTGCACAAAGGCCTGGACGTCGCTGCCTCTGCAGCTGCCCCAGATCCAGGTGCCGTTAATTTTACCCTCAAGTTGCGCTGAACTACTCAGTGAATTATTGTTGGTCCAATAAAACCACTTTTGTTTTATTTATTCTTTTATCTCCACACTCACTCCCATTCCCTTCCCCTGCATGGGCAACATGCTCCCCATAGATTCCCCCACCTCCTGTGCTGCTTTAAAAATGCTCTTTCAAAAGAGATACAGTCTTTATGTGTTTTTTAATGTCTGCAAATGGTAATGTTTGGGTTCCCATGTTGCTTCTTCCTTTTTAAACTCAGCCCTGTGTTCAGGCCCATCCATGTGGCTATGTGTGCCTTTCATCTCTCCTTGTGGCTGCATAATTCTCCATGGTGTGGACCATTCCCATTTTGTCTCTCCATTCTCCCCAGGATAGAAACCCTAGGGTGCCTCCCGCAGCCCCCATCCCCACACTACCACAAAGAACTCTGCAGTGAACATCTTGGTGTGCATGTTTGACGAATCTGTGTCAATTTCTTTTACATCTCTACCTAGAAATGGAATAGCAGGGGTGTAAGGGATGCATACTATTGATCAAAATCCCTCCACAATGGTGGCTCTGGTCTATACTCCACAAGCAGTGCCCTCATCAACTTCCCCACTTCCCCACCCAACATGAAGACTTCTTTTTTTTTTTCTTTTTGAGGCAGGGTCTCACTTGTTGCCCTGGCTACTTACAGGTGCGATCATAGCTCACTGCAGCCCCAAACTCCTGGGCTCATGGGATCCTCTCACCTCAGCCTCCTGAGTAGCTGGGATGACAGGCATCTGCCACTGTGCCCAGCTCCAATACTTGTCTCTTCCTAGATTAGTTTTGCCTAAAAGATTGCATTAGTTTTCTACAGCTGCAGAACAAGTTAACACAAATTGTGTGGCTTAAAACACCATTTATTTTTCATCTCCCATTTTCTGTGGGCCAGGATTCTGGGCTCGGCTTAGCTGGGTGCTCTGCTCAGACTGTAACCCGGTGTTGGCCAGGCTGCATTCTCATCAGAGGCTCCACTGGAGAAAGATCTGATTCCAGGCTGCCTCAGGTGGCTGGCAGTATTCATCTCCGAGTGGTTGTAGAACTCAAGGAGACTTGCTTCTTCAATGTCAGCAGGAGAGATAGTCTCATACCTTTACATCCTTTTTTAAAGGGCTCACCTGATTAGATGCACCCTGGATGATGTCCTTTTTCATTAACATAAAGTCAACTGATCAGGGACTTTAATTACATTGGCAAATTCTTTTCCCCTTTTCCATATGGCACATCATCACCTTTGTTAGAATCTATTAATTAGAAGCACATTTACCAGGAGAGGATTACAGAAGTGCTTGCCTATTGGAGTTCAGCTGAGAATTTTGCCTACCATGTATGTATAAGGTTGTATCTGGTTCAAATTGTAGTAAAGCACACAGAACATAAAATTTCCCATCTTAACCACTGTTAATTGTACACTTTAGTGGTATCAAATACTTTCACATTGTTGTGCAACCATTACCACCATCCATCTCAAGAACTCTACTTTTGTGAAACTGAAACACTGTGTCCAATTAGATACTAACTTCCCATTCCGTTTTTGCCCCAGCCCTTGGCAATCATTCTATTTTCTGTTTCTATGAATTTGATTATTCTAGGTATCACATGTAAGTGGAATACTGTCTTTTTGTGACTGGCTATTCCACTTAGCATAATGCCCTCAAGGTTCATCCACGATGTAGCCTATCACAGGATTCTCTCCCTTTCTAAGGCTGAATCATATTTTATTGCATGTATAGACCACATTTTGTTCATGCATTCGTCTATCAATGGACACTTGCTTCCACTTTTTGGTTCCTATGAATGCTGCTGCTATGAACTTGGATATACAATATCTCTTTAACATCCTGCTTTCAATCCTTTTGGGAATACGTCCAGAAGTGGAAATTCTTGGTCATACGGTAATTCTATTTGAATTTTTTTTTAGGAATGGCCATGTTGTTGTCCACAGTGGCGGCACCATTTTACATACCCACCGGTAGTGCACAAGGGTCTAATGTCTCACTCCTCACCAACACTCGGTATTTTCGGGTTTTCTTGACAGTAGCTATTCTAGTGGGTATGAAGTGCTATCTCACTGTAGTTTTCATCTGCATTTCCCTTATTCTGGGTGATTCTCAGCACCTTTTCTTGTGCTCATTGACCATCTGTGTATCTTTTTTGGAGAACTATTTCCTCATATATCTTATTGTTAGAATGTGTATTTCTGTACTAATGATCTTAGCCACTTCCTCATATGCTTCCTGGCTTTTGGGGTTTCCTCTCCCAAAAACTGCCTGCTCGTGTCCTTTGTCTATTTATTTTTCTTGTTAATTTTCAGGAGTTCCTCGTATATTGAGGCCACTAATCTCTTGTCAGTTTTAGACTGCACATAACTTCTCTCATTTTGCCATGTGTCACTTGCAACAGATCTATTTGATTGTAACATCATGAAATCCCCTCCACTTTTTCTGCCTTATGGTTTCTGCTTTGAAATTTTGTCTAAGAAATCTTCTACTCCTTTTGGTAAGTTCCCCTGTGTGTTTTGTTTTCTAACATGTTATAATCTGGCTATTCATGGTGGTCATCGTGAAAAGCAATCCCATATAAGGTGGATGCTCAGATTACGGATTAAAGAATCAATTAGTCACTTCCAAGATGGCCAAGTAGGAACAGCTCCGTTCTGCAGCTTCCAGTGAGATTGACACAGAAGATGGGTGATTTCTGCATTTCCAACTGAGGTTCCTGGTTCATCTCACTGGGACTGGTTGGACAGTGGATGCAGCCCATGGAGGGTGAGCCGAAGCAGGGCGGGGCATTGCCTCACCTGGGAAGTGCAAGAGGTCAGGGGATTTCCCTTTCCTAGCCAAGGGAAGCCGTGACAGACTGTACCTGGAAAAACGGTACACTTCTGCCCAAATACTGCACTTTTCCCATGGTCTTAGCAACCAGCAGACCAGAAAATTCCCTCCCGTGCCTGGCTCAGTGAGTCCCATGCCCATGGTCCTTTGCTCTCTGCTAGCGCGGCAGTCTGAGATCGACCTGCGAGGTGGCAGCCTTGTGGGAGGTGGTGGAGGGGCGTCTGCCATTGCTGAGGCTTGAGTAGGTAAACAAAGCTGCCAGGAAGCTTGAACTGGGTGGAGCCCACTGCAGCTCAGCAAGGCCTACTACCTTTATAGACTCAACCTCTGTGGGCAGGGCATAGCTGAACAAAAGGCATCAGACAACTTCTGCAGACTTAAAACGTCCCTGTCTGACAGCTCGGAAGAGAGCAGTGGTTCTCCCAGCATGGCGTTCGAGCTCTGAGAACAGACAGACTACCTCCTCAAGTGGGTCCCTGACCGCTGTGTAGCCTGACTGGGAGACACCTCCCAGTAGGAGCCAACAGACACCTCACACAGGCAGGTGCCGCTCTGGGATGATGCTTCCAGAGGAAGGATCAGGCAGCAATATTTGCTGTTCTACAGCCTCCCCTTGTGATACCCAGGCAAACAGGTCTGGAGTGGACCTCCAGCAAACTCCAAAAGACCTGCAGCTGAGGGTCCTGACTGTTAGAAGGAAAACTAACAAGCAGAAAATAATAGCATCAACATCAACAAAAAGGACATCCACACCAAAACCCCATCTGTAGGTCACCAACATCAAAGACCAAAGGTAGATAAAACAACAAACATGGAGAGAAACCAGAGCAGGAAAGCTGAAAATTCCAAAAATCAGAGCGCCTCTTCTCCAAAGGATCGCAGCTGCTCACCAGCAACGGAACAAAACTGGACAGAGAATGACTTTAATGAGTTGACAGAAGTAGGCTTCAGAAAGTCAGTAGTAACAAACTTCTCTGAGCTAAAGAATATTCTAACCCATTGCAAGGAAGCTAAAAACCTTGAAAAAAGATTAGACAAATGGCTAACTAGAATAAACAGTGTAGAGAAGATCTTAAATGACTTGATGGAGCTGAAAAGCAGGGCACGAGAACTTCATGACGCATGCACAAGCTTCAGTAGCCGATTCGATCAAGTGGAAGAAAGGGTATCAGTGATTGAAGATGAGTTGAATGAAATGAAGTGAGAAGAGTTTAGAGAAAAAAGACTAAAAAGAAATGAACAAAGCCTCCAAGAAATATGGGACTATGTGAAAAGACCAAATCTACATTTGATTGGTGTACCTGAAAGTGACAGGGAGAATGGAACCAAGTTGGAAAACACTCTTCAGGATATTATCCAGGAGAACTTCCCCAACCTAGCAAGGCAGGCCAACATTCAAATTCAGGAAACACAAAGAACACCACAAAGACACTCCTTGGGAAGAACAACCCCAAGACTCATAATTGTCAGATTCACCAAGGTTGAAATGAAGGAAAAAATATTAAGGGCAGCCAGAGAGAAAGGTCGGGTTACCCACAAAGGGAAGCCCATCAGACTAACAGCGGATCTCTCAGCAGAAACTCTACAAGCCAGAAGAGAATAGGGGCCAATATTCAACATTCTTAAAAGAATTTTCAAGCCAGAATTTCATATCCAGCCAAACTAAGCTTCTTAAGTGAAGGAGAAATAAAATCCTTTACAGACAAGCAAATGCTGAGAGATTTTGTCACCACCAAGCCTGCCTTACAAGAGCTCCTGAAGGAAGCATTAAACATGGAAGGGAACAACCAGTACCAGCCACTGCAAAAACATGCCAAATTATAAAGACCATTGATGCTATGAAGAAACTGCATCAATTAATGGGCAAAATAGCCAGCTTACATCATAATGTCAGGATCAAATTCACACATAACAATATTAACCTTAAATGTAAATGGGCTAAATGCTCCAATTAAAAGACACAGACTGGCAAATTGGATAAAGAGTCAAGACCCATCATTGTGCTGTATTCAGGAGACCCATCGCACGTGCAGAGACACACATAGGCTCAAAATAAAGGGATGGAGGAAGATCTACCAAGCAAATGGAAAGGGAAAAAAAGCAGGGGTTGCAATCCTAATCTCTGATAAAACAGACTTTAAACCAACAAAAATCAAAAGAGACAAAGAAGGCCATTACATAATGTGTAAAGGGATCAATTCAACAAGAAGAGCTAACTATCCGAAATACACAGGCACCCAATACAGGAGCACCCAGATTCATAAAGCAAGTCCTTAGAGACTTACAAAGAGACTTAGACTCCCACACAATAATAACTGGAGACTTTAACACCCCACTATCAACATTAGGCAGATCAATGAGACAGAAGGTTAACAAGGATATCCAGGACTTGAACTCAGCTCTGCACCAAGTGGAACTAATAGCCATCTACAGAACTCTCCACCCCAAATCAACAGAATATACATTCTTCTCAGCACCACATCACACTTATTCTAAAATTGACCACATAATTGGAAGTAA
Organism: Homo sapiens; assembly: GCF_000001405.40. Taxonomy (NCBI): domain Eukaryota; kingdom Metazoa; phylum Chordata; class Mammalia; order Primates; family Hominidae; genus Homo; species Homo sapiens. The sequence goes on along the minus strand of NC_000002.12, from coordinate 96,043,374 downwards.
AACACACCTCAGCAAATGTAAAAGAACAGAAAGCACAACAAACTGTCTCTCAGACCACAGTGCAATCAAATTAGAACTCAGGATTAAGAAACTCACTCAAAGCCATACAACTACATGGAAACTGAACAACCTGCTCCTGAATGACTACTGGGCAAATAATAAAATGAAGGCAGAAATAAAGATGTTCTTTGAAACCAATAAGAACAAAGACACGATTACCAGAATCTCTGGGACACATTTAAAGGACTGTGTAGAGGGAAATTTATAGCACTAAATGCCCACAAAAGAAAGCAGGAAAGATCTAAAATTGACACCCTAGCATCACAATTAAAATAACTAGAGAAGCAAGAGCAAACACATTCAAAAGCTAGCAGAAGACAACAAATAACTAAGATCAGAGCAGAACTGAAGGAGATAGAGACACAAAAACCCCTTCCAGAAATCAATGAAACTAGGAGCTGGTTTTTTGAGAAGATCGACAAAATAGACCACTAGCAAGACTAATAAAGAAGAAAAGAGAGAAGAATCAAATAGACACAATAAAAAATGATAGAGGGGATATCACCACCAATCCCACAGAAATACAAACTACCATCAGAGAATATTATAAACACCTCTATGCAAATAAACTAGAAAATCTAGAAGAAATGGATAAATTCCTGGACACATACACCTTCCCAAGACTAAACCAGGAAGAAGTTGAATCTCTGAATAGACCAATAACAGGTTGTGAAATTGAGGCAATAATTAATAGCCTACAAACCAAAAAAAGTCCAGGAGCAGATGAATTCACAGCTGAATTCTACCAGAGGTACAAAGAGGAGCTGGTACCATTCCTTCTGAAACTATTCCAAGCAATAGAAAAAGAGAGAATCCTCCCTAACTCATTTTATGAGGCCAGCATCATCCTGATACCGAAGCCTGGCAGAGACACGACAAAAAAAATTGAATTTTAGACCAATATCCCTGATGAACATCGATGCAAAAATCCTCAATAAAATACTGGCAAACGGAATCCAGGCAAACTGAATCAAAAAGTTTATCCAGCACGATCAAGTTGGCTTCATCCCTGGGATGCCAGGCTGGTTCAACATACACAAATCAATAAACGTAATCCATCACATAAACAGAACCAACAACAAAAACCACATGATTATCTCAATAGATGCAGAAGAGGGCTTTTGACAAAATTCAACAGCCCTGCATGCTAAAAACTCTCAATAAACTAGGTATTGATGGAATGTATCTCAAAATAATAAGAGCTATTTATGACAAACCCACAGCCAATACCATACTAAATGGGCAAAAACTGGAAGCATTCCCTTTGAAAACCGGCACAAGAGAAGGATGCCCTCTCTCACCACTCCTATTCAACATAGTGTTGGAAGTTCTGGCCAAGGCAATCAGGCAACAGAAAGAAATAAAGAGTATTCAATAAGGAAAAGAGGAAGTCAAATTGTCCCTGTTTGCAGATGACATGATTGCATATCTAGAAAACCCCATCGTCTCAGCCCAAAATCTCCTTAAGCTGATAAGCAACTTCAGCAAAATCTCAGGATACAAAATCAATGTGCAAAAATCACAAGCATTCCTATACACCAATAACAGACAAACAGAGTGCCAAATCATGAGTGAACTCCCATTCACAATTGCTACAAACGGAATAAAATACCTGGGAATCCAACTTACAAGGGATGTGAAGGACCTCTTCAAGGAGAACTACAAACCTCTGCTCAACGAAATAAAAGAGGACACAAACACATGGAAGAACATTCCATGCTCATGGATAGGAAGAATCAATATCGTGAAAATGGCCATAATGCCCAAGGTAATTTATAGATTCAATGCCCTCCCCATCAAGCTACCAATGACTTTCTTCACAGGATTGGAAAAAACTACTTTAAAGTTCATATGGAACCAAAAAAGAGCCCACACAGCCAAGACAATCCTAAGCAAAAAGAACAAAGCTGGAGGCATCACACTACCTGACTTCAAACTATACTACAAGGCTACAGTAACCAAAACAGCATGGTAGTGGTACCAAAACAGACACATAGACCAATGGAACAGAATGGAGGCCTCAGAAATAACCACACATCTAAAACCATCTGATCTTTGACAAACTTGACAAATACAAGAAATGAGGAAAGGATTCCCTATTTAATAAATGGTGCTGGGAAAACTGGCTAGCCATATGTAGAAAGCTGAAACTGGATCCCTTCCTTACACCTTATACAAAAATTAACTCAAGATGGAGTGAAGACTTAAATGTAAGACCTAAAACCATTAAAACCCTAGAAGAATACCTAGGCAATATCATTCAGGACATAGGCATGGGCAAGGACTTCATGACTAAAACACCAAAAGCAATGGCAACAAAAGCCAAAATTGACAAATGGGATCTAATTAAACTAAAGAGCTTCTGCACAGCAAAATAAACTATCATCAGAGTGAACAGGCAACCTACAAAATGAGAAAAAATTTTTACAATCTACCCATCTGACAAAGGGCTGATATCCAGAATCTACAAAGAACTTAAACAAATTTACAAGAAAGAAACGAACAACCCCACCAAAAAGTGGGTGAAGGATATGAACAGACACTTCTCAAAAGAAGACATTTATGCAGCCAACAGACACATGAAAAAATGCTCATCATCACTGGTCATCAGAGAAATGCAAATCAAATCCTCAATGAGATACCATATCACGCCAGTTAGAATGGCGATCATTCAAAAGTCAGGAAACAACAGATGCTGGAGAGGATGTGGAGAAATAGGAACACTTTTACACTGTTGGTAGGAGTGTAAATTAGTTCACCCATTGTGGAAGACAGTGTGGTAATTTCTCAGGATCTAGAACTAGAAATACCATTTGACACAGCCATCCCGTTACTGGGTATATAACTAAAGGATTATAATAAATCATGCTACTATAAAGACACGTGCACACGTATGTTTACTGCGGCACTGTTCACAATAGCAAAGACTTGGAACCAACCCGAACGTCCATCAGTGATAGACTAGATTAAGAAAATGTGGCACATATACACCATGGAATACTATGCAGCCATTATAAAGAATGAGTTCATGTCCTTTTCAGGGACGTGGATGAAGCTGGAAACCATGATTCTCAGCAAACTATCACAAACACAGAAAACCAAACACCCCATGTTCTCACCCATAGGTGGGAATTGAACAATGAGAACACATGGACCCAGGGCAGGGAACATCACACACCAGGGCCTGTCGGTGGGTGGAGGGCTGGGGGAGGGATAGCATTAGGAGAAATATCTAATATAAATGATGAGTTGATGGGTGCACCAAACCAACATGGCACATGTATACGTATGTAACAAGCCTGCACGTTGTGCACACGTACCCTAGAACTTAAAGTATAAGAATGAAAAAAGAATCAATGTATGATTCTTTAATCCATCATCTGAGCATCCATCTTATAAGGGATCACATTGTTTTTCTCCATATAGTAAGAGTTTTTCCAACAAGAACAGCAACTCTTTCCCACTGACTTGTGATGCACCTTTTATCATAGATGAAATTTCCCTCTAACCAGGGATCTCCCCTCTCCATGCTGAGTTGTCTGTTGGTTCACTGTCACCATACTGCTTAAGACAACAACAGCACCTTTAGAGTGTACCTGAGTATCTGGAAGAGCTTCCTGCCTACCCTCCTTTGGCTTAGGCATCTGTGGACCTTTATCCCTCCTCGCATGATTCAGAGTGAGTTTCTAAAACTGGAATCTTTACTGGGACTACAGTGAAGTGATGGATGAATTGAGGGAGAACTGACATCTCCATATATCAGGCCACCCCTCCCAGGAGCAGGAGATGACTTTACCTGGGGAGTATCTACACCCCCATTCTACTCCCACCTACCAATTAGTCGGCAATTGATGGAGTTGCTCAATCAATGCTAGGGAGCAGATCTCCAGGGAGGAAGACAGAGTGGGCCTGGAATATTCTTCAGCATCACTGCTTCCATTCCCAGCCACGCCTGGCAAGAGGGAGGAAACATCCTGTCACAGAACCTATGTTTTCTGGGTGGACGAAACCAGGTGTCCTGGAGGAAGCAGGTATGGTGGGAAGTTGGGGCAAGGGGCAAGGGGACACAGAGCAACAGAACTTCTGGCTTTCCCTAGCATGGGCCAACCCTCCCGGCCAGCATCATGAGGCGGCACTGGCTGCTTCCCCCTTGTCCCGGGGATTGGGAGGATTGTTGTGCTTCATTCAGCCTGTCTACCTCATGACTTGACTGAGCTACACCTCAACATTGTCAAGTAAGTAGACAGATTATCATCCCCATTCAAGAGAAGAGGAGAAGTCATCTCCTGCTAAGGTCCACAGAGAAGGAAGTTCACTCATTACCTGAAAAACATTTATCCAGACCTCACAGTGCAGCAGCTTCTTGGCCCTGGGATGTGGCAGAGACCAGACAAATGGTCAAATGGATCCAGTCAGCATTAGACACCATGGTGGACATGTTGTTCATGTCAGCCAGCACCATTCCCTGAGAAAACCAACCCCGTGCACTCCGTTTCTCCTAGGCTGGTCAATCATGGTGCCCCCTCACCAAAGACAGGAAAGGGGGCAATGGTGTGGGTCCAGTCACTACATCAGGACATGCCACACCCCCTAGCCACAGGGATTGGTCAAGAGGGTATGAGGACGATCCTTGCAGTACCGGAGTCTTCCCTGGGGTTTCATGTGTATGTTGAGGGACAGAAGTTTCTTCCTACTAAGGTTGATGAGGAGGGTGGATATAAGTCTTGGGCGGTTGGCAGTCAGGTTTTTATAGAAAAGAGCCTTCAGGAAGAACAAAACCAAGCAGAGACAAGCAGTATGGACACATGAGAGAGAACCGGAGGCCTGACAATGTTGCTTTAGCACTTAGGTCCAGCCATGCCTAGAGTTAACACATTCATACTTTCTCGTTATGTGAGCCAACCCATGAGCTTTTGGCTTATGCATACTTGAGTTGGAATAAGTGGAAACAAAGAGTACCACTGGACAGAGCCCCTACCAACAAATCCAACTCTCTGCCCACTCTACGGAACTTTCCCCTCAGGTTCCACCACACTCTTTCAGGTTGGGGCTTATTTTGATCATAATTCCCCTGTTCTCAAATTGTCTTTGAATCCAGATTCTGTCAGTAAGTACCCTTTATTCCTTATTGGTTTATGACATCTGCTAGAAGGCCAAGCCTGCCTTCTGTGTCATCCCCCAAGTTGGTGTTGAAGATACCGATGTGGAGGACAGAACACTGTAGCATGCAGCACCCTCCTCCCTCAGGTTGTCAGCCCTTGAATCTCTCACGCTGTCCCTGGTCTTCACAGAATCCCAGATCCCCAGTATTAGAAAGGATCTCGGGTTCCCCACTCACTCTATCCCAGCCTCTTGGCTCAAGTTTTCATCTATAGAAGTGGTGCCAGCCTTGGCCAGAGGAAAGTGGCATGTGTGGTCAGTGTCTGTTGGCAGCTTCCCAGCATCAATGTTCCCATTCTCCTGCCACTAGCACCCATATTTGACTTCTCCATTCTAGGCTGCCATTTGCTGCAGTGCTTAGCAAGACATTATGGAAGGTTCTGGTATAACGGAAGGGATCTACAACATAGAGTACCACCAATGGTTACCTCTGGAGGTGGCTGTGCTCAGAGCACCTGGGCCTGGGAGGGAAAGGGTGTCTCAGAAAGAGGCATGTCTCCTCCTTTAATCAGGGTTCCTCAGAGATTGGCATTTGAAATCTCCAGACTGAGTAAGGAATATTCACCTTCACCCCACGGGGGCAGACACCATCCAATCAGTCGAGGGCCTGGATAGAACAAAAGGCAATGGAAAAGTGAATTTCCTCATAACCCTAACTAACGGAGGAGACATGCCTCCCTCTGAGACATCCCTTTCCCTCCCAGGCCCAGGTGTTCTGAGCACAGCCACCTTCAGAGGTAACCATTGGTGGTGTCTATGTTGTAGATCCCTATTACTCCGGAATCTTCCATAAAGTCTTGTTCAACATTGCAGCAAACCACAGCATAGAATGGAGAAACAGAACCAAGAATATAGGTAGGGGGATGGACAGATGAGCTTTATTATGGGAATTGGCTCCCGTGATTATGGAAGTTGAAAAGCCCCACCATATGCCTTCTGCAAGCTAGAGAACCAGGGAAGCTGGTGGTGTAGCTCAGTCCAAGTTTGAAGGCCTGAGAACCTGTGGGTGGGGGTGCTGCTGGTCCAAGTTATAGAACCCAAAGCCTGGATCTAATGTCCAAGGGTAGGAGAAGATGGCTGTCCCAGCTGCAGGAGAGAGAGAGAGAGAGAGAGAGAGAGAGAGAGAGAAGGGAAGAGAGAGAGAGAGAGAGAAGGGAAGAAAGAGAGAGCCTGCATGCAAATTCTCTTTTCCTCTGCCTTTTTTCTATCAAGGCCCTCAACCGATTGGATGGTGTCTGCCCCCATTGGGTGAAGGTGAATATTCCTTACTCTGTCCAGTGATTCAAATGCCAGTCTCTTCCAGAAACACCCTCACAGATATACCCAGAAATAATGCCTTGCCAGCTCTCTGGGTATCTGGGTATCCCAGTCAAGCTGACACCTAAAATTAAACATCACATCTCCTTTTCTCTGCCCCGCTGGTGGTCCCCAGACAGACTGGCAAGAGCCCCTCTGCCCATTCTAATGCCAGCTCAAGTCCTTTTCTCCAGGTGATATACAGGAGAAAGGCCTGTCAGTGCCTTCAGGGAACACCTGCCCCCAGCCACAGGGAGGGCCTTTGTCCCTCTGGGCGCAGGCAGTCAGTTAGGTGCATCAGGATATTCTGGGTAATGCATTCTGGCATGAGTCCAGGATGGGGCTCACCAAGTCCAGTCCAGGTTGGGCAGGGCCCAGCTCAAATCAGTTTATGTTTCTCTCAGGGTCGGGTCAGTCACAATCAGTGTGTATGGCAGCTGGCCTACAGGTCTTGCTGCACTGCAGCTCTGCCTCTCCTGCAAACTGCTTGAGGGAGAAAGAGCACACTGAGTCCTCGGTCCCAGACCCAATCTGGGTCTGAGAGGGATGCTTCTTTTCAAATGTCCAAATTGCAGCAAACAACCACCACCACCATAACAAAATACGTTTCTTCCAAAGAAGCAGCACATCTGACAGCTGAACTCTGAGATGCTGCGCCTCGTCTCTACAGTCAATCCATGCAACCTTCTAGTCTAAAGTCTCTGCTTTGGGGCTACTTCTCAGCATGAGAACTCCTTAAGAGGTGGGGACGTGTTCACAACGGCAAAACTCGGCTGCCTGTACAGATGGTGTTCCCAGAACTAAGAGGCGTCAGCCTTCGGTAAATTCAAGTCTGCACTCTTAGGAGGCAACTTACAACTTCGAAGTGAAAGTCTATATTTTTCGTTTTTCAGCGTCAGAGTCTCAGGATCTCGATGTGGACAGGCACCCTGATACAAAAGAACGGTAAGATGGGGTACAAAATGGATTCTGCAGGTACCGGGAGGACGTTGCAAATCCCAATGAAGGTGAGTGGATGCACACACAGCCTGGATAGACACGAAATGGCACAAAGGGAGAGAAAGGCTACATCCCGGAGGGGCAGGGTGTGGGAGTCACATCAGGGCTGGTGAGTCAGAGACGAGGGAGGATGTGAACACGTTCTGTGCTGTCTTGGGCCCCGCCAGGCTCATGTGTGGCTTTGCTCCGGCACACGTGTGTCACATGCTCTGGAACTGTGGAATCCTCTGGCATGTCAGGCGGGCTCATTCCATGGGGGCAGGAACAGAGAGCCCAGTCATTCGCACGTTCATCTGTTCTATACTGCTTGCCTCCCACTGGCTGGTCTCCTGCTGGGTGCTGGGAACACAGTTACAACATGAATGAACCCATAAGGTCTTTGTTTACGCGGAGCTTAGGGCCGAGACAGGAGTCAGGTCTTAATCAAATAACCACACGAATGAACACACCGGCCACAGGCCCAGCTGAAACCTTAGCACCGCGCGGCTGCTGGAGGTCCCTGACGGTGGTCTAGGCTTCACATTAACAAAGGAAATGACACTGGGAGGCCTGACTTGTTTTTCATGACTGCAACTGTCTCTTGATGATCTTCTCTCCTTTCTAATCGTCCCCAGCTCAGAATTTTGCTAGAGCCGAACCCCAGCTTGGAGGAGCGTAAGCCCTGGGATAACTTCTTTAATCAGAATCTGGCCTGAGTCCCTGCTCGAAGCTCAAGCACCCGGGGCCTCGCGGCCGCCTGCAGTACTCCCCTCCCACCGCGGGCCAGGGCCGACTGGAAAACGGAGCAGGCCATCCCCAGAGCACGGGTCCCGTGGCCACGTTGAGTGTCGCAGAGTACGGGACGCAGGGCGGGGCTTCTGGACCAGCGCGCATCCCAATTGGCTCTCGGGGCTGCCTTTTAGCCGGACGCGCGGAGGTGGGCAATCCGCTCCTTCCCTTGAGCAGTCCACGCCTTGTGGCGGCTTTGCGGAGCTGCTGCTTTGGCGGGAGTTGGAAGCTGGTGTGAGGTGAGAGGCGCGGTGGTCGCTCCCCGGCGAGGCCAGGTCAGAAGGGGACCGGGATCATCCAGGGGCTTTCCTGCTTCAAGAGCCTGGTCTGAGCGGCCTGTTGGGGACTGGGCGGAAGTCGAAAGGGAGGGAGTGCCGGCCATGCGGGTCTTGTGGCGGGAATGAGTCCTTGTGGGGCGTGGTGTTGTGGAGAGCCCCGCTTTGCCTCTTCCTCGGCATCCCGTTCCCCTACATCCAGAGAGGGCATCCAGGACCTGATGTCGGGCAGGTGCCCTTCGCACATCTTGGGGTAGCTCGGGGAGCGCCTGTCACGGGTCTGACGAGGAAGCTGAGGCCTGAGGGGCCCTGGGCGGGGGCTGTGGGGCGCCGAGGCCATGTTTGAGCAGAGCCGGGAAGGTGAAGTTCTCTTGCGGCTCTCTGTAGGGCACAAGCATTCCAAACGTGGGGGCAGGTTTAGAGTTTTACCCTTGATCAAGGGCTGAACGCTCAGATGTGCACAGGCTCAGGCGTCAGTGATAATCAAGGTGGAGGCAAACGGGAGGGCTCCTGCTGTCGGGCTAAAGGGACAGTGGCGGCCAGCTGAGCCCTGTGGGGTGTGTGCTCAGAGATGCCAGAGCTCAGCTTTTTCCATTACAGCCGCGACTGGAAACCTTGATTTTCAAAAAATGTATATGTAACAAGCCCTCTGCTGTTCAACGTTGGTTTTACATCATAAGGTTTTAGCACGTTGTGTAGTCAAAGAAGTGTGTGTGTGTGTATATATATGTATATATGTATTATATGTATATATGTGTGTGTATATATGTATATATGTATTATATATGTATATATGTGTGTGTATATATATGTATATATGTATTATATATGTATATATGTGTGTGTATATATATGTGTCTATGAGTTGAATTTGCCCTCGGGGTGCCAGTTTGCATCCTCTGCTGTAGGAGTCCTGAGCTGTGTTGTTAACTGGCAGATGGGAATAACCCCTTGCCATGGCTTTGACTCTGCTTCCGTAGAGCTAGCACAGACCTAATGGGGTTAGATTTGGGGGTTGGGGGTGGTCTGCAGCTAGGGGACAGACACCCTCCTTGCAAAGCGGGCGTGGGTTTGTAGCCTTCCTGTACCATGTGTCTGTGAACAGGGCTATGCAACATTTTCAAGATAACAGAGTGCCTTTGGGATGAGCCTCCCGTGGCCCCCGAGACCCTGGGCACTGCAGGGATCCTGATCCCATTACTGCTTGGCTTCCTGGCTGGAAACCGAGCTGACTGGGGAAAGGAGGAACGCGCCTGGAGAATTCTTGGGAGGAAGTTATTGTGGGTCAGCTGGCTCTTCCTGGTTCCCTCTTGCACACCGGGCAGACTGCTGGACATACAGAGATGAGTCCCTGCCCTCAGGACACTCTGACCACGTAGGGAGATGAAACCATAGCCCTGGAGGAGGGCTTCGAATGGCTCTTTGCCGGGCAGGCTTGGGCTGGGGAACCCAAGGAGGAGAGGGAGGGCTTAGAGGGTGTTCCAGAAGCATCGTGGACTTAGAACCCTGGGCAGAATTGGGTGGGTGGCTGGGAAGGGAGAGGCTCCTAGATGGGCCTGATCGAAGTGTGGTAGGGATGGGGAAACATGATTAGACCAGCCCACTCATCAGGGTCGTGCTGACAAATAGGGAAGAGGGGCTTTTAGGCCCAAATTTTTGAGCCAGGAGTCGTTCAGTGCTGTTTGAAGGAACATAGGTATTTATTAGTTCAGGGAAATATTGTGGTGGGAAGGAGGGGCTGAGGAGATACAAGTGGCGTCTTCTGTGGAGAACGTTAATGTGAGAGGGGAGTGATTGTGGAAAAGTCTGTCTTTGTCCCCAACTAGATGCTCATTCCTGGTGAGTAGGCCTCTGTGTTCTGACCCTGAGTTGTCCCTCTTCTATTAGCCAGCCCACATTCCCGTAATGTTTGGGTGGTTACAGGGCTGTCTCCTGGTGAGGAGGGGAGGGCAGCTGAGTAGGACCTGGTGGCCTCATGGCGATAGTCTTCTTCCTCCTTGGCAGTCTTGTGCCTCCTTCCTTCCAATCCAGCCCTCATTCTTTCCCTCTGCACAGAAAGGATCAGCATCTCCGGTACAGCCCCCATCTGTGCTAGGAGATGGCCGGGTGGGTGTGGATGCTAAGACAACCGATCCCCCTCATGTTGGCCCGAGGAGGGCCCTGACCTGGATACTGTGAGACCTTTTGAGGACAGCTGGCTCCTTTGTGGGATCAGTTGGGTGTGGGGCAGGGCCTTGACCTGAGCCAGCCCCTAGTTTCCAGCCTAGGTTCTCCTCACCACTAATGGCCTAAGTGATGTCTGTCTGTCCTGTGATGGGGGGTTGCAGTTACCGCAGGAGGCCCTGGATTATGGCTCAGATTCTTATGGCTCCATCCTTGCACCTTTCCCCGGCTCAGGTTTCTGTGGGGAGAAGGAGAGTGCCAGAGGTGACTGGTTCATGGTTCTTCTAGGCTCTCATGGCCACCATGTTGGAAGGCAGATGCCAAACTCAGCCAAGGAGCAGCCCCAGTGGCCGAGAGGTAATGTGGCTCCTCCCATTCCTCAAATCCTCTCTGCCCTGCCACCCCTTCTGCTGTGCCCCTCACTCCTAGAGCCTCCATTGCTCCATCTTTCCCTCTCTCCTGCCAAGGACTTTGAGTCCTCTCATCTCTCCTCATCGCCCTTTCCAGGCTAGCCTGTGGTCGTCAGGCTTTGGGATGAAGCTGGAGGCTGTCACTCCATTCCTGGGGAAGTATCGCCCCTTTGTGGGTCGCTGTTGCCAGACCTGCACCCCCAAGAGCTGGGTGAGTGATGGTAGGGCCAGGCCCCAAGCAGGAAGCTTGGTTCTGGGAGCCGAAGCTCTGGGAAGCTGCTTCCTTTATGTCCCTGCAAGCTTGGCTCTTCCCTGCCCCATGCCTCTGCTTCTGTCTTTCAGGGGAATGGATGCACTGGTATTGGTTGTATGGTTGGGCGGTGGCTTGTTCCCAGGCCTGGGAGAGTTGGGTGGGAGAAGTACAGAGGGGCCTAAGTGGTGGTAGGGTGTGCCCAGAGGGCTGGGTTCTTATCATGCCTGTGTCAGTTTTGTTGTTCAGTTTTGTGGACATCACCCACTCAGACTTCCCCAGCACTCAGCACATGCTTGAAGACCTCTTTTTTGGTTTGTGTCATGTGATGGTGGTGAGGGAGCCCAGATTTCTCATGGAGACCCAGGCTGCGTTTTCTCTGCTGTTGAGAAGATAACTTCTGGAGACTTTCATATACCACTCTGAAAGAGGGTGATTCTGTACAGGATACAGCACTTCAGTTTTGAGCATGGGCCCCTTTTTCCTGAGCCAGCCTAGAATCTGGGGTCAAACACCTTTTGTGAAATACTGTGCTGTAATCTTTTCTCCTGGAAGACTTAGCAGGCCACCAGGCAGAGCCAGAGGGGCAGTACAGGGGCGTTTCTTTACCAGTTTGCAAAGGCCCCCCAGGACATGCTGTCTCTCCCCCTGTCTTGCAGGAGTCCCTCTTCCACAGAAGCATAACGGACCTAGGCTTCTGCAATGTGATCCTGGTGAAGGAGGAGAACACAAGGTAGTCAGAGCTATGGACTGGAGCAGGCTTGGGGACAGGGACCCTTGGGTGCAGGGCTGCTGGGGCCCTGCTTTTTGGTGCCATTTTCTTCCTCTGATAGAGAAAGAAGGGCCCCGTCCTCTGTTCCATACACAAGCCTGCAGGGAGGGGCAGACTTGGAGCTCTCTTGCAGTTCCTTCTGTGAGCATGTATGGATTGCCCACCGTGTTTCAGGCTGTGAACCTGTACCCGACTCAACAGGGTGAGGGGTGGGAATGGGGCACAGATGGACAGGCAGCTCTTCCTGCTCAGGTGTTCCTAGTACATGGGTCTGGGGTGTGGTCCCTTTCTGATTGAATAGCCTTCTGTGAGTCCTAGTGGAGGTGGGCCCTCTCTGAAGGATCTTCCCTCCTGCTCTGGGAGCTGTGCCCAGGTTTCGGGGCTGGCTGGTTCGGAGGCTCTGCTATTTCCTGTGGTCCCTGGAGCAGCACATCCCCCCCTGCCAGGATGTCCCACAGAAGATCATGGAAAGCACCGGGTGAGGAGGCAGGGAGTGAGGTCTGGCTGGCATTTCTGGGATCCTGAATGGGATGACAATGACACTAGGTAGGGGTGTTTGAGAGGGGTGGCTGGGGCAAGGCTTCTAGAGCATGAGCTTTGCCTGGAACCCTTCCTTAAGGAGGAGAGTGAAGACTGGAGGCTGTGCCCTGCTGCAGCCTCATAGCACTCCTTCTAACCCCCTCACAGGGTGCAGAACCTCCTCTCAGGGAGGGTCCCAGGAGGCACTGGGGAAGGCCAGGTGCCTGACCTTGTGAAGAAGGAGGTACAGCGCATCCTGGGTCACATCCAGGCCCCACCCCGTCCCTTCCTGGTCAGGTAACTGGGCTGAAGGGCACTCACCCTTGGGCTGGGGACTCTGTCCTTCTGGAGAGCGGGTGTTGGCCGGGCTTGGGGAAGTGCTGGACTCTCCTCCTGGGTTGCTGGATAGTGTTTACCAGAGTGGGCTGCAGCCTGCCTTCACCACCGCCTCCCATCCCCACATTTTGCCAGCACAGGTTGGAGCCTATGTTAGATGCAGCACACTGTTCCAGGGAAACGGAGGGTAAACGAGATATGCGCGGCTGCAAGGAGGAAGGAACAGGGCTGAGACAGAATACCAGGAAGGGGACAAAGAGCCTGTAAGCCAGAGCCAAGAGGAAGAAAAGGCGAACAAGAATGAGGCGAACAGTCTTGCTAGAGGGAATAGCCTGAGCTTTGGCCCTGGGCAGGAAAGGACTAGGTTTGCTCCAGAAGCTGACGTGGTTGGAAGCCAGCAAGTGAGGGGTCGAGAGCTGTGGGAGGTGAAATCGAGAGGCAGAAGGGATCAAATCATGTAAGGCCGTGCAAGTTTGGACTGGATCTCCAAGTGCAGTGAAAACCAGTTGCAAGGTTTTAAGTGGGAAGTGACATCATGAATTGGGGTCAAGAGTGGAGACCAGAAGGGCATCTGGAAGGCTGTTTTGTTAATCCAGGTGAGAGATCATGGTGGACAGTAGAGGTTGAAAAGTGGATTGAGAGGTCGAGGTGATATTAACAGGACTCACTGAGGGATTGGACAGTGGGAACAGGGGCAGTGAGGGAAGTAGGAGAAGTTACAGGACAGCCCCGTTTCTAGCCTACTTTCTGGTGGTATGGACAGAGAACAGGCTTTGGGAGAAGTGAGTTGGCCCAAAAAGGTAGTTTGGAGAGAGAGAGTTTTGGTACCTGACATGCTTGTGGAGACACTGAGGAGGCAGCTGCATATAGGAGCCTGGAGCTCAGAAGAGAGGTTGGGGCCAGAGACACTGCGAGGCTTTAGCATACAGATGGTGTTTAAAGCCAAGGAGATGAATGAGTCCCTGAGTACAGGTGGGCTTGGGGGCAGCATGTGTCAAGCTCAGCTGTCTTGAATGTGCTGAGTGGCCAACTGAGCAAGGACAGAAAGTAGAGGTTGTTGGTGACCTTGACCAGCCCTCTGCTGTTCTAGTCTCTTGATCTGCCTACCTTGACATCAGCCATCAGCCTCCCTTTCTGTGTTTCCTTCCCTCCAAGCCTAGCTCAGATTGCAGGCTCGGGGTGCTAATAATGCTCTTTCGAGGGAGTCATGGGCATGACCCCCCGCTGTCTACCTTCTCTTTGCACCTGAGCAGCCCAGCGTTGCCAGAGAAACACATACCAGTGGACTGGTTTCCTTGCTAAGTGCAAATGTCACAGGGACACATGGCACTCTCCAGGGCTCCCACCCAGCCTGCTCCTTCTTAGACTTATCCACTGTCAACTGATTCCCCATCTCATGCTTCACAGAAAGATAAAAGCCATCACATGGGGACTTGCTGCTTATCCAGCACATTTCCCTGCTACTACAGCTATGTGTCTGTCCTAAATTAAAGCTGGTCCTATGCCGGTGCAGTGGCTCACACCTGTAATATCAGCACTTTGGGAGGCTGAGCGGGGTGGATCACCCAAGAGCTGAAGACCAGCCTGGGCGACATAGACCAGCCAGGGCAAACTTGTCTCTCCAAAAATTAGCCGGGTGCACTGTTGCGTGCCTGTGGTCCTAGATGCTTGAGAGGCTGAGGTGGGAGGATCGCTTGAGCCCAGGAGGCAGAGGTTGTAGTGAGCCAAGTTTGTGCCACTGCACTTCAGCCTGGGCAACAGAGCAAGACCCTGTCCTAAAAAATAAATAGAGCTGGTCCTCCTGTTGGGCTGCAGGGACAACCCCACCCACCTGCCCACCAGGGATTTTGCCCCTGCAGTTATCCCCTTTCCTTCTTCTATTACTAATCCTTCCTTTTTATTTCACCTTTTCTGGTAGATTGTGAAGACCAGGCTGGGTTCTGCCTGGAGAGAGGCTTGGTCCTCTAGTCTCCTTTAGGGTAAATTGAGGCAGATGCTCTGATTCTGATGTGAGGCAGCTCCACCATGAGGTCGTGGGAGAGTAGCAGCGTCTGGTGGGCATGAACTCTGGTGTCAGAACTTCCAGTCCCAGCACTGCTACTTCTTAGCGTTCACTACCAGGAAGCAGTTCTGTAGCTTCCCTGAGTCTCACTTTCCTTCTTCTGTAAAATGAGGATAGTGGCGGGGCCTGCCCTAAGGAGCACTGGGCAGCCCTCCAAGTGCCACGGGCCGAGCGTCACTCCTTGCCGCACCTCAGGCCTGGTGTCCCTCCCCAGGCTGTTCAGCTGGGCGCTGCTGAGGTTCCTGAACTGCCTGTTCCTGAATGTGCAGCTCCACAAGGGTCAGATGAAGATGGTCCAGAAGGCCGCCCAGGCAGTAAGGCCCGCCCTCCATTGGGTTGGGGATGGTGGGAGCAGAAGAGCAGAGGCTGGGCCAAGCCCTTAAGTCAGGAGCAGTCCCCATCTGGTCCTGCTTCCTGGCCTCTCTGTTCCCAGCCATACAGCAGTCCAGTCCCCATCAGCTGGTGGGAAAAATCCCCTGCTCTTTGCCGACCTTCCCTTATGTCTCACGGCCCTGCTCCCATGGGGCTTCCTCTAACGTCTTTCCATCATGGTCTTAACAACCATGACGTCAGTGCGTCGGTGCAGTTACCTTAAGAGTTGTCTAAAGGCTCCTTTGCTTTTGGGAAATGTGCTCAGAGGAAGAACTCTGCAGCTGAACTGTCCCTCCCTCTGGGGCTGCCCTGGGTCTTTGGCTGCCTGTGTCCTCAGGGTGGGGCAGGTTGGCACTTCCCTCTGGCTCTCCCCGGAGCAGGGCTTGCCGCTTGTCCTCCTCTCTACTCACAAAACCCTCCTGGATGGGATCCTGCTGCCCTTTATGCTGCTCTCCCAGGGCCTGGGTGTGCTTCGTGTGGCCTGGGACTCCCGCGCCTGCTCCCCTGCCCTCAGGTAAAAACCTTTTGCCTCTAGACATACATGGGAGAAGTCGCAGGCTGGGGCGGGGTGTGTATCGGGGTGTGTTGGCAGCAGCTCCCTACTAAAGGCCCTCTTCGTGGCCTCTCTGCTCCGAGCCATACAGCAGTCTAGCCTGTGGGGCTTAGATGGAGGTGTCAGCCACAGGGCCTAGGGCCATGGCTTTGCCTCAGGGTATTCAAGTAGGACACAGGCTGGCCATGGGGGAGCTGAGACTCTCACTAGCCCCTTACTCATTCACATCTTCAGAGCCCCTTTCCTTATCAGGCTCTGCCCTATGTCCCACAGAGCTCTGCTGAGGAAGCTTGGGGGGCTTTTCCTGCCCCCAGAGGCCAGCCTCTCCCTGGACAGCTCTGAGGGGCTCCTTGCCAGGGCTGTGGTCCAGGCGGTGAGTGCCCCCAGTGGTTACATATGGGCCAGGCTAAGGGGACAGGGGTCTGTTTCTGCTCTGGCCTTAACACCCCCTCTGACCCCTCCTATTCCAGGTCATAGAGCAGCTGCTGGTTAGTGGGCAGCCCCTGCTCATCTTCCTGGAGGAACCTCCTGGGGCTCTGGGGCCACGGCTGTCAGCCCTGGGCCAGGCTTGGGTGGGGTTTGTGGTGCAGGCAGTCCAGGTGGGCATCGTCCCAGATGCTCTGCTGGTACCAGTGGCCGTCACCTATGACCTGGTTCCGGATGCACCGTGTGACATAGACCATGTGAGAATGTGAGACCTTCCAGCCCCTTGGGCCCCTAGGTGGACACCAGCTCCCGATAGGAGGCACAATATTGTGTCCTGTGGCTGAGCCCCACTTAGGGCTGTGGGGGGCACAAAGGAATCGTCCTTACAATCATCTGGCAGCACCTGTCAAGGCCATTACCATCATCTCATTTCATCCTCTGAAGACCTTGATAGGGAGGGATTTTTCCTGTGTCATGGATAAGGAAAGAGGAGCTTGGGACAAGGTCACGCACCAGTTTGGGCCTGAGATAAAACTGAGCAGGGTGGGACCAGAGGATACCTCTGGAGACCAGGATGGGTGGGCAGCCCTGATGTCCGCCCGAGAGCAGTGTCCTCGGCGAGTATAGTTATCCTTTCCCTCCTTGCAGGCCTCGGCCCCCCTGGGGCTGTGGACAGGAGCTCTGGCTGTCCTACGTAGCTTGTGGAGCCGCTGGGGCTGCAGCCACCGGATCTGCTCCCGGGTGCACCTAGCTCAGCCCTTTTCCCTGCAGGTATGGAGCCAGCTGGGGAAGGCTGGGAGTACCTGGGGTGTCTGTCCTAGGCATCCTGGCAGCCTGGCCCTCAAAGCCACTGCAGGGATAGCTTTGCCTACTTCCAGTGGGCTGTGTGCAAGTTTCCTGGTGGGCCCGAGCAGGCCACCTAAGAGCCTTCTCTTGGGCAGGAATACATCGTCAGTGCCAGAAGCTGCTGGGGCGGCAGACAGACCCTGGAGCAGCTACTGCAGCCCATCGTGCTGGGCCAATGGTAGGGGCACAGGAGCGTGGGGTCTCAGGGGGCAAGGCAAGCAGCCCTTCAGCACCAGCTTATGTATCCCCCATATACACACACTAGCAGCCCTCCCTCACCAAGTATCCTGGGGTCATCTAGAATAGTTCCAGGTACTCGCCTTGCCAACAGTCTGAGTGTGGGGTATGGCACAGAGGCCTGGATGGGACTGGGGGTTATAGAAGCCATCCTCTGTCCTGGGGCTGGGAGGGGGAAACACCCTCACCTTTTAGAAAGCTCTAGGCATTCCCACAGCTGTTTTTGTGTTTGGACCCTTCATCCTGTAATCTGTGTCTCTATCTCAGTACTGCTGTCCCAGACACTGAGAAGGAGCAGGAGTGGACCCCCATAACTGGGCCTCTCCTGGCCCTCAAGGAAGAGGACCAGCTCCTGGTCAGGAGACTGAGCTGTCATGTCCTGAGTGGTGAGGGTGAACCAGATCTGGGCCTTTGCGGGTGGGTCACTGAACCGTCCCCTCTCGGGGTCAGCCAGTCACCAGGGTTCTCCATTCCAAGTGTCTGCACCTGAGGTGCTCTGTGATACCTTGGGGACATCTGAAGAAGAATGGAACCCTTCTCCTACAGGAGGAGCAGGCAGCCAGGGCCATCATAAGGGAGCAGCTAAGTGCATGCACAAAGATGGTGGCCTGAGGCCAGGAGGCTGCAGCTGCTTCCCCAAGGCCACACCCAGCCCTGCCTTCTGAGCGGAGTCTCCTTAGCTTTGGGTGGAGATGGTGTTAACTGAATGGAATGATACGTGTAAGGGGCTTAGCACAGCGCCTCCACAGAGGGCCCTTATAGGGAGATCCATCTGTATCTTCTTCAGTGCCCCTCTAGTAGAGGCTGTGGGTTGATGTGTGGGCCCTACGATGAGATCCAGGGGAAGGCCCCCAGCTCCTGGCCTGCTCTCAGCCTGTGTGATGATAAACACCACTGCTCCGGGTGTACGTTCCTCATCCCTGGGGTGGAGTTGGGATGTGTGGCTAGGAAGACTTGCTAGATCATGGAGGGACCAGGCTGCTGGGCCTCAACCTGACCAGCATCTCCACCCCCCGCCCCACTCCAGCCAGTGTAGGGAGCTCTGCGGTGATGAGCACGGCCATTATGGCAACGCTGCTGCTCTTCAAGCATCAGAAGGTAGGGGGTGCAATGTGGTGGGGACCTGGGCGGTGGGGGGGGTGGCGATGTGTGGCCCTGCTGCCTAGCCCTGCTCTGCCCACCCAGGGTGTGTTCCTGTCGCAGCTCCTGGGGGAGTTCTCCTGGCTGACGGAGGAGATACTGTTGCGTGGCTTTGATGTAGGCTTCTCTGGGCAGCTGCGGAGCCTGCTGCAGCACTCACTGAGCCTGCTGCGGGCGCACGTGGCCCTGCTGCGCATCCGTCAGGGTGACTTGCTGGTGGTGCCGCAGCCTGGCCCAGGCCTCACACACCTGGCACAACTGAGTGCTGAGCTGCTGCCCGTCTTCCTGAGCGAGGCTGTGGGCGGTGAGTCTTGAGGTGCACGGGGTAGGTGGGATGTGTGTGCAGTGGTGAAGGGAACGGCTCCTTCTTCATAATGGACCCTCCGCCCCCAGCCTGTGCAGTGCGGGGGCTGCTGGCAGGCAGAGTGCCGCCCCAGGGGCCCTGGGAGCTGCAGGGCATATTGCTGCTGAGCCAGAATGAGCTGTACCGCCAGATCCTGCTGCTGATGCACCTGCTGCCGCAAGACCTGCTGCTGCTAAAGGTCAGGCCTCCCCTACGGCCCACTTGGTCCTAGGCCTTCCCCTCTTGGTGGTAGGAATGGCCCATCCCTGCCCATGCTCTACCTCTGAAACCTCCTGGGTAGTAGGTGTGGCCTTGCCCGGTCTTTGGCTAGGCCCCTGCCCATGTGCCTGGCTCTCCTGAGGCCACATGGGTGCCTTTTTCTCCCAGCCCTGCCAGTCTTCCTACTGCTACTGTCAGGAGGTGCTGGACCGGCTCATCCAATGCGGGCTCCTGGTTGCTGAGGAGGTAGGCAGGGCAGTTGGAGACAAGATCCTTGCCTGGAGCCTGGCCTCCTCCAGCCTCCCACCCTGAGTGCCAGCTGCCCCAGGCTCCTCCTCTGCCCCGTGTGTGCTGTGGGGGTGGGCAGCCCCTGGCCTTGCAGCGGGGAAGCCTAGCTCGCACCTCTGCTCCCTGTGCCTTGGGATATAGCCACCTATGCCCCGGTTCTGTGTGTCTCTCTGGATAGCACTGGACATGTGTGCCTCTGAGGTTCTCTGCACACCTCCTGCTCCCCACATTTCTTGGCCACAGGGCTACTGCCCTTGAGGGTGGGAATTCACTTCCTCTCACTCTGCAAGTTGGCCCAGCAGGTGCTGGGGCATGGCTCTGGCCATCCTCTTGGGTCTCTAGGTCTGCTTTTACTGGTTTCACCTGCATGTACCTGGTCTGGGGGTGTAGGGTTGATCCCTGGCCAGCTTGTCAGAGAACAATGGCTCCACGGCCCCTAGACCCCAGGCTCCCGGCCAGCCTGTGACACAGGGCGACAGCGATTGAGCAGAAAGCTGCTGTGGAAACCGAGTGGGGACTTTACTGATAGTGACAGTGATGACTTCGGAGAGGCTGACGGCCGGTACTTCAGGGTGTGTTTCAAAAAGCTGCCCCTGGAGGGAGGTGGTAGGGAGGCGGTGGGGAGCTGCACTCACCCCGGCCTGTCCCCTCCAGCTCAGCCAGCAGTCACACTGCCCAGATTTCTTTCTTTTCCTCTGCCGCCTGCTCAGCCCGCTGCTCAAGGCCTTTGCACAGGCTGCCGCCTTCCTCCGCCAGGGCCAGCTGCCCGATACTGGTGAGGCCCTTGTTCCCTTGCAGTCCTCGAGGCAGGCTGTGTCTGTGCTGGGTGCCAGGTCTAGGTCTTCTCTCTTCTGCAGAGTTGGGCTACACAGAGCAGCTGTTCCAGTTCCTGCAGGCCACCGCCCAGGAAGAAGGGATCTTCGGTGAGTCCCAACCAGTCAGCCCAGGCTCCTGCAGGCAGTGGTGTTTGCTGGTGGCTGCTGCCCCCTGCAGGACAGTGACAACCCAACTCTAGGAAGGCAGGCTGCAGAGTACAGTCTTCTGTCCAGTCAGAGCTCTATCCCTCCCTGGGCTTCTTTAAACAAGAGGAGAGAAGCCTGTGCCCAGTGGCTCTCTGTTCTCCCTACCTAGAGCCTTCACTTCTCTCTTCTTTCCAGAGTGTGCGGACCCAAAGCTCGCCATCAGTGCTGTCTGGACCTTCAGAGACCTAGGGGTGAGAGGAGCCACTGTCACCATCTTCTGTCCCCCTGCTCCCACCCCAATAGAGTAGCTCAGGGAAACCCAGCTATGTCCCCATCACTCCACAGGGCTGGCCTGATGGTGCCTCATTAAGACCCTGGGATTTACTTGGTGTCTTCCAGCAACAGATTTGGTGATGGGTTGGAGAAGGTGGGATGGTTTCCTGCCTCTTGGTCTCCCAAATCACTGGCTCATCTTTCTAGGTGGGGTATTGGGACTGCTTTGCGGCAGCATTTGCACGCAAACATTGAGGTCTAAGGGGCCAGAGGTCTCAAGGCAGGTTTCTGGGGGACAGGCCTGGCCCCTGGGCCATGTGTACACAGTCCCTGTGGTGAGCGCACTCACGGCTTATCTTCCATGGCCCAGGTTCTGCAGCAGACGCCGAGCCCTGCAGGCCCCAGGCTCCACCTGTCCCCTACTTTTGCCAGCCTGGACAATCAGGAAAAACTAGAACAGTTCATCCGGCAGTTCATTTGTAGCTAGAACTGTGAGGAGGAGCCTGTGCTGAGACTTCTCAGCCCCAGAACACAGCTGTGTCCTAGAGCCAGAAGATGGAGAGGAGGCTGCAAACCCTTAGCTGCTCTATAAATATAATCATTGAGGCTTGATTGTCCCTTGCCATCTCTTGCTTTTTCCCTTCTTTGATGTGATAAACAAGGGGACGAGACGAGTTGTCTTTTCCCCAGCCCAGCAGCATCTTTTTGGTGTATGTGTGTGTATTTGCTCTCTTCTTCCCCAGTCCCACAAAATGCCCTAACTTGTCCCATGAAACAAAGCCCAAACGAAGACAAACAGCAGAAGCCAAGCTGCTGCTTTGACCCGACGAATTTATTGAAGAGAGCTCTGTCCTTCTCCCTTCTACCGAGAAGAGGCGGCTTGCAGGGCTGGCACCTGTCCACACCTGTCACTGGGCCTTTCCCTGGGCTAGGCTGAGTGGGAGCAGATGCCCTCATCCTATGTGCAGGGCCTGTGCAGGAGCCATCACACCACCTTGTTGATGATGACACCTAGTTCTTCAATCTCACACTGGACTTCATCCCCCTTCTGCAACAGAGCAGGCCATGAGAGTGTCAGCCCTTCCGTCAGACACACGTACACAAGCCTGTACTTCTCAAGTCTGAGCCAAGCCTGCCAGCCCTTTGGGGCCCTTGCTCTCTTTGCTTTTCACTAACCTACCTTGAGAAAGACAGGAGGTTTCCTGAATACACCGACACCTGGGTGGAGGTGGGGGGGTCCCAGTCAGGATGACATCCCCTGGGTAAAAGGTAACAAACCTGGAGCAAAGCAAAAGGACCCGGTGAGACCAGGGGCTGGCTGAGGTGGCCACAGCCAAAGGTGGAGGGCTCAGGTCAGCCTCCACATGTGTGGCAGGTGGAGCGGGGCTGGCAGGATAGCCCCTGTCACTCACTGGGACACCCAGGCTATCAGGTCCTCTGTCTTGAATACCATCTGGTTGGTGTTGCTGCTCTGGACCACTTCCCCATTCACTCGACAGCAGATCTTTAAGTTGTGTGGATCTGAAATGCAAAGATGGTACCTTGGAGTTATCCCTTTTCCCCTTCAAACCCCCCAGTATTTTACAAACACAACTATAGGGGTGCTTCGTGACTTGGCAGGTGAAAGGGCTTTAAAGTGCCCACATTGACTCAGTGCACTATGTTAGAACTTTCTGTATAGACATTGGCCTTCTCAGGCCTCCCTGCATCCCCAAGAGCACCAGGCAGTAGTCACTTGGATGAGTTGAGAGGATGTTGCAGACTCTGAAGGAGAAGAGAAAAATGGCTAGGGTTTTTGCCTTGAAAAAGGGCATCTGTCTACAGCATAGGAAGATACCTGTAGATACAAAAATGACTCCTGGGCAGGGCCAAGCGTGGTGGCTCACACCTGTAATCATAGCACTTTGGGAGGGCAAAGCAGGTGAGAACTGATTAAGCTCAGGAGTTCAAAACCAGCCTGGGTAACGTAGTGAGTGCTTGTCTCTATGCAAAATAATAAAAACATTAGGCATGGTGGTGCGTGACTGTAGTCCCAGCTACTCAGGAGGCTGAGGCGGGAGAACTGCTTGAACCCAGGAGGTTGAGGCTTCAGTGAGCTGGGATTGGGCCACTGCACTCCAGCCTGGGTGACACAGTAAGACCATACTTAAAAAAAAAAAAAAAAAAAAAAAAAAAAGACAGCATCTATAAAGCAGTGAGGCAATGGTTCTAGCCAGGACAGAGAAGCCTCGTGTACCGGATGCTGGCAGGGGATGGATTACTGTAAGAACATCCTGGCTAACCAGCACTTTTAACTGTTGGTGTTGGTCTTAGTGTTCTACCACCCTTAAGTAGAGCACCTGAAACACAATTTAACTTTGCCGAGGACTCTGTGTGGGTGCTGTGAGGCACTGGGGTCTTTGGTATCCTGGCATGGCTGGCCCATGTGGACACCCCCCACCTCCACCACAGTTGTGGGTGGCTGTGTGTTAAGAGGCTGCGCTCTGCCCTCTGGCACACTGCCTCCAACCTGGCGCTGTCCCCTCACTGTGTGTGGTCAATGCTGTTGTTTCCACAGTGGCTGGGTGAGTCACACTGGCTTTCATCTGTAGTGTGGAAAATGCCTGGGCCTTGCGATAGCTATGCTCCATGATGCTCAACTTAGATTATTTCAGATGGTGGCAGCCGCAGGAAGCCCGATCCACCCATCAGCTCAGTGTTCTTTGTAATTTACTTCACGCATGCAGTTTCACATCCTCTGCAGTTGTGTTCCCTCTAGGGGGCTTGGGAAGGAAGCCCATGGGAGAACTCGTGGCTGAGGATAAAAGACTTTCCCTGTATGGAGTCAGCAGTGAAAGGGCAGCCAGGGAGGGCAGGTGCCACATGTACCTGAACCCGTGCTCCTCCCTGGAGGGCTGTTCATCTGTGCAATGGTAGGTACAAGGGGGCAGGGATCAGGAACCTACCTGCTACACTGTCCTTGGTCACCAAGGCAGGGCCCAGAGGGCAGAAGGTGTCGAAGGTTTTTCCCAGCAGCCACTGTTTCCCATTGCATCTTGTTAGCCAGTCACGAGCACTCACGTCATGAGCCACAGTGAAGCCGGCCACGTGGGCCATGGCATCTGTGGCCTATGGGGGCAGGGGATTTGGCCATACAGGAGGATAGATCATGGGTGACACCAACACCTGTGGCAAGGGATCTCAAAGCTGTTATCCCATGTTAGTAGCCAGAGCCAGCCAAAGGTGGGTGAAGGGAAAGGCAGTGTCAGGGAGCAAGGAGGCTGACTGCTTCCTAGTGTCAGGGACAGCTGGCACCATGTGTTGGTGAGCGAGGTCAGAACTAGGAGAGGCAGGAGCTGGGGACTCTGCTGCACTCTGGCCTGGGAGCCCACCTTTTCCACTTCACCTTGATGTGCTTGCCTTTCTTTCCAATGACCACGGCCAGCTCCACTTCCCAATCTACCTCCTGTAGGGTGGGAGAGGAATAGTGAGCCGCAGTGGCTTTGGGGCCCATTAACTATGCTCAGAGGCTGTACGCTGTGGATCTCTGTCAGTATGGCTTGGCTGCCATCCCATGTTTGCCATCACCACGAACCAGAGCCCAGTGAACGACAAGGGAGGTGTGACTTGTAGACCCATACATTTTGGGCAGTGGCAGACAGCATCATGGGATGCAGGCACAGGTCCCCACACCATTGACTGCAGAAGAGCAACACGTGTCCAGGGCACTGAGTTTAAAAGTCACTCTGGATACTTTTAACAAAGGATAAATACGAAGTAATATCCCCTAGCAATATGTAACCTTACTGTGTGTCAGGCACTATTTTAAGTGTTTTAATCTATTAACTCACTTTAGTAAGAGAAAGATCCCACAAAGGACTTGAGTAAGCAATTCACAAAAAGGTAACGGACATGGCCACAAAACATGAAAAAATGCTCAGCCTCTCCCATAATCCATAAAATACACTATAAAATAGATATAATTTGGCCTTTAAAATTGGTGGCTCTTTCTAATAATAACCAGAGTTGGTATAAGTACACCTGACATCCAGATGTTGGTCTCTAATACCACTCCCCAGTAAGGAGCACCGGGTTCCTTGGTCCAAGACAGACAGTACATGATGAGCCTGGAACGTCTTGGCCAGAAAGCAAATATATGCTAAAAGCTTGGGGATGGAACAAACTTGAAGGTCCCTCATTGGCCAAATTGAGGTCACCTGAAGAATGTAAATGATGGATTACAACCAATTGAATAAAAACAAAAAGGAATTCACAGTGATATTGAAGACACAGGAATAAAGAGCGAGGCAGCTTTTTTTCTTTTTTTTTGAGATGGAGTCTCACTCTGTTGCCCAGGCTGGTGTGCAGTGGCGCGATCTCGGCTCACTGCAAGCTCCGCCTCCCAGGTTCACGCCATTCTCTCACCTCAGCCTCCGGAGTAGCTGGGACTACAGGCACCTGCCACCACGCCTGGCTAATTTTTTGTATTTTTAGTAGAGACGGGGTTTCACCGTGTTAGCCAGGATGGTCTCGATCTCCTGACCTCGTGATCCACCCGCCTCGGCCTCCCAAAGTGCTGGGATTTCAGGCGTGAGCCAACGTGCCTGGCCAGGCTTTTTTCATAGAAGAATGCCAGTTAATAAAAACTGCATGATTTAGAAAAATCATTGTTCTTGGCCGGGTGCGGTGGCTTATGCCCATAACCCCAGCACTTTGGGAGGCTGAGGCAGGTGGATCACCTGAGGTGAGGAGTTCAAGACCAGCCTGGCCAACATGGTGAAACCCCGTCTCTACTAGAAATACAAAAAATTAGCCGGGTGTGGTGGTGCATCCCTGTAATTCCAGCTACTAGGGAGGCTGAAGCAGGAAAATTGCTTGAACCTGGGAGGCAGTGGTTGCAGTGAGCTAAGATGGTGCCACTACATTCCAGCCTGGGTGACAGAGACTCCATCACAAAAGAAAAGAAAAGTCATTGTTCTTCATCCCCCAATGCAATAATGGATTCAGTAAGGATGACTACAGGATCCTTGGATGAGAATCTACGGGGCAATAAGATGGTTATGTGATCTCAAACTACCACATAGATTGCTTGTTAATTACAAAAATGGAAATGCATCTTCACAATGGAGGGACTTAGTGAACGTCAGCTAAACCAAGTGGTCAAATTCTGGGATGCAATGGGAAATGTATAACATCTTTGTAGATCTCTTGATAAAAATGCTTACCCTGACACTAATCATGAAGAAACAACCAGACAAACCCAGGATGTGAAACATGCTATGAGACAACTGGATTCTTCAAGGAAAGGGCAGGGGGGATTGTTTGAGGTCAGGAGTTGGCAAACTATGGCCAGCTCACCGTCTGCTATAATCAACTTTGATTGGAAACCCATCATTCATTTCTGTATCGTCCCTGGTGGTTTTCACACTATAACAGCAGAGTTGAATTGTTGCAAAACAGACCATATGACACTCAAAGTGTAATATTTACTAATTGGCCCTTGATATGGTTTAGCTCTGTGTCCCCACCCAAATCTCAACTTGTAGCTCCCATAATTCTAACGTGCTATGGGAGGGACCCAGTGGGAGATGACTGAATCATGGGGGCAGGTCTTTCATGTGCTGTTCTCATGATAGTGAATGGGTCTCATGAGATCCGATAGTTTTAAAAATGGGAGTTTCTCTGCACAAGCTCTTTTCTGCCTGCTGCTACCCACCTAAGATGTGACTTGCTCCTCCTTGCCTTCTGCCATGATTGTGAGGCTTCCCTAGCCACGTGGAACTGTAAGTCCAATTAAACCTCTTTCTGTTGTAAATTGCCCAATCTCGGATATGTCTTTATTAGCAGCATGAAAACAGACTAATACAGCCCTTTAAAACAGTCTGTGGAACCCTGTTCTAGGTTAAAACTACTAAAGAGATATAACTGAATACAGTGTGTGCCCTTGGTTGATCACAGAGCAACAAAGTAACCAAATTAAAAGTCATCTTTGGGGCAATTGGATTTCATATTAAATATCATTCAAGTTAATTTTCTTGGCTGTGATAATGGTATGGTCATGCAAGCCGTTGTCCTTATAAAATGTCTATTTCAGTTTTTATGACAATATTTGCAATGTGTCACCCCAACCCCTGCCAAAAAAAAAAATGTGTGTTTGCCATGTGAAGGGCAGGGAGAGGGCAAGGGAGAGAAAGCAAATACAGCAAATGTCTACAGTGAAACCAGGTGAAAAGTATATGAGCGTTCACTGTATTATTTCAGCTTTTCTATAATTCCCAAGACATTTCTAAAATAAAAATTTGCGAGGAAAAGTAACCAGTGTTAGTAAGGGTATATACACTAACGATGGATGTGTAAGTTGCTCTTACAATTTGCTTAAAGGACAATTGGGAGATTTTCTCAAGGGTTTTGAAATACTGCCTGTAGTTTGATAATATTCAAATCCTAAGAGTTTATTCAAAGGAAATAATAAGGCCGGGTGTGGTGACTCACACCTGTAATCCCAGCACTTTGGGAGGCTCAGGCAGGCAGATCACAAGGCCAAGAGACTGAGACCATCCTGGCCAACATGGTAAAACCCCATCTCTACTAAAAATACAAAAATTAGGTGGGCGTGGTGGCATGCGCCTGTAGTCCCAGCTACTCGGGAGGCTGAGGCAGGAGAATCACTTGAACCCAGGAGGCGGAGGTTGCAGTGAACCAAGATTGTACCACTGCACTCCAGCCTGGCAACAGAGAAAGACTCTGTCTCAAAAAAAAAAAAAAAAAAGGAAATAATAATATATTAATGGACACGCAAAGTCTTTTCTACATAAGGATGTTCATTGCGACATTTATTTATAGAAACAAAAAACTGGAAACAAGTATCCAGCAGTAAGGTACTCAGGAATATAAACTACCCTGTACATCACAAAACTCCAAGGTAACCTAAATATGTCAGGGAGAATATTTAATGGCATGAAAAAATGCTCCTGATGGAGTCTTAAGTAAAAGGTAAGTATATGTACAGTATAAACATATACAGGAGTGGAGAAACAATAGGAAGGTAGACAGAAAAACATTAATATTCTGAGCCATGGGCAGTGGGATTATGGGTGACATAATTTTTAAATGTTTATCTCTGTTTTATCTACAGTGAAGGTGTATTGCTTTTGTAACCAGGAAAACACGTACATTAACTTTTTTTTTCCAAGGCCAGTGTTACTACTGTGTGTATAATCCTGTAGAGTTTCTGTTGAATGCACTATTGAGCGAGAGGTGGCTCCAGTAGGCTCAATACTGAGCTCAGAATGCCCTTGTGATGGGCCCAGTGACTAGGGAGGGCAGTGGGGAGGCACTGACCTGGCTCTGTGGTGGGAGGACCACCTCATCATAGGGCCCCACGATGGAGCTGGCAAACTTGCTGAAGATGATGGGCTCCTTGGGCACGGGCACGTTCTGTTCTTTGCAGTGGTCCACATAATTCATGCCCACACACACCACCTTATCTGGCCATGTGACTGGAGCCAGGAAGGTTACCTCCGACCGTGGTAGGACTGGCAACTGGGCAGCCAAGGCTCTGTAGAGACCAGAGCAGGTGAGAGGGTCTGGCTGGGAACAGGTGGGCAATCCCGGGCAGGCTGGGCAGATCCTGCAGCAGCTAAAGGTTTTGCTTTCTGAAATCTATTTCCTAGCTCTATCAACCATCAGAGTCATTGTGAAAATCACTGACTATTGTCCTTTGCTATCAGAGCAGGGCTTTTATTTATCCAGTGTTGATTTCCTCTCCCCCTTAGGTAACTCATGTCCATGTAAAAGATACAAACTGGAATACATGGAAAGGTTTCCCTTTCCCCTTCCGGTTACCCCGTTCCCCTGGCTCTTCGCAGCTACTCTATGGATATTCTTCTCCCACCCTTTTGTATGCAAATGATAGCATACTATTCACATCTTTTAAAAAAACAACTGACTTTGGAGATCTCTGCTTAACAATATGTAACAATACATAGAGAGTGTCCTCTTTATTTCTTGTGGCTGCATATTACTGCTCTATAGAGATATACCCAAGTCCCTAATGAGGGACATGGAGTTTTCCAATCTTTGCAGATTATGGCAATATGGGAACATACTGTTAATACTGTGAGCTGTGAAACATTTGTATTTTTTTCCATTTTAATAGATGAAAATGACATCTTAAAGTATTTTTAATTTATTGTTCATCAGCTCCTTAGACCAGATTCTATAGGAGTCCAGGCTTCAGGGACACTCTCACCTAATCTAGTCCAAACCCAGGAACCAAGTGTCTTATAGAAAACCTCCTTGCAGTCCTCTCTCCTTGTAGGAGCTGGGAGTCTATATCACTCCCCCAGCTGCATAAGATGCCTTTTAGGACCCCCGGGCCCAGACCCGTCAGTCAGTCCAGGACTTCATTCCCAGAGGAGGCAGTGTGATGAAGTATAGAGTCCTGGTTCCAGCACCACATGTATGGCCTTCAAATTGTTAATCACCTCCCCTAGCTCTCAGTTTTCTCCTCTGAAAACTGAAGATGTTATTATATAAGATTTATAAGGATCTTTTAAGAGAATGGGAGAAAAGGAAAGGTGGGGTTACTCTGCTCCCTTGCAAAAGAGCTACCTGCTGGTGCTGTTTCCCAGAGCGGGGAGGATGTGGGGGGACCAGGGCAGCTGTGTCAGGGCGATGCTGCCCACTTACTTACCTTCTTGCCACTGAGAGGGTGGCCTCTCCCTGCTCTAGGAACTGCGTCATTGTCTTTGGGAGTGTGGGGTCAAAGGCATTGAGGTTGATAATCCCTCTACCATTCCCTGTCTCCAGGCCCAAGTGAGGCCCCACCAGGTGGGGTGCCCAGAACTGCACTAGTCTCATGTCTCTGGAGGGTTGAAAGGGCCACTTCTGAGCCTGCAGCAGAGCTGTGAGTAACCTTCTACCAGACACCACCATCAGAGCCTGCAGAGAAAAATGCAGGATCCAGGAGACGGAGGATCCCAGAGCCATCATCAGGATCTCTGAAATTCCTAGGGCTATATAGCCCAAGGCCCTTTGCCCCATCAACCGTTCCCTGCATACCACACGGGAAGTGGTCCAGGCTTGTATTTTACCTGCTATTCTTCATAAGGTGAAACTTTTCTACAGGAGCAACTACTACATGCTACGCAGTAAGTCCCAGGGATTCCAGTGTTCCTTCAACCAGTGCTTTCTGAAAGTTCCCACTGTGCTTGGCTCTGCTGTAGGTATTGGGGAAACAATGTAGGTGAAACTCAGCCCTGCCATTCTCCCTGCACAGGTCACAGATGTTAACAAGTGACGTAAGATTCAGCTATCAGGACTAATGCTGTGAAGATGGTCAGGGGCTCTACCCTTGTCTAGTTTCTGGAGGAAGTGATGTGAGCTGAGCTGGGCTAAATGAGCAGGACCAGGAATTAGCTGGGTGGCAGCCCAGCATGGGCAAGTGATGCTGGTGAAACTGGCTTCACAGTGGCCATAAGCCATTTTTTAAATGCTATTTTGGTCCTGTTAACCTCCAACTTAAAATGGTTTCCACTGCTCACATGATCAAGCTAGAACCTCTACCAGGCTGTCCTTGTCTTCTAGGAGCAGCGCCCCCACCTGCCTCTCCAGATAATAATTATTTCATTTCTCCTGATAGAGAACAAGTTGCCTGAGGGAAGAGGCTGCAGACAAACAGCAAGGTCTGGGCCTGACAGCCATCACTTGGTCATCTCCTCCCTGGATCCAGGGACATGTCTGTCTCTTTCACTGCCCAGCACTGTGCCTGGTGTACAGAAGGCTCTCAGTGACTTTCTGCTGAATGAACAAATAAGTGACAGAAGCAGAGGCTTGACATTTCACTACTTGGGAAAGCTTAGTGCTTGTTAACTTTAGGAGACATGGCTGTGCCTTTCCTCCTCAAATCACCTAGAAAGTATCCACAAGGGCCAGGCGCAGTGGCTCACACCTGAAATCCCTAGCACATTGGGAGTTCGAGGTGGGTGGATCACTTGAGGTCAGGAGTTCAAGACCAGCCTGGCCAACATGGCGAAACCCTGTCTCCCCTAAAAATGCAAAAAAATTAGCCAGGACTGGTGGCAGGCGCCTGTAATCCCAGCTACTAGGGAAGCTGAGATACGAGAATCACTTGAACACAGGAGGCAGAGGTTGTAGTGAGCCAAGAACATGCCACGACACTCCAGCCTGGGCAACAGAGCAACTCCAAAAAAAAAAAAAAAAAAGAAATTATCCACAGAGCTCAGGTCCTATTTTGAGTCCAAGGCTCCACTTAAAGACAAACACTATTCTCTTGTTTTGTTCTGAATCCAATTCTGGCCACTATTCCTTACCACATGGTGCCTTCCCTGAATGGTTCCTTGCTCTTACAACAAAGGCTGTTTGTATTGTACAGCCTTCTATGCCCAAAAATGTTGAGGCAGCTGAGCCCCAGACTCTTGGTCCTCGCCTGGAGATTCAATCTGCCTTGTTCAGTGAAAGACTCATTAGACTTAGGTCACCACTGTTGTGGCCCACCAGTTTGACTAGAAAACCGAGGGTTTTGACTTCTCTGCCCTGCTATCTTACACAAGCACCAACTGTGCCACTGTCAAAAGGCTGTTCGAGCCAAAGTGCACACACTCAGACACTCCACATGCTAACATAACAGTAACTGCTGCCGCTGAATGCCAACTATTAAGTGCTCTACCTACAATGTCCGATTTAATTCTTTTTTTTTTTTTTTGAGATGGAGTCTCGCTCTGTCGCCCAGGCTGGAATGCAGTGGCACGATCTTGGCTCACTGCAAGCTCTGCTTCCCGGGTTCACGCCATTCTCCTGCCTCAGCCTCCCCAGCAGCTGAGACTACAGGTGCACGCCGCCACGCCCAGCTAATTTTTGTATTTTTAGTAGAGACGGTGTTTCACTGTGTTAGCCAGGACGGTCTCGATCTCCTGACCTTGTGATCCGCCTGCCTCGGCCTCCCAAATTGTTGGTATTACAGGCGTGAGCCACCGCGCCAGGCCTGATTTAATTCTTGACGCTTGTGGAAGGTAGGTACTGTTAGTCCCATTTTACAGATGAAACAGTTAAGGCTTAAAGCGGTTAAGGGATTTGCCCAAGGTTACACAGTCTTAAAGCTAGGAAGGGAAGGAGCTGGGATGTGAATCCAAGTCCAGGTGACATTGAAGTCCTTGGTTCAGAAGCTTGTAATGCAAGCAAGAAAATCTAGCTTCAGCCCCATCTTCCTACCAAGGACATTTTAACCCAGAATGTTGTGGTGAGAAGTGGGGACCTTCCATAGGAAATCCTCCAAAGGCCCTAAAGATTGTAGTGAGAAGTAGGGACCTCCCACAGGAGATCCTGCAGAGGCCCTGCTAACAGCCATGCGTGGGGAAACTACAGGCGCCCTCTGGCTGTTGCCTCAGGGACGAGGCTGGTTACCAGCTCTCCAAGAGAACCCCAGGCCCCATTGACTGTTCCCTTCCCACATGACTCACACATGCAGGTTCATTCCAACCTTACAGCAATCCCCTCAGGTAAAGCGCCCTCACTTTACAGAAGAGGACACTGAGACTCAAAGGGATGACGTCAGGTGCCCAAGGTACTAGTCAGAAAGTGGCCCTGGGGCTTCTGCAACAACCACTATGTCACACAGTCCGAGCTCAATCCAACTCTGCAAGAGTCCATAAGCAAAGGGGCGGCGACGTGAGGTGGAAACAGTAGCCTGAAACGTGGGTGTGCACGTCGGATCCCATCCCACCGTCCACTCGCCTGGAAACCCCCAGTTTCCCCATATGCCCAGCTTCGTCCCCTGCAATTAGTGAGGGCTCACATGGGTCCGCCCCATCCGTGTGGTCGGAAACGGCCGGGAACCTGGTTCTAGTTCTGCCCTCCGCGGGAGACCTGCGCCAGGGACACCCTTCTGGCCTAACCCAGCCAGGCCTGGTCTACCTGGCGGCGGCGGCGGCGGCAGCCGGTCCTCCTGCGCTGAGTTAGGGCTCGCGGGGCGGGAGGTCAAGGGCAGCGGGCGCCTGAGCACTGGCACCAGTCACCGCATCCAGCCGGGGAACTACAGCAGCGGCGAAGTCACTGCCGCTCGGTGCGCACTCCAGCGAGAAGCGGGCGCGTCCGGTGACGTCACAGGCAACCACCCCTAGCAGGGCACCAATCCCGGAGGGGCGGGCCCAGTGCGGGGCGGGCGGCGCCGGGGGCTCTTCAGGCTCAGGGCATAGGCAGGCGCCGGCCGCGTTTTCTGGAGACGGTCGCTCTCGGAGGGACCCTGCAATTGCCCGAGACCGAGAGTGGGCGCTGCCTGAAAGTTTGTCCCTGGGCGCTTCGCTGGCCTCATCCGGTCTCGGCCCTGTTCTGGGCCTGGCGCCTTTCCCATTGTTGGGGAAAGTGGTCTAGGAGACCAAGGCAGCGTGCTGGGTGGGAGAGAATGATTTGTGGCTTCTGATTCTGACATATGTCGTTGAGGAGGGGAGGGATGAGTGACCCTGTTTTACTTATGGAGAACCTGGGGCCAGAGCTGTTTTCCCAGGGTGACACAGGCGGTGAGTAGTGGAGCTGGCATTCCTGACCCCAAAGCTCAGCGTTTCCCAGCCACTCCCAGCAGCCAGGCCTTCACCTGCACTGCTGGGCGCAGGTGGGGAAGTGGGGAAACGGTGCTCCATCCCCTGCAGAGGGCAGGCGTGCAGGGAGCGGAGGCTGAACTCCACAGACAGCTACTGCTCAGCTCTTCGGCTGCCGGCTTTGAAGAGTATGAGGGGCTCTGGGCAAGAGGCCCCCACATTACTCAAGGACCAGATCATCAAGAGCTTTACTTGTCCCACGAAGGAGTCTGGACCTTGTTTAAGTGCACAGGAGACCGCTGGAAGGTCCTCAGTGGCGTGCCATGGCCCGACTTCTATTTGAGAAGTTTTTCTCTGGCCACCTGTCTAAGGAAAGGTATCTGGGTGGGTGGTGCGGGTGAGAACAATGATGGTGCGGTGCTTGGCGGAGAAGGTGAGTGTTCATAGATGTTCAGGAGGAAGAACTGACAGCTCTGGATGACAGGAGGTGGAAGTGAGAAGGAAGCAGGTACAAGGCCGACTCCTGGGTCTCTAGCCTGGTAGGTGCAGGGCTGATCATGGAGACAGGGCTTCTGGAGGAGCAGCGGGTCTGGGGAGATGACAGTGAGCTCCAATTTGCATGGGACATCCAAAGGGCATTGAACAGTGGGCAGCTGGAGACGTGGGTCTGGAGCTTGGGACTTCAGTCTAGCTTACAGAAGGTCACCACCGATATAGAAATGGAACCTATGGCCGGGTGCAGTGGCTCACACCTGTAATCCCAGCACTTTGGGAGGCCAAGGCGGGCGGATCACGAGGTCAGGAGATCGAGACCATCCTGGCCAACATTATGAAACGCCGTCTCCACTAAAAATACAAAAAATTAGCCGGGCATGTTGGCGGGCGCCTGTAGTCCCAGCTATTCGGGAGGCTGAGGCAGGAGAATGACCTGAACCCGGGAGGCGGAGCTTGCAGTGAGCCCGGATCACACCACTGGGGGACAGAGCAAGACTCCGTCTCAAAAAAAAAAAAAAAAAAAAAAAGAGCCTATGGGGGTGGCTGTGATCAGGGGGATGTGCTGAGGAGAACCTGGCACAGGTGTTTCATTAAGCCATAGCTCCCAAAGACTTTCTGAAAAGCTAAGTTACAGCCTGAAAGAAAAGATCTTCAGAGGCTATATTTGATAAAAGACTTGTATCCAGAATATAGAAAGAGCACTTAAAATCAATAGATAAAATCAAACAATTCAATTTTTTAAATGGACAAAATATTTGAACAGACACTTCACCAAATAAGATATACAGACAGAAAATTAAGACATGAAAAGATGCTCAACATCATTAATCATTAAGGATATGCAAATTGCAAGCACAATGTGACACCGTCTCACACCTACTAGAATGGACAAAGAAGACTGATTATACCAAGTATTCACAAGAATGTGGAGGACCTGGGATTCTTGTACGCTGCTTATGGGATTATAAAATAGTATCACTACAATTGAAAATCATTTGGCAGTGTATGAAGAGTTAAACATACTCCTACCATATGACCTAGCCATTTCAATCCTAACTATTGACAGTATTGAGTTGTACCTTAGCCCTTTGCTCCTAGAAATAGTGAAGGTTAAGGAATCCTTCCACTCCTTTGTTCCAGAAAACACCCTACTGGAAAGAACCAGTGGCTTTCCATATAGCTTGAATAAGAATCCTGAATGTCTCCTCCTGACCAGACCATACACAGACCCTCTAAATTCCCATTCTTGACATCATAAATGATTAGCTGGACTGCTTGTCCCCACAGATCAATAAGAACAAAATGCCTGTAACCAAACCTTGGTTCAGATTCTCTCCTTCTCCAAGCCCCTGACCTTTGGCCCACCCGCAGCTTGTGCCAACCCACCGCCTTCCTGAGGGTCCCTCCTGAGAACAGGCTGTCTGCAGGGTAAGACCTGCTCGATCGTGACACTCTTGCTCAGCTCACTTTCCCATAACAGTTCTTTCTAGCCATGTTTACGCCTCCCTATACAAGGTCAGCCCTTTGCCTAACCTCTGAGACACTTGAGGATCACATCGTCAGACTGTCTCCTTATTGTAATAGTCCCCCCCCAACCCCCACAACAATCCTTTTGAATAAATTCTCTTTTTATGGAATCCAGATTTATATTTTTGTTTGATAGTAATTACATGAGAAATAAGAAAAATATGCTCATGCAAAGATGTATTCAGAAGTGTTCACAGCAGGCTTTTTGTAAAATCCCCAAACTGGAAACCACCCAATTTTCCATTAACAGGTGAATGTGTAAACACTCTGTGTATAGCCACACTAGGGAATACTACTCAGCAATAAAAAGGGACAAATTATTGATACAACATAGAAATATATCAAGATAATTATTTGGAGTGAAAAAGGGTAGATTAAAAATGAGTACATATTGGATGATTTCATTTATATGGAGTGTCCTTGAGGGATATCTTCAAAGACCCCTAGCAGATGCCTGAAACTGCAGATAGTACCAAACCCTACATCTGCCACGTCTTTTCCTATACATAGATGCCAGTGAACAAATTTAATCCAGATGAAGTTAATCTGGTGCTACACGGTTGCTGTCAATCAGAATACGTTTCTGTTGACATCTTCCACTCACAAATCTAATGCTTTTTCTACCCTAACTAAGCGCTTCTCACACACTGTAGCCATAAGTTTTGCATTTTGAGGTGTGACAGCAAAACTGGCACAAATTTCTTTTTCATTCTTCACAATTTCATGGATAGAAGATTCATTCTTTCTGTAGATCTTAGCAACCTCATTATGTGATTTTTTTTTTTTCCTGGCAGCTTGAGAGGGGCACATGTTAGCAAGAAGGAGCACAGCATCCCTGCCAAGTTATCTGTCCTACGTGTACCCTGGGTTAGACACACCCTCCTCTGGCTTGCTGTGGTCTGGCCTCACCCTGCGATGCAGGGGCTCCATCCACAGCCCTCTGTCCAGGAGCACCCAGGCTCTGCTTACATTTTTTCAGGGATAGGGAGGTCACTGCTGTGTGGGCGGCTGGGCCCAGTATTTTATGGGGAGGGGGAGAATGGAAGGCAACTCTGTCTTCAAGTGTCATCACTGTCCTGGGCGCATGGAGCAGCCCAGGTAACAACGTGCCCTCGGTGTTCCCTAATGCTGGGTAGTCCTTCCTGTCAGAATGTGCTTCCTGTGACAACCTGAAGCCTGTGACTCCTAGCTGGTAGAAATGTCTTCAGCTTGCCCCTGGAGCTGTGCAGAGCACATCTTGTCTTGCATTTTCTAAAATGTTTGAATAAAACCAGCATGTCATTCCTCTGCCACCTCTCCCCTACTTCCCTCACCTTTCTTAGACCTCACATCATTCTGATAATCTCCTTGGGGTAGATTCAGTCACCGTTGGTCATCACCAGCTGTGCCTCCTCCTGCTGGAGGATGGGGTGTTCACATCTAGCTGAACTAAGGCCTGGCCATCAGACTTGTTTTGGCCGATGCTATGTGGGCAGGAGCATCATAGACCCCTTACAAGGCTTCTGTAAAAGCCTGCCTGTGTTTGCCATGTCTCTTTTCCCTCTGCTACTAGATAGAATGCTCTAAATAAGAACCACTCTGTCAGCTTGTGTCCCAGAGTAAAAACGACATGGATCGAGCCACAGCCAACTCACATCGGATGTGGAATATGAGGGAGATGACACTGAGATTTGGGAGTCTTTTGTTATTGCAGCAAAACTCAGCCCATCCTGACTGATATGACTCATTTGCCAAAGTCTCTTAGAAAGTGGGATATCTCACCTTAAGAGGATGTGAATGGCCTGGAGTAGGATAGCATGCCCAATTCCTTGTCCAGAGATTACGGAAACATCTATGAGTTCAGCATCTCTTACAGAAGAACATGATAATTACCTTGAGTGCAACCCATTCCTTATGTATATGAAGAGCTGACAGAAAATGACTTCCTCATTCTTCACCTAAGCAAAAGAGCATCTACACCTGAAGAGACCACTTGCCCTTCACTGACATTAAATTTCATCCTACTGACTCTGACCTATCTCCTTAGGCTGTTGGGCTTATTTTTTGAACATTGTATTATGAAATTTTCAAACATACAAAAAAGTTGGAAAAAAAGTACAATGAAAACCTGTATACTCACCACCTAGACCTTACAATTTATGTTTTACTATAGTTTCCTTATCACATGTACATCTATCCTTCCACCTGTCTATCAATCCATCTTGTCTTTTGATGACTTTCAAAGTAAGTTATAGACATCAGTACACTTTCCCTGCCCCCCTCAAACATTTCAACATGCACACATTGGCTAAAGTTCAATATTTGCTTATGCTTTTTAGGTGTATACAGAGCTCTAACTGTCCTGTTCCATCCAAAGGGGGAAAACCAAGAAGCACTTGTGAAGTTAACATTTCAGAGACAGAGGATCACTAAAAGGCTGAGACCTAATCATAGGACTGTGATCACTTTTCTGTCCTTTGCCACCTTACTACGACATTACTATAGGGCCTACTAACTGCAGTTCCTCTTACCCAGTACCTCATGTCTGATGTCAAGAAAAAAATTACAAGTCATACTAAAAGGCAAAACACAAAGTTTGAAGAAAAAGAGCAAGCATCAGACCCAGACTCAGATATGGCAGGAGTGTTAGATTTATCAGACTGGGAATTTAAAACAACTATAACTAATATACTAAGGGCTCTAATGAATAAAGTAGACAGCATGCAAGAACCCGCGAAGCAGAGAGATGGAAATCCTAAGAAAGAATAAAAAGAAAAGCTAGAGATGAGAAACACTGTCCTAGTGATGAAAAATACCTTTGATAGGCCCATGAGTGTAATGGACATGGCTGAAGAGAGAATCTCTAAGCTTGAGGATATATCAATAGAAACTTCCAGGACAGAAAAGCAAAGAACAAAGAGACTGAAAAAGTGAAACAGACTATTCAAGAACTGTGCGACAACTATGAAAAAAATAACATACACATAATGGGGATGCAAGAAAGAGAAGAGAAACAAAGAGAAGAGAAAGAAACAAAAAATATTTAAAACAATAATAGCTTGAGCAACATAGGGAGACCCCATCTCTACAAGAAAATTAAAAAATTAGGGGTGCATGGTGCACACCTCTGGTCCCATCTACTCAGTGGGGTGAGGTGAAAGGATCATGTAAGCCCGGGAGGTCAAATCTGCAGTGAGCCATGATTGCACCACTGCACTCCAGCCTGGGTGACAGAGTGAGACCCTGTCTCAAAAAATAAATAGATGTGGTGGCACACACCTGTAGTCCCAGGTACTTGGGAGGCTGAGGCAGGAGGATTGCTTGAGTCTGTACAGGAGTTCTGGGCTGTAGTGCACTATGCCGATTGGGTGTCTGCACTAAGTTTGGCATTAGTATGGTGACCTCCAGGGAATGGGGGAACACCAGGTTGCCTAAGGAGGGGAGAACTGGCCCAGGTCAGAAATGGTGCAGGTCAAAATTCCCTTGCTGACCACACCTGTGAAAGGCCACTGCACTCCAGCCTGACCAACACAGCGAGACCCCACCTTTTAAATAAATAAATAAATAAAGAATAATGACAGAGATTTTCACCAAATTAATATCAGGCACCAAACCATAGATCCAGGAAGCTCTGTGAACACCAACAAGAATAAATGACAAAAAATTCCACCCAGGTATAGCATATTCAAACTAGAAATCAAAGATAAATAAAACACTACTGGAGGCCAAGGCAGGTTGATCAGAGGTCAAGGTGGGTGTATCACTTGAGGTCAGGAGTTCGAGCCAGCCTGGCCAACATGGCAAAACCTCATCACTACCAAAAACACAAAAATTAGCTGGATGTAATGGTGGGCGCCTGTAATCCCAGCTACTTGGGAGGCTGAGACAGGAGAATCGCTTGAACCCAGGAGGTGAAGGTTGCAAGGTTGCAGTGAGCTGACATTGCACCACTGCACTGCAGCGTGGTGAAAAAGCGAGACTCTGTTCCAAACAAACCAAGAAACAAACAAACAAAAACTATTGAAAGAAGCCAGAGGAAAAAGCCACCTTACCTATAGGGAGCAAAGATAAGGATAACATCTGCCTTCTCCTCAGAAACCATGCAAACAAGAAGAGTGTGAAGTGAAATATTTAACATCTTGAGAGAAAAAAATAAACAACCTGGAATTCTGTACCCTGTAAAATTATTCCTCAAAACTGAAGAAGAAATACAGACTTCTCACACAAACAAAAATTGAGGGAACTTATTGTAGTACATGTGCCTTGTAAGAAATACTGAAAGAAGTTCTTCCAAGGGAAAGAAAAACATACAAGTCAGAAACTTGGATCTATATAAAGACAGAGAGCACTGAAGAAGGAATGAGTGAAGATAAGATAAAATAGTAACTTATTTTTTATTCCAAATTGATCTAACAGATAACAGTTTGTTCAAAATAATAATAGCAAGAATGTATTCAATTATGTATTCATATATGTGTATATATATCCACAGAAACATATATACTTATGTATAAATACATATGCTTATGTATAAATGAAATGAATGACATAGTGATATAAGAGATAGGAGGCAGGAATTGGTATTATTTTGTTATTATAAGGTACTTGGTACAACCCATGAAGTAGTGTATGCTATTTGAAAATGGATTTGCATTAGTTGTAGATGTACATTGCAAATCTAAGGAAAACACTAAAAGAAGTGAAAAAAATAAGAAGAAAAGTATTTTTTTTTAAAAGAAATTGCCTTCCTCCACTTGGGCTGCTATAACAAAATAATTTAGACTGCATAATTTATAAATATGAGAAATTTATTTTTCATAGTTCTGGAGGCTGGGAAGTCCAAGATCAAGGCAAGAGCAGATTTGGTGTCTGATAAGGGCTCACTCTCTGCTTCCAAGATGGTACCTTCTTGCTGTGTCCTTGTGTGGTGGAAAAGGTGAATAGCCCCCTCTCACCTATTTTATTACAGCACTAATCCAGTAATGAGGGCTCCACCCTTATGACTTAATCATCTCCCAAGGGCCTCACTTCTTATATTGGTGATTAAATTTCAAGGGAACATATTGAGACCATAGCAGAAATATGTTGACAATGTAATTATTTTTTGGTCATATAAAATGTGGAATTAAAATCACAAAAGGCAAAAAAAGAGTGGAAGACAAAAATATAGGAACAAATAACAAGGCAACAAATAGAAAAACAATAACAGATATGGTAGATATTACTCTAACTATGTCAATAATCATTTTGAATGCCAGTGGTCTAAATACACCAACTAAGACAGAGATTTTCCAAAGCAAAAAAACTATCAACAGGGTAAACACACAACCTATAGAGTGAAAGCAAATGTTTACAACCTATGCATCTAACAAAAGTCTAATATCTAGAATCTATAAGGAACTTAAATCAACAAGGAAAAAACAACCCCACTAAAAATGGCAAAGGACATGAACAGACACTTCTCAAAAGACATCTGCACAGCCAACAAACATATGAAAAAGTACTCAATATCAAAACCACAATGAGATACCATCTCACACCAGTCAGAATGGCTATTATAAAAAGTAAAAAAATAACAGATGCTGGAGAGGTTGTGGAGAAAAGAGAATGCTTATACACTGCTGGTCAGAACATAAATTAGTTCAGCCACTGTGAAAAGTAGTCTGGAGATTTATCAAAGAACTTAAAACAAAACTACCATTCAACCCAGCAATTCCATTCCTGAGTGTATACCCAAAGAGATATAAGGCATTCTACCATAAAGACGCATACAGGCCTATGTTCATCGCAGCACAATTCACAAATAGCAAAGACATGGAATCAAACTAGATGCCCATCAATGATAGACTATATATACACTATGGAATACCACAGAGCCATAAAAAGGAATGCAATCAATGTCCTTTGCAGCAACATGGATAGAGCTGGAGGCCATCATCCTAAATGAATTAACACAGGAACAGAAAACCAAATAATGAATGTTCTCACTTATAAGTGGGAGCTAAACACTGAGTATACATGGACACATAGAAGGGAACATCAGACATCCGGGGCCTACTTAAGGGTGGAGGTTGGGAGGAGGATGAGGATTGAAAAACTACCTATTGAGTACTCTGCTTATTACTTGTGGAACAAAATGGCCGGTACACCAAACTCCCATGACATGCAGTTTACTGATGTAATAATAAACCTTCACATGTGAAAACGTCCCTGTCTAACAGCTTTGAAGAGAGTAGTGGTTCTCCCAGCACGGAGTTTGAGATCTGAGAATGAACAGACTGCCTCCTCATGTGGGTCCCTGACCCCCAAGTAGCCTAACCGGGAGGCACCTCCCAGTAGGGGCCAACTGACACCTCATACAGCCGGGTGCCCCTCTGAGATGAAGCTTCCAGAGGAAGGACCAGGCAGCAACATTTGCCGATCTGCAATATTTGCTGTCCTGTAGCCTCCGCTGGTGATACCCAGGCAAACAGAGTCTGGAGTGGACCTCCAGCAAACTCCAACAGACCTGCAGCTGAGGGTCCTGACTGTTAGTAGGAAAGCTAACAAACAGAAAGGACATCCACACCAAAACCCCATTTGTACGTCACCATCATCAAAGACCAAAGGTAGATAAAACCACAAAGATGGGGAGAAACCAGAGCAGAAAGCTGAAAATTCTAAAAATCGGAGCACCTCTTCTCCAAAGGAACGCAGCTCCTCGCCAGCAATGGAACAAAGCTGGATGGAGAATAAATTTGAGGAGTTGAGAGAAGAAGGCTTCAGATGATCAATAATAACAAACTTCTCCACTGGGTGTGGTGGCTCATGCCTGTAATACCAGCACTTTGGGAGGCCAAAGCAGGTGGATCACAAGGTCAGGAGATCGAGACAATCCTGGCTAAGATGGTGAAACCCTGTCTCTACTAAAAATACAAAAAATTAGCTGGGCATGGTGGCGGGTGCCTGTAGTCCCAGCTACTTGGGAGGCCGAGGCAGGAGAATGGCCAGAACCCGGGAGGTGGAGCTTGCAGTGAGCTGAGATCGTGCCACTGCACTCCAGCCTGAGTGACAGAGATTCCCTCTCAAACAAACAAACAAACAAACAAACAAAAAAACCAACTTCTCTGAGCTAAAGGAGGATGTTCAAACCCATCACAAAGAAGCTAAAACCCTTGAAAAAAGATTAGACAAATGGCTAACTAGAATAAGCAATGTAGAGAAGACCTTAAATGACCCTATGGAGCTGAAAACCATGGCATGAGAACTACATGATGCATGCACAAGCTTCAGTAGCCGATTCAATCAAGTGGAAGAAAGGGTATCAGTGATTGAAAATCAAATGAATGAAATGAAGCGAGAAGTTTAGAGAAAAAGAGTAAAAAGAAACGAACAAAGCCTCCAAGAAATATGGGACTATGTGAAAAGACCAAATCTACATGTGATTGGTGTACCTGAAAGTGACGGAGAGAATGGAACCAAGTTGGAAAACACTCTTCAGGATATTATCCAGGAGAACTTCCCCAACCTAGCAAGGCAGGCCAACATTCAAATTCAGGAATACAGAGAACACCGCAAAGATACTCTTGAGAAGAGCAACTCCAAGACACATAATTGTCTTGGAGATTCACCAAAAGTTGAAATGAAGGAAAAAATGTTAAGGGCAGCCAGAGAGAAAGTTCGGGTTACCCACAAAGGGAAGCCCATCAGACTAACAGCAGATCTCTCAGCAGAAACTCTACAAGCCAGAAGAGAGTGGGGGCCAATATTCAACATTCTTAAAGAAAAGAATTTTCAACCCAGAATTTCATATCCAGCCAAACTAACCTTCATAAGTGAAGGAGAAATAAAATCCCTTACAGAAAAGAAAATGCTGAGAGATTTTGTCATCACCCGGCCGGCCTTACAAGAGCTCCTGAAGGAAGCACTAAACATGGAAAGGAACAACCGGTACCAGCCACTGCAAAACCATGCCAAATTGTAAAGACCATCGATGCTAGGAAGAAACTGCATCAATTAATGAGCAAAATAACCACTTAACATTATGACAATGACAGGATCAAATTCACACATAACAATATTAACCTTAAATGTCATATTTAAGGTTAAACAATATTTAACCTTAAATAGCCAAATAGATGGCTATTAGGTCAGCTTGGTTTATAGGAATTAACCTGTTTGCAGATGACATGATTTTATATTTAGAAAACCCCATCGTCTCAGCCCAAAATCTCCTTAAGCTGATAAGCAACTTCAGCAAAGTTTCAGGATACAAAATCAATGTGCAAAAACCACAAGCATTCCTATACACCAATAACAGCCAAATCATGAGTGAGCTCCCATTCACAATTGCTTCAAAGAGGATAAAATACCTAGGAATCCAACTTACAAGGGATGTGAAGGACCTCTTCAAGGAGAATACAAACCACTGCTCAATGAAATGAAAAAGGACACAAACAAATGGAAGAACATTCCATGCTCGTGCATAGGAAGAATCAATATCATGAAAATGGCCATACTACCCAAGGTAATTTATAGATTCAATGCCATCCCCATCAAGCTACCAATGACTTTCTTCACAGAATTCGAAAAAACTACTCTAAAGTTCATATGGAACCAAAAAAGAGCCTGCATTGCCAAGACAATCCTAGGCCAAAAGAACAAAGCTGGAAGTGTCACACTACCTGACTTCAAAGTATACTACAAGGTTACAGTAACCAAAACACCATAGTACTGGTACCAAAACAGAGATATAGACCAATGGAACAGAACAGAGCCCTCAGAAATAATATCACACATCTAAAACCATCTGATCTTTGACAAACCCGACAAAAACAGGAAATGGGGAAAGGATTCCCTATTTAATAAATGGTGCTGGGAAAACTGGCTAGCCATATGTAGAAAGCTGAAACTGGATCCCTTCCTTACACCTTATACAAAAATTAATTCAAGATGGATTAAAGATTTAAATGTCAGACCTAAAACCATAAAAACCCTAGAAGAAAACCTAGGCAATACCATTCAGGACATAGGCATGGGCAAGGACTTCATGACTAAAACACCAAAAGCAATGGCAACAAAAGCCAAAATTGACAAATGAGATCTAATTAAACTAAAGAGCTTCTGCACAGCAAAAGAAACTACCATCAGAGTGAACAGGCAACCTACAGAATGAGAGAAAAT
Organism: Homo sapiens; assembly: GCF_000001405.40. Lineage (NCBI taxonomy): Eukaryota > Metazoa > Chordata > Mammalia > Primates > Hominidae > Homo > Homo sapiens. The sequence continues at coordinate 95,998,949 of NC_000002.12, read as the reverse complement.
TTTTGCAACTTACTCATCTGACAAAGGGCTAATATCCAGAATCTACAATGAACTCAAACAAATTTACAAGAAAAAATCAAACAACCCCACCAAAAAGCGGGCAAAGGATATGAACAGACACTTCCCAAAAGAAGACATTTATGCAGCCAACAGACACATGAAAAAATGCTCATCATCACTGGCCATCAGAGAAATGCAAATCAAAACCACAATGAGATACCATCTCACACCAGTTAGAATGGCAATCATTAAAAAAGTCAGGAAACAACAGGTGCTGGAGAGGATATGGAGAAATAGCAACACTTTTACACTGTTGGTGGGACCGTATACTAGTTCACCCATTGTGGAAGACAGTGTGGCAATTCCTCAAGGATCTAGAACTAGAAATACCATGTGACCCAGTGATCCCATTACTGGGTATATACCCAAAGGATTATAAATCATGCTGCTATAAGGACACATGCATACGTATGTTTATTGTGGCACTATTCACAATAGCAAAGACTTGGAACCAACCTAAATGTCCATTAATGATAGACTGGATTAAAAAAATATGGCAAATATACACTGTGGAATACTATGCAGCCATAAAAAAGGATGAGTTCATGTCCTTTGTAGGGACATGGATGAAGCTGGAAACCATCATTCTGAGTAAACTATTGCAAGGGCAGAAAACCAAACACTGCATGTTCTCACTCATAGGTGGGAATTGAACAATGAGAACACTTGGACACAGGATGGGGAACATCACACACCAGGACCTGTCAATGGGGTGAGGGGAGGGGGGAGGGATAGCATTAGGAGATACACCTAATGTAAATGACAAGTTAATGGGTGCAGTGCACCAACATGGCACATGTATACATATGTAATGAACCTGCACGTTGTGCACAGGTACCCTAGAACTTAAAGTATAATAAAAGATCATATGAGAAAAAAAAACCTTCGCATGTACCCCTTGAACCTAAAATAAAAGGTAGGAAGAAAGAAATAAAATAAAAGAGATTGTCAGTGTAGATTAAAAAGTCGGACTCAACTATATGTAGTCTACAAGAAACACATTCTAAATATAAAGATGCACCTGCATAAATTAAAAGGATACAGAAAGATATACCATATTAACACTTATCAAAACACCCCCAACATATCTCTATTAATTTCAGGCAGAGCAGCCTTAAAGAGCAATAAAAGTTACCATAGATAAAGAAGGACATTACCTAAGAAAAAGGAGTCAATTCTCCAAGAAGATATGACAATCCTGCATGTGTGTATGCACCTAACAACAGAGCATAGAAATATGTTTAATTTACACTTATCTTCTTATGAGCCATGTTGCGTAACTTTTCATGTGTTTAAGATCAACTTCCAATTATTTTCCTATGAAATCTCTTTGTGTATCTTTTTAATTTTTTCAATATATTGTTGGTTTATTTCCCCTAAATTTGTAAGAACTATTTGTATATTAGAGATAGCACCCCTTTGTCTATGATATAAGTTGCAAACCTATTTTCCCACTCTTTCATTTGTTTTCTGACTGTGGTGGTAGTCTTTTCTTGCCATGCAAAAAATTTTGTTTTGTTTGTCTTTGATGTAGTTGAATTGACCAGTCTTTTAAAATTGTGTCATTATTAGATGAGCGACTTTCTTTCCAGCTCACCTGAGAATGTGTTTTCCTGTTGAGCTACAGAATGAGCATTGGGTATTTTGTGTTCCTCTGAGAAAGAGAAGAGGTGTGTCTGGCAGACAGGAGTTGACCTGGTCCTATCTGCTGGGCATTGGCGATGCTGTGAGCTGCCTGGCACCCACAGATGGATGTTGATGTTCTCTTGTGAGCATAAACAATTCCATAGAACATCTGCTTCATACCATATCATTTTGTGCCAATACTTAAGACAAAAACAAGACGTCTTCATAATCATGTCTGAGCATGAGCAAAGCATGAGCATTGTTCATATCACACAAATGACCAATGTCTCTCTATTCTAGCTAAGATGAGTAACTACTGTTTCTTCACCAACTACAGCTTTAACGTTCTTTACCAATTATAGCCTTAACCCATTAAGGCTTTAATACAGGTTTACATCTTTCTACATAAGATTTATTAAGATACCCTGCTATGCTAGAATTACCCCCACTTCCTGACAACACCCAATTCAGAACAAAGCCCCATTTCCTTAAACCCTTCTCCCAGATTATTGCCTAACACAACCCCAAATCCTCTAAGTCCTTTCTGACGTCCTCTTAGTGAGACACCACACCGTTTCCTGTAGTTTGTATTCTCCTTCACTTAACCAGTAATAACTCACTTCTTCAACTACAGGTGTGTTCATGGTGGCCTTTGATTGGAGCCCATTAACATCTCCACTTTTCCTGGTGGCCCAAGGGAATGGGGAGACAGTAGAGGGAAAGGGCAGCTGAGGGCTCTGAGCATTGGTTAGAATGCTTGGGCAACAGATGGCTCTTCCTGTTTCAGTACCATGAGGACTCCCCTGGGCATTGGATTGCTTTCCTCATTCCATGTGTAGCCTTGACTTCTCTTAGAGGAAGTGCACCCTGATGTCCCTCCACCTTGTTTCTCCTGTTTCTCCCCAGCATCTGTTTCCACCAGTCACCAGCAAGGGGAGGATCGTATAAGGACACCCTTCAGTGTCAGTGTGCTTCACTATGCTCAAAATCACCGGATTTGGAGGTGGATGTGGAGGGTGGGGCTGGAGGATGGAACAGGAATTTAGGAGCTAAATGCTGTCCCTCTCTATTTTGCTCCAGAATGTTCTTTTCCTTTCTCTGAGTCACCAGTTTCTTTACTGTATTAGGCTATGCCCCTTTCCTTGTTTTATTGCTATCAGTCATTTCTTATTGGCCTTTATAATTTTGTTAGTACCGGGATGGAAAACCCTACAATATTGTTTTTTTCCAATACCGAAGGCATCTCCTCTCCTCATCCCTGCTCTTTCCCTCCAGTTGAAAAAGATAAATAAACACTCTCTGTTGACAAATGTCTTTTCTCTTTTCTGTAGGCTCTGTGAGTTCTCCTTTCAGTTTATGCTTTTGGAAACAAAAGTCCTTGTCTGTCCTTCAGGTGTGAGTCAGAGCCAGATTCCTGACTAAATGGAGGGAAGGTTAAGAAAAAATACAATGAGAAATTCATTATAAGAAATTATTTTGTTGTCATCTAGTCATGTAAGTTTTGTCTTTAGTGGTGGTAACATGTGCTCATTCATCGTAGTTCGTTGCTCATGCCATGTGGTCATTGTCTCATGCTTATGGGCACCTCTCTTTAGTGACACCCACCTATTGGGGGGAGTCCCATTTGTAAAGAATTTTGTTGATGTGCTGAATACAAATTGATTTCCTAGAGTCTTGTCTGTTTTGGGCTGCTATGAGAGAATACCATAGACTGAGTAATTTATAAAGAACAGAAATTTGTTTTTTTCCACAGTTCTGGAGGCAGGGAAGTCCAAAATCCAGGGGCCATTAGATTCATTGTCAGGTGAGGGTCTGGTCTCTGTTTCCAAGATGTCGCCTTGAAGGCTGCGTCTTCCAGAGAGGAGGAGTGCTGTGTCCTCACATGGCAGGAGACTGAAGGGCAAAAGGAGTCTAACTTCCTCCATCATGCCTTTTTCTAAGCATATCTAATCCTATTCATGAAGGCAGAGTCCTCATAGCCTAATCACCTCCAAAAGGCCCCAACTCTTAATACTATCACATATGTAATATTTGATTTCTGGAGGGGATACATTCAAACCATAGCAGATGCTCATGAAACTAGAAACAGTGGCTAATGCCAGAGAAAGAAGCTGAGGATCTGGGAAGTCTTACTTGTGGATTTTATATGTTCCATTCCCATATGTAAATAAATGAGTTAATTGAAATGGAAGAAAATGAAGAAAGATGGAGAATTGTGTCATGGAACAATGGACAGCAGTCATAACATAATGGGTGAAAACAAAGCTCAAGTACATGAGGATGATTATATCTTTAATGGTATCTTGAAGCTGTAAGAGATCATCAAGTCTTGACTTCTATGTTAAAAAAGAAAGAAAACTGATGACCCATATTTAAACTGAGGCATGTGACATTTCTGCTCTACTCAGCACTCTTCACTCATCCAACAAAAATTCATTATGGTTTCTTATGTTCCAGGCACTGGGCTAGGTGTTCAAGGAAGACAGAGGGAGGAAATAAAAATTTTTATAAAACAGTCTTTGTCCTCAAGCAGCTCACAGGGCAGAGAGACCCTGATAGAGTACAGACTTCATGAAGAGTGGGGATGGGAAGGGCATTCTCTCCACACGCATCCCTGTCCCACCTCGGAGATTTCCTCCTCAGAACGCTACCTCTTACGCTTTCCTGTCTCACTCTTTCCAGCTCTCAGTTTAGAAGGTGTTTCCTCAGAGTACCTTTGCTGACCTCTCAAGTCTGGTAAATGGCCCTTCTCACTGGTGCCTGCATGCCCTGTGTGCTCCTGTCATGCACACAACACAGCATAGTAAAATGCCTGGTGTATGTGTTTGTCTTTTCAATACTCTGAGCTCTGCTCATTGGCAAATCTCAGGACATAGCACAAGATGTGGCCCCTAAATGTTAACTGAATGAATGAATGGAATCACTGGTATCTCTTTAGCTTGAAGAATAGAAAGCCCTTGTAGGACAAAGACGATTGGGAGAAATGTGAAGTCTGGCGTGGACTCTGTCAGAAGGCAGAACTGAACCAGTGGATGGAATTAGAAGAGGGAGACTTCGGTTTCACATCAGGAATGATATCATAGTCAGAACTCACCACACACATAATAGGTTAGATGAGGGAGGAGGGAGTCCTTCATTGCAGGAGTTTTAAAGGTGAATACAAGAAATGGGAGGCACTTGGCCTGGCGCGGTGGCTCAGGTCTGTTAATCCCAGCACTTTGGGAGGCAGAGGCCAGTGGGTCACAAGGTCAGGAGTCGAGACCAGCCTGGTCAAGATGGTGAAACCCCGTTTCTACTAAAATACAAAAATTAGCCGGGTGTGGTGGCGGGCACCTGTAATCCCAGCTAATTGGGAGGCTGAGGCAGAAGAATCACTTGAACCGGGGAGGCAGAGGTTGCAGCGAGCCAAGTTTGAGCCACTGAACTCTAGCCTGGGCAACAGAGCAAGACTCCGTCTAAAAAAAAAAAAAGAAAGAAATGGGAGGCACTGAGTTTCTGGCTCAGTTTGCTGATGCCAGAAATACAGAGATGACTGATCAGTAAAATCCACTAGAAAGTGTGTGACAGGTTTCTTTTTCCTTATATTTTTCTTTTTTAAATACAAAAGTAATACCAGCCCACTGAAAATTTGAAAAGTATATGGCATTAAAAAGAGAAAAATAACATCCGATAATCCAACAAGATAAACTCTCTAAAATTTCTTTTCTCTTTTTAAATGAATATGTTAAGCTCGAAATAGAATTTTAAATTTATCTTGATGTTTTACTCAACAACGTAGAAGCATCTTTTATGTCATTATTTTAAGTCACAACCACTTTTAGTGATGATGATTTAAAGAACCATTTGCTTTTTCCTTACTGTTCCCTGTTTTTAGATTTTTGGCTAGTGTCTAATTTTTCCCTGTTATAAATAATGCTGAGATGAACAGAATATGTAGATTTCTAATAATTTGCAAATGAACAGCATATGAAAAACATGAGCAAAAATTTTGCAGTTATAATTACTCAACACAAGTTTTAAATAAATTACTTTTATTTTGAGCGTTCATTCTTACGTATGTTATAGGAAGTAAGTAAGAAGCATTCCTTACTCCTTAGAATTTTGTTTATAAGTTAGTGATGAATTGGAAAGGGTAGCTTGCCCCTGGAATTCTCTGATAAGCACAGGTGATGAGGAAAATGGAGAAATCCAAGAATTCCTTTGTCTTTCCTTGAAAGTAGTCAACTTTAAGTGCAGTGCAGGCGTGCCCTCTAGCGGCCAAATAAAAAATAAAGAAATACGGGAAACCTTCAGCATTGTAACAATCGCACGTCCCCATCTAGTGGCTAACGTGTGTAAATGCAGCTTTTCTAATCACAATAACGAATGTTACTTGATTTATATGTCTCATGAGGTGAAGAGCTGGAAGGAATCTTAGAGACCATGTATTTCAACTTCCTCACGGAGTGGCATGCAGGCAGCAGCCTTGGGAACCCCGATTGCCCCTCCTCACACCTGCCCATCATAGGACTTGGGCGACGGGGTGGTGAAGTCAGGCTGTGGCCCCAGCGGCGCCACGAGGCCGAAAACCGGCGCTCAGCCTCATCCCGGTGGCTGCAGAGTGCCAAGCGCCAGGTCCTGCGCTCCGGGCGCGGGTCAGAAGCAGCTGGCAAGGGCAGCGCAGCCTGTGGGCCCTTGGGCGCTGGCCGGCCGCAGCTCCGGGAAGCCACGTCAGCCCACGGGCGCTGCAGCTGCAGCCGCCACCAGCACATGGAGCAGGGGTCCCCGAGGATTGGGAATCCCCGACCAGGCCTGCGCCTCCAGCCGCGCGGACCCCGGGGCCAGCCTGGCCGCGGCAAGTCAGGCAGTCTGCGGCAGGAGCGCCGGGCATGGGCTTCGGCCGGGGGTGCAGGAGGCGCGCACCCTCCGGCCGGATGGCGGCGCACTCAGGGCTCAGGAGGCCATCCCACGGGAGCCCCGCCAGCCCCCGCCGGAGCCCGAGCTGCAGTGCCGCCTGCAAGTGGTGCGCTGGCTGCAGCTGTGGCAACCCCAGATCCCGTCCTCCCGCCTCGCACCCATCAGCGCGGACCCCGGGGGCGACGCAGTGGCGATGTCGGGCTGTGGGCCCAGCGGTGGCACTAGGCGGAGAAGCACCACTCAACCCCATCCCTGGGCTGCAGAGGGCCCAGCGCGGGGGGCTCCGAGCGTCGGGAGCCTGTGGAAGAGAAGAGCGCGCGGGCGACAGTTAAACAGGCCCTGGGGCAGGGCGCGCCTCGCGCTCCAGGGAGCCCCGCCCTCCCGCGGCACCTCCGCAGCAACCGCCGCCTGCACTGGGCGCGCGAGAGCTGCTAGGGCGGTTTCTCTGCCTCGGGCCTGTTGGGCAGGGCCGGCTAAGGTGCGCGTGCTCGCTGGTTCTAACCCTTCTGTTGGGCGTTTCTGCTGAGAGGCGGGAGGCGCTGAGAGTCTGTGCGAAGGTCCGTGGACAGACTGCTTTGCCTGTTGTTGCTCTTCGGAGGCGGCGATCCCCGAAGGCGAGCTGAAATACGGCTGCAGGCTACAATTTGCAGCCGACCATTATGGATGACAAGGAGCCGAAGAGGTGGCCCACCCTCAGGGACCGCTTGTGCTCGGATGGCTTCTTATTTCCCCAATACCCCATTAAACCGTATCATCTGAAGGGGATCCACAGAGCTGTCTTCTATCGTGATCTGGAGGAACTGAAGTTCGTTCTGCTCACGCGTTATGACATCAATAAGAGAGACAGGAAGGAAAGGTAATGGGGGCCGGGAGCCGGGGCTGCGGGAGGAGGCCTGTGGATGTGGAGAAGTACCCCTTTCCAGGCTGAGGGCTGCGGGGCGGATGGTCCGGGGCTCGGGGTATGGACGGGGGCTAGGGGGTGCCTGGCTGGGGTGGGAGTGAGTGGAGCGGGGCCTGGGGAGTGGCGGTATATGGGGTGGCGGGGTGTGGAGTGAGTTGGGGGATGGGAGTGGGGAGTAGGGGGTGCATGGGGTGGGGGTGTGAATGGGCTGAGGTGGACGGAATGAAGGCTTGGGGGGTAGGGGGTGTGGGGTGGGGAGATGGGGTGAGGGTTCAATGGGATAGAGGACTGGAGGTGGGGGTGAGGTGTGGGGGTGAATGGGGTGGCGGAAAGGGGTGCAGAGGTGAGGGGGGCGAGTCCTGTCACCAAAGGGGCTGGACTTTCTTTCCTGGCAGGCTCAGCCGCACCTGGGATGTGGAAACCTTGGCAGGGGCGAGCACCCAGGTCATTTTCACAAGCAGCAAAACAAAAACAAAACTTCAGCTGGTTTCCAATCACTCACCATGCTGCTTCTTTATAAATCATTTTAAAGTGATTTCACTAATAAAATTCAGCATGTACAGCGTTTTATTTTTAATGTACACGTTTTAAAGCATAATGTTACATACATTATGGAAAGGTGCATAATGAGAGAAATCATTTCCATAATATATCAACTTCCTGACTAAAAATTCTTTGGATAAAAATCCAATATTTATTTGATATCAATGGACACCTATGTCAATTTGGTTTTCACTGAGGGACCTTAGAGGGAAACTTTGAAGTGGGAAGATGGTCTGTGTTCTTGAATAGAAAGACACATTTTTCTAAAGTTCTGAGCTCTTTCTATGTTTATAAATTTTACATAATCCAAATAAAGTTATCAAAGTGTTAATATTTTTGAATTACTCATGCTGTCTTTTACTATTGTGACGACATTAAGAAAACTTTTGAAATGGAGTCAAAAAAGACTTGCCTTTCTAGATATGAAAATGTGCTGTTAATTTCCACAAGTTATTTACTAACAGCTGAAACAACAAATCAGTGAATGGAACAGGTTAGAAAATCCAGGAACACACCAATATGTGTAAGAATTTATTAGGTTGGTGCAAAAGCAATTGCGGTTTTTGCCGCAATTACAAGTAATGGCGAAAACTGCAATTGCCTTTGCACCAATCTAATAGAATTGGATAATGGTGACATTTCATATTAGTAGGAAAAGATGAATTACTCATAAATGAAGTGCCTGCTAACTATTTGGAGAAATCTGGCTAGATTTTTATGTCACAGAAATAAGTTCGTTATGGAATGTAGATTAAAAACTTTAAATGCACAAAATAAGAGATAACAGAAAAAACCACAAATGCCTACTTATATTGATTCATGTTTATATTCCTACAAATATCACAAGCACACATTCTGAAGGTCGATTTAGCAAAATAAAAAAAATCCAGTTTATAAGAAAAAATTAAAAGACAATATGTGTATATACATATTAGATAAAAAAGTGATTTTCATTTTACAGAGAATTCTTCAAATAAACAAGAGCTCTCATTTAAAATAGAGCAAAGCATTTTTTTTTCAGATATTCAAGCAACCTATGCACATGGGAAAAAATATTTAGTGTTCCTGGGAGGAGAAGGTATTTAAGTTAAAAAAGGAATGAAATACTATTTTCTATCCACAAATTTGTGAGGGTAAAGGGTAGCAGTACATATACTGCTGTTGAAAGTTTACATTTCTGATGACTTTTCAAATAGACAATTTGTTGGTAAGTATCACACTGTAAAAATGTATGTGCCCTTCACCCATCAATTCCATTATACTAAAATATCTCTAGGAAATAGAGATACATGCAATTTGTTTTTCTCAGCACTGCTTAAAATAGCAATGTATTTGGAAAACCCCTTATAATGGATTTTATAAATTTTATAAATTTATCAATAAATTTCAGTGCATCCATAGGATGGGACAATATGGGACCTTTGCAGATGTCAGTAGATACAGATGTATGTTGAGGTGTGAAGATGTACTCTGAAAAAAAGTTGGTTTGATTATACATACACACAAACAATCTATGGTGTTTGTAAGCCAAATATGTGTACAAAATATAACATTTCTTCTTTTCTGGCAGGGGTATTGTGATATTTTTTCTTATCCGTGATGTATAAATGATCAGTATGTTTAAAACTTCTAGTAAATGTGTTTTATTAATGAAATTATCCTTGGGAAAAGAAGAAATATAAATCTTGCAAAGAAAAAATAATTCTCAGTTTCTATTTTATTTTATTATTTATTTCTTTGCTTGTTTGTTTATTTTTGTGATGGAGTCTTACCCTGTTGCCCAGCCTGGAGTGCAGTGGCATGATCTTGGCTCACTGCAATCTGCCTCTCAGGTTCAAGTGATTCTCCCACCTCAGCCTCCTGAGTAGCTGGGATTACAGATGTGTGCCACCATGGCCAGCTAATTTTTGTATATTTTAGTAAAGACGGGGTTTCACCATGTTGGCCAGGCTGGTCTCAAACTCCTGACCTCAGGTGATCCCCCCGCCTCGGCCTCCCAAAGTTCTGGGATTACAGGTGTGAGCCACTGTGCCTGGCCTTATTTTTATTTTTTTGTTTATTGGTATATTCTGTGAACTTTTAGCCTCTTCAGAGGCAGAGGGAATATTTTTATTTGTGCTTGATTATTTTATTATGCATAGATTTTAGTATATAAATAGGTTTTTATTATAGTTTTATTACATATAAGCAAACAATTTTAAATTAATTATTTTAGTTTATCAGTGTCCTCATGAAAATGAAAATGAGCAAATATAAGTGATTATCACTATTCCAAAAGCACTGCTTTAATTTATGTTTTTTTCATAATAAACTTCCCAACTGTATGTATGCATTCTTTCAATCCAGTTATTCATCAAGCATAACCTGAATACCTATTATGTAGCAGACACATTCCACCATCTCTCAGGACTCTTCCACCCTTAACAACTTCATGTTTACCTGCCCAGCCTGAGCAAGCTGAGATTTAAAATGGAAGCATTAGGACTGAATCCCAATTGGATCTTTTATTCCTTTTTTTTTTTTTAAACAAAAGCAATTCTGAAGTTAGAAAATAGTGAAAGATAACCTTTAACTGCCATTTCAGAAACTTATGACAGTCTCAAATACTACTATTAATCATTGCAAATACCTAATTTACATAACATTCTGTAAGTATTGAAAAAAATGAGCCATACCTATTCATTTGAATCCTGAGTTTTCTTTGGATTATTTTATTTTGAAAATTAAAGTAAGAATTACTTTGTTTTAAAAATTTGTTGTTTTTTTTTTTTTTGCCTTCTTTTTCCACAGTACTTTATTTAGGTGCCAATTATATGAGTAGAACTGCCTGTTCTATGAACTGTATCCCACTTAATGTAAGGCATCACGGATTGGGTGATGCCACGTTACTTTATATATCAATAAGATAATGTTTAAAATGTTGCCAGTTATAAATGTAATAAATAATGAATTGTAAACAGTATTCCAATGTTAGGAGATGTTAATATATAAGAGAATAGTAGCTTATATAAGAGAATAGTGAGAAAATGAGCATCTGAGAATGACTGAAATACAACGATACATCTAATCTTTAATAGATACCTCAATGTAGATATGATTGTATCATTTTACTTAATTAAAATGTCTTTGTAAAAATTAGCCGGGCGCGGTAGCGGGCGCCTGTAGTCCCAGCTACTCGGGAGGCTGAGGCAGGAGAATGTCGTGAACCCGGGAAGCGGAGCTTGCAGTGAGCCGAGATTGCGCCACTGCAGTCCGCAGTCCGGCCTGGGCGACAGAGCGAGACTCCGTCTCAAAAAAAAAAAAAAAAAAAAAAAAAAAGTCTTTGTAAGTAGTAATATCTAAAAATTATTGAGCTGTTATTTGTGTTAGAAAGTGTTCTAAATGCTGTGCATAGATTCTTATGTAAGCATCACAGCAGTGTTCTGTGGGCTAGCTACTATTCTCTTATATATTTTATTGATAAGGAAATTGAAGCAAAGAAAGGCTAAATAACAGCTAAGTGACAGAGCTTACAGTAAATTTTAAGCCCCAATTAAACTGAATCCAAAAGCCAAGGCTTTTCTATTAAATAGCCTGCTCTTTCATTAATGTGGTAATAAGCGCTAACAAATGTACTTTCTTCACAAGAAAATTACATATTTGTTTTGAAGACAGAGAAATAACATGCTAATTAATGCTTACAGTTACATGTTTTAAAAAGTCCTGTCACTCTCACAGGACCGCCCTACATTTGGCCTGTGCCACTGGCCAACCGGAAATGGTACATCTCCTGGTGTCCAGAAGATGTGAGCTTAACCTCTGCGACCGTGAAGACAGGACACCTCTGATCAAGGTACATAGTAGCTGACTCTTTTTGAGCATGAGATGGATTTGGTTGAAGTACATAGGATAAAATGAATTTATCTCATTGGAATACCACCATATAACTAGTAGGAAATCCTACGGAGTGTTTATTTTGATTTTTCAATATTTGCATGTTTCTCGGTCTAATACTGACAGGCTGTACAACTGAGGCAGGAGGCTTGTGCAACTCTTCTGCTGCAAAATGGCGCCGATCCAAATATTACGGATGTCTTTGGAAGGACTGCTCTGCACTACGCTGTGTATAATGAAGATACATCCATGATAGAAAAACTTCTTTCATATGGTGCAAATATTGAAGAATGCAGCGAGGTATAGGTCAACCAATGTTATTTTCAAACTATCTGAAATGCATTTATTTTAACATTGACACATGTAAGGGTCAATTTTTCATATTTGGAAGCTCAAACATTCCTTGAATGAAAATATTTTGAAATGCCTTAACTGTCTAAGATTTTACTTTAAATTTTGGAACTTTTAAAGAAGCATTATAAGGAACAGCTATTTTTCATGCACTTATGGTAAATAATTATACAAACATGAATTACAATAAATTTGGAATTCATGACAACTGAATTTGGGAAAGGTAATAGTTAAGTGTTTTTCCACTAAATTACTCTTTTTCTAATCAGTGTGAAGTGACACAGGAAAGTAAAATTGGCCCTTATAAATAGGCTTTATTTTAAATTTCAAAGAAAATTAAAGAATTTCACAATAAATGTACATCTTGTTGCTGTTGACAAGTATTGTATGTGAAGGTGATTTCATCTGAAAGTGATTCCTCTGTGGAAAGGCTTAAGAGGGAAAAATGAAGAAAAGGAGAGCAATCAGAAATGCACAAGCTAATTTGGAAATTAGGTAATGAGGGAAAATACTGTGGAGAGTGTTTTTGTGTGTTTTGTTGTTTGTTTTCAATTTATATGTTTAGACAAGGATCGCTTCAGTTTTGGGGATGATTATTCTTACTTTGGGAAAGAGTTTGTGAGTTGTGAAATTGCCCAGGGATCAATTTTGGTAGGACTCTGAGGAAACCAGGTTGGCAGTGAATAGTGGTGATGAAGCGGCACACAGTTCAGCAGAGAGAAGAACACATAATTAATGGACATTATTCAATTCTGGCAGAAACAGCCACTCAGATAAGCATCTAAACTCTACTCTCAAGTCCAGAATGTCTTGATGGGCAGGTGGGAGATACGGAGCTTATAAATAGTAAAATCAAGTTGGATTTTGAGCTTACTAGTCTCTTCCCTACCCCTACCCAGGAAAAGTAAATGAAGTTTTCAGTGAATGGCTCTATCTTTTGCTCTTTCCTCTTTTCAGCCAAATCCCAAACGATAAAGGGAATTTGCCATGTGAGTGAGAGATGAGACTGAAGTGATTATCAACTGTGCTGGTTCGCAGTTAGAATTGTGCATGGCAGTAACCTGGGGAAATTAAAAGCAAATCTCTAAGTCTAGGATATCCCCTGAAGATTTTAATATAGTAAATCTAATATTTACTATTAAATATTACTGGACATGTATGTTTTAAAATATTTCCTTGAAGCTGGGCATGGTGGTGCCTCTAGCCAGAGCAACAGATTAAGACACTGCCTCTAACAGCAACAACACAACAACAACAATAAAACATTTCTTGAGACACTGATACGCTGCTGGTTAAGAACCACTGAATAGATAAGTGTAATATAAATTCCCATATCTCAAACACACAAAAAATCTCTAGAAGACCTGGAGATAGGTGCTGCTTCCTTTAAATTTCTCCTTTCCAATAATATTGGCCTGACTTTTACCTGTCTCTACCTCTGTGGTTGGGAAGTGAAAAGGACTATTATTTGCAGTATCTATCAGCATGAGAATAACACCTTTTCTTTGCCACCATCACTTATTCACTGCCATTCATAGGGTCATTAGAAATTTGCTATTGTGGACTCTTTTAATAAGTAGAGACTGACTCTTTCAGGACTCTGAGTCTCTTTGTTATCATTCTGGTGATTAGGTCAATACATCATTATTAAAAGCGGGGTTCTCTCAATTACAATAGTAAAAAATTCTAAACCTTTTTTTAAAGCTGAAGCTCTATTATGGACTGCCTCAGTATGTCAGTTAAGTACCTAGAAATGTGGCATAATCAGGATAGCAGTTTTAAACACTGAAAACCATGAAGTTAGTAAGAATACAGAGAATACATATAGGTCATTATTAGAGCTTTAATTGATAAGCCATTGTATTTTTATTTCTGATTTATATTTTACCTAAAATAAAAAAAATGAGGTTACAATATAGAAACTAGAATTATAAGTTAATATTATTTTAATAATTTAGTTGCAGCAGTCCTATGAACTAATTATCCATTTGGTGAACAATCTGGGAAAATTAAACATAAATTATAAATGAATGAATGTTGTAAAAGTGCTCAAAGTGGGTATTATGACTCTTAGTAACAATTTTTATTGCATTCTTGGGCCTATTTTGGAAAAAAAAATCTGAAACTAAAGAAAGGAAGTATTTTACATGAAAATACTTGCGTTACATACAATCGCTTGGAGACATATCCACAGCAAATATAAAAATACAAGGTCTATAGTCCAAATGTGTCCCATAGATGTGTTTAGTTTGCCTCTACAAATTGTCTCAACATGGAAAGTTTAGGAGACTCGTGCACAGATCTGGATTCCAGGCTTCTCTTCAAGAATCCAATCTGGTGTCCCTTGAGCCTATCTCAGGTTTTGGATGCTGTGCAGAGGTTGCCCCTTTCTATGAGGCATGTGGTCTCCATTTTGCTACTGTGCCTACCTAGGTACTTCACTTCCTCAGGTCATCTCCCTTGCCTCTGTAGGGATGACTTTACAAGCCCTGTTTTATAATATATTTTAGTAAATATTTCAAGGTTTTCAAGACATTTTATATTTATTTAAATGTAGAGTCTATATTTTATATAAATCCTTTGGTAATCGGGTTGAACTTTTGAATTTAGATGGTGGTGTTTTATAAACTATTTATCTTTATACATACCATAAATAATCATCTTCCCATTAGAATGCATGTAAGCTTTTTAAGGTGAATCACGGTATAGTTGCATAGGTTATGCATATTGCAGACAACATTATATTTTTCTCTTCAGCATTGCCTCCTAAAAATGCAAGTAATTGGCCGAGCGCAGTGGCTCACGCCTGTAATCCTAGCACTTTGGGAGGCAGAGGCAGGTAGATCACGAGGTCAGAAGATTGAGACCATCCTGGCTAACACGGTGAAACCCCCTCTCTACTACAAATACAAAAAATTAGCTGGGTGTGGTGGCACACGCCTGTAGTCCCAGCTACTCGGGAGGCTGAGGCAGGAGAATTTCTCGTGCTTGAATCCGGGAGGCGGAGGTTGCAGTGAGCCGAGATGGCACCACTGCACTCCAGCCTGGGCGACAGAGCGAGACTCCATCTCAAATAAATAAATAAATAAATAAATAAATAAATAAATAAATAAATGATGCAAATAATTTAGTGGCTTTCACTATGCTATAAATAATACATATAAGTCATTATTAGAGCTTTAATTGATAAGCCATTGTGTTTTTATTTCTGATTGATATTTTACCTAAAATAAAAAAAGTTAGGTAAGAATTAATTGGAAACTAGAATATAAATAAATTTTTAAAGGAGTTATGTACCAGGGTCCTAAGATTATAATTACATAAATATTTGCATCAGGGTCCTAAGATTGTAATTGAGAATAACATTTCATACAGAGCTTTCTGACAGCTAAGATAAAAATATTACTAGAGAAAACCCATGGACTATTTAATAATAAGCAGTGAAAGTTTACTCGAAGCCTATCTCTATTAATTCAGAGCCCGGCTCTCCGAATTAAAGAGAGAGAGGCTTCAAATGAACTGTCAATCGTGTCAGAATCTCAGGTGACAATGTCAGGTGCTCAGGTGCTCAGGAGCTCCTGACATTGTCACCTGAGATTCTCACACCATCGATAGAAGAGAATGAGGCAAGTGTGTGTCACCCAGAGGAAACCTCCACCTTTACTGGTAAGCTCTCACAACTGTATCCCTGAAACTCATTTCTCAAATGTTAACATTCTCCAAAATAAGTATTTACAAATAGGGATTAGGTGAAGTTCAAAAGATTTCTCAAATACTAGACACATAATGCACAGTTTTGTAACATTTTTCAAACATGGGTGATCATGGAGTCTCTCTTTTGGGGTATAATGTTCAAATTCTGGTAAAGTAAATATCCTTTGGAATATATTAATAGTTTAAGAAACACCGCTCTATAGATAATAATTTAGATCATTAATAAAAATACCTGAAACATTTATTACTGTGTCTTAGAGTTTGAGGACATAGAGAAAAAAATACAGCTGCTGCCCTCAAGAAGCTCTTGGTTCAGGTGGGAAACAATTAAATCCTTGAAACATGCCATGCTAAATGCTGGGACAGAAGCAAAGATTCTTGGAACTGGGAAATGTTTGAAGTGAGTTTTGGAGATGACCAGAGTTCTTGTGGTGAGGCAGAGGAGGTTGTTTCCAGGGGAAGGAGCAGAACATAGAAAAGCACCGAGGAGGGAAAAGAAAGGGACTACCTCTTACGACCTTTCAATTGTATATATTGAAGCTCACAGGATCTTACATAAGGTTTTCATTTCAGTTGATAAATATGTAATTTTGTGATTATAAATTGTTGCTGTTATTTTACAGGATGAATATCCGCCACTGTTCCTTGCTGTGAGTCAAAGAAAAGTGAAAATGGTGGAATTTTTATTAAAGAAAAAAGCAAATATAAATGCCGTTGATTATCTTGGCAGGTACAGACCTTAGTTCTTATTGTGTTGTTTTTAAACCTGAGTGTCATTTTAGAGTGGTAGCGGTCACTGAAGTCACAAATTTTACATTAATAAGAAGACTAACTTTTAATTATTGGGATATAGTGAGAAATATCAACACAGATCATCCCTTAGTTAGAAAAACAATTATTTGGACTGAGTAACATAAAGAACAGTGTATAGCAGGATTCATCTCTCTATATAGACATTATACACATAAAAGGCTTCTATATATAGAAAGCTCTGTATATTGATAGATGTTTGTTATTTATAGTATGATGTGGTGTTATTTACAATGTAATAATGTGATGCTTTTGATTGTATGATCTTACATTAGCTAAAGGGGTTTCATGTTAGTTTTTCATTTCTACTGTGTTTTGATGTTGCTTTTAATTGATATGGGGAGGGGGAGAAAAGATAGCTTTAAATGGATAAAACTTTACTTTAATGAAGACAAGCTTTAGGTTCACACAGGACTGGGTTTAATCCCTAGCTTTCCCACTTGCTAGATGTGTGACCTTGGTAACATTACTTATCACCAAGTATGTTTTCTTCTGTGAAAAGGAGGGTAATAATATATCCTTCAAGGGTGGTTGTGTGTAAGTAACATTTTATATATATATATATAATGTTAGAATGTCCAGCTAACAGAGAAAGGTGCTGATGTTTTGGAAACAATGGCTGAGCATATAAGTATGTGCATATATTACATATACACACATATGTATGTAAGAATATAATGTAAGTAACATCATATATCATATAATATATACAATATATATTTTATAGATAATATATAATATACTATATATTATATATTTTATAGATAATATATAATATAGAATGTATATTATATATTTTATAGATTATATATAATATACAATATATATTTTATATATATGTGGTGTTACTTATACACAACCACCCTTGAAGGATATATTATTATCCTCCATATACATATATTTATATATCATGTTTAATTAAATGCCTAGCACATGCTTATGAGCATCATTAACTGAAGCTACGACTACTACTATTAGCATTCCTATTAATATTATTGTTTTAAGCCTGCAGATAGCTCTTATCTGACCCTTCAGCTGATTTTGCATTATAATGTATAGTATCAGACTAGGGAAGAAATGAATAATTTTTCACTTAAATTTGCCTACTGTAGATAGGTGGCCTGAGCATAGTTTCTTGCCCATCAAAGGACTTTAAGTTAGCAACTTTATGTCATACCACAGTGGGACAAGAGGCTTCCTTTTTGTTCCTTGCTTTTAACCTTTGTGGTAACTTGCAAAGATATACCCTTGAGCACCTAAGATGCTTGTTTCTTAGTACATGTAATTGGGTTAATTCTACATGGACAGGCAACATATTAAGTTGATAAAGTATATAAACTAAGCTTTTAAAATGTCATTAAAGTTTTTAATTACCTCTCTGTTATTTTAGATCAGCCCTCATACATGCTGTTACTCTTGGAGAAAAAGATATAGTCATTCTTCTTCTGCAGCACAATATTGATGTGTTTTCTCGAGATGTGTATGGAAAGCTTGCAGAAGATTATGCCAGCGAGGCTAAGAACAGAGTGTAAGTCTTTACATAAAAAGGCTAATGAACACTAAATTGAAGTTTAAAATAATTGTAGCAATTGCATCTTATATATCAGGTGAGATTGCATAGTTTGATTCAAGTAGTTTTCAAGTGACAAATTTTCAAGTTTTTAAGTTTTCGAGAGTTGTGCAACTTCATCAGCCAGAAATCAAGAAAAAGGCTAGGTAAGTAGCAGTAGGTGCAAGATTCTTGATATTGAAACTTTCAGGACTTTTCTCCTTAGGGATTCCAATGTTGTACATTTTATTTCCAGTATAACCCCTATGCATAGGATAAAGTAGTTTCACATCTTTGATTTTTCTAATTAGTTATTTGGGTCTCAAAATGTCCAGTTTATCAAAAAACCTTGTGCTGTGCACTGGGGACCATCTACTATAGCCTGATCATGGAATTTTTCAAGAACCTAAGGGGTTCCCTAAGTCCAAGGAAGACAATCAGTGTCTACAAGTCAGAAGGAGAAGGGGAAAGGACATTCTAATCATTGCTTTGTTTTCATTGATTCTGTTGTTGCTTTCTTACAATTGAAAGTACTCTTGCAGTCTGGTAGTGATTAACCTTTGCCACCAGGATGCCCTTTCTGTTTGACATCCCTCAATCTTCATGTTGATCCATAAAAAGGCTTCAAAGTTACAACTGTTTTTTTTAGTTCAGTTGCACATACTTATATGCTCAGCCATTGTTTCCAAAACAGCAGAACCTTGCTCTGTTACCTGGATATTCTAACTTTATCAACATACATACGGAGCAAATTGACACTTTCACCCACACTCAAAACCTGATGTAAAGCCCACATTTTAACCTGGGCTTCTAGACCTTCATGGTGAGTTATTTTTTGTGTCCCTTTTTTTTCTCTTTAAAGCAAATATTAGTTGGGATAGTTCTAAACTGTCACAGATATTCAAATAATGTTGTAGAAAGAGATCACAGTTTTTTTCTTTATTGCTACCAGATCTGTACCCTGAGACTTTTTATATAAACAGTGTAAAAGCTTTTCTCAGGTAGTGGAAGCTTCCATGCCATCCTTCCTTAGAGTAGTAGGCATTCAACTTGTGGTTGGCCCCTCAAGTGATCTGTTTTCTATAATAATGAAGATCTCTCAAGCTGCTTGCATCACCATCTCAAGTTTATAAAATATTTTCGGATTCTACTTCACAGGAAGCCATTCATTGGAATTATCTGAGTCTCAAGTTGGTTAGTTAGATTTAACAGAGCTAACCCTCATCCATGACTTATCAGCAGTTATATGTAAAAGTTAGGCTTTGTGCTTGCTTTGGCAGCACAAATACTAAAATTGGAACAATATGGAGAAAATTAGCATGGTGAAGCATTTCATATTTTGCAGTCACGGGAAGGTCATTTGACTGTTTGCTGGCTAGCTAAGTCATAGTTTGAATCAAAACAAAATGGGTGGCCTTATATTAGAATTGTGATTTTTCACTACAAAAACATTTGTGTAAGGTGATCTATAAACTGAGAATGGAGATAAGTAACACATGGGGTGTTGTGTAAATATTTTATTAGTATGTATCTTGGAAATGAGAAAATGTCAACTTGCATCTACTTCATGGAACTTAAAAAAAATGAAAGTAGGGTTTTGTCTTCCATGTCAGTTGGAGATAACATCACTGATGGAGATGAACCATCATTCTAGCAAACATCTGCTCATTCAGTTAGAGTCTGTAGAGAAGTAGTAGTTGTAGCCCAAGCCAGATCTTGACATCTGTTAGTTTTCTGCCCTTGGAATTGATGAGCTCAATAATAGTTAACAATCGTGTTACCTATTTTAATGAAATAATGTATTCATAAATTAATTTATTTATGAATTAAGAAATAGTTGAGATAACCTGAATTATAAGCCACAAATAATAGAACAATAAGCAAAATTAGGACTTAACATTTTTCTTAAACTGAAGCATTTGAATATTAGAACCTATGAAAAAATACACATTGGGTTTGATTTGGGATTTCAAAATAGTTTCAGCGATAAAGTTCAAGAACAAGCTCCACTGCTTTACTATTTCTCTGTGAATGTTAAAAATGCTACTTCATTAAACCTATTTAACAACCTAGTGAAAGGAGATAGTAAAATCTAGAAGAAGACATTGTGCCTAAGAGAAGCAACTTGTTTAAGAGCAAATACCTGTTGGCTATAGAGCCAGGACCTTCCAGTAAGAGCCAGGAAGGTGACTTTCCATTGTGTCAAGCTGATGTGAGATAGTTTGCTGAGCTATACTGCCTTCACTTCATGAGTACTTCACCTGTTATTATTATTTAATTAGAAAGGTACTAAGAAGTTTGTAGAGCTTACAGAAGAGAAGTGTATAGGATAATTAACATCCTGATATTGTTCAAGATACTCTAATAATTTAGTATATTTGGTAAATGTTTTTGATAATAGTATTAAAATATTAATTTCATTTATTTTTATGCATAGCATTTTTGAACTAATTTATGAATATGAAAGAAAGAAACATGAAGAGCTTTCTATAAATAGCAATCCAGGTAAGATTTCTGATAGTGAATTACTCTTGATGGTACTACCATAGATAAAAAAGAATAAAGATGTTTTGATTACAAAAAAGCAGTTTAAAAAAATCACTGTTTAAATTGCACACATTTAAAAAATACTTAGTAGTCTAGATTTTATAATTATTTAAAAAGTTAATTGTAGGTAATTTATAATCTCAGTATTGTATGAAAAAAATTATTATTTAATTATGGTTCCTAATATTCTAGATGATCTTTTTGTGTAAATAAGAAAACAAATTTTTAAGTTATTATGTTGTATTTTTTTATAGTCACATGATAATGAATTAGACTTTTTATATAATTAGAACTTCTATTTAATTTGTAAAATAAATTCTTTGCAATTACTAAATGAATCAATAATTACAGTTGGCCCTTGAACAACATGGGATTTAGTGCTGCCAATCCCCATGCTGTTGAAAATACATATTTGGTATGTTGTATATATTATATATTGTATTCTGAATACAAGAAAGTAAGCTAGAGAAAGGAAGCTTTTGCAGTAGTTGAAGCTTTAGTTTGCTTGTAGTTCGATGCTTGAACTACTATCAATCTAGTGTAAGGTGTTCACCCATCCATGGTAAAATAAAGTAAATTTACTCCATTTACTCATTTTAAAATGTTGGTCTTTTTCTTGCCCGTATGCCTTCTTTATTTGTTTTACTTAATTTTTTATTTATAAAAAAACAATAATAGTTGATAGGGAATTTTTTTCCTGTGAAAACCATCAGTGAAGAGGCCATGTTGATCTAGGAAATATAAACATATTTATTTGGTGGCAGTAGAAATATAAAGCAGAAGCAGAAAAGAGGTACAGTTAATATGATTTAGTGAACATTGAATGTAAAACATTAGTGGGGAGAGAGAAATCTTGGATCATTCATAGGTTTCCAGGTTGTGTACTGGCCTTTATACTGCACACAAGAAAGGAGTAGGACATGTTCACTGACTGGAGAAGTACAGCTGGTCAACAGGGAAGAATAACTTCCCTTCCCTCCAAATCTGAGGTTGGAGATGCAGACGTAGAATGATGTTATTATAATTATTAGGCAAAGTCATCGATCTCAATGAGCTGTCCATGATGCAGATGTAGAATGAGAAGCTATCCTGTGACAAAACCCTGGGAATGTGAACTTTCCCTCCACACCCCCAGGAAAAAAAGAGTTGGTGAAGGAGAATGAGCAGTGGCTAGAGAAAAGTAGGAGAGGAGTCAGAGGAAGTGATGTTGCAAAAATAAAAAAAGTGAGAATTTTAAGGAGGGAGTATGAATTCTAACAAGTAAGATTACTCAAAAGCCAATTAGATTTAACTTTTAAAAGCTCTTTGGCGGTACCCTTTTCAAAAGAACCATTTTTGAGGTGTAATGTGGGCTATTGATATGATTGGTATGTCTGTTGTCCAAATATGGAGGAACAAATCTACCAAGATCCTGCGTAACCCTTTTGTAACTGCAGAAGCTACGTGCACAGGGTCAGGGAAAATGGTCTTGACTTCTGAGTACATGTGCCCACGCTTTTACAGAATTGTCAAAACCTAAGGGTAATGTGTGAGAAAAACTGTGGTCTTCTTATCTGCTCCTTGTGGAAATACTTAGTTTGTACTGAAACCCCTGATAAGTTCTTCTGGATGCATTCTGAAACAAAAGTCTGGCAGCAGTAACTGGAACCACCTTGTCCAAAGCACATACATCCCGACTCTCTCCAACATGGAATCATAACACAGCCGCATTTCGAGAGTTTCAAGTTTCAATCAGAAGTAGTCTACAGACATGTGCATGTGTCTTTATAGCAGCATGATTTATAATCCTTTGGGTGTATACCCAGTAATGGGATGGCTGGGTCAAATGGTATTTCTAGTTCTAGATCCCTGAGGAATCGCCACACTGACTTCCACAATGGTTGAACTAGTTTACAGTCCCACCAACAGAGTAAAAGTGTTCCTATTTCTCCACATCCTGTCCAGCACCTGTTGTTTCCTGACTTTTTAATGATCGCCATTCTAACTGGTGTGAGATGGTATCTCATTGTGGTTTTGATTTGCATTTCTCTGATGGCCAGTGATGATGAGCATTTTTTCATGTGTTTTTTTGGCTGCATAAATGTCTTCTTTTGAGAAGTGTCTGTTCATATCCTTCGCCCACTTTTTGATGGGGTTGTTTGTTTTTTTCTTGTAAATTTGTTTGAGTTCATTGTAGATTCTGGATATTAGCCCTTTGTCAGATGAGTAAGTTGCAAAAATTTTCTCTCATTCTGTAGGTTGCCTGTTCACTCTGATGGTAGTTTCTTTTGATGGGCAGAAGCTCTTTCGTTTAATTAGATCCCATGTGTCATATTTGGCTTTTGTTGCCGTTGCTTTTGGTGTTTTAGACATGAAGTCCTTGCCCATGCCTGTGTCCTGAATGGTATTGCCTAGGTTTTCTTTTAGGGTTTTTATGGTTTTAGGTCTAACGTGTAAGTCTTTAATCCATCTTGAATTAATTTTTGTATAAGATGTAAGGAAGGGATCCAGTTTCAGCTTTCTACATATGGCTAGCCAGTTTTCCCAGCACCATTTATTAAATAGGGAATCCTTTCCCCATTGCTTGTTTTTCTCAGGTTTGTCAAAGATCGATAGTTGTAGACATGCAGCATTATTTCTGATGGCTCTGTTCTGTTCCATTGGTCTATATCTCTGTTTTGGTACCAGTACCATGCTGTTTTGGTTACTGTAGCCTTGTAGTATAGTTTGAAGTCAGGTAGTGTGATGCCTCCAGCTTTATTCTTTTGGCTTAGGATTGACTTGGTGATGTGGGCTCTTTTTTGGTTCCATATGAACTTTAAAGTAGTTTTTTCCAATTCTGTGAAGAAAGTCATTGGTAGGTTGCTGGGATGGCATTGAATCTATAAATTACCTTGGGCAGTATGGCCATTTTCACGATATTGATTCTTCCTACCCATGAGAATGGAATGTTCTTCCATTTGTTTGTATCCTCTTTTATTTCATTGAGCAGTGGTTTGTAGCTATTCACAATAGCAAAGACATGGAACCAACCCAAATGTCCAACACTGATAGACTGGATTAAGAAAATGTGGCACATATACACCATGGAATACTATGCAGCCATAAGAAATGATGAGTTTATGTCCTTTGTAGGGACATGGATAAAGCTGGAAACCATCATTCTAAGCAAACTATGGCAAGGACAAAAAACCAAACACCACATGTTCTCACTCATAGGTGGGAATTGAACAATGAGAACACATGGACACAGGAAGGGGAACATCACACACCAGGGACTGTTGTGGGGTGGGGGGAGGGGGGAGGGATAGCATTAGGAGATCTACCTAATGCTAAATGATGAGGTATTGGGTGCAGCACACCAACATGGCACATGTATACATATGTAACAAACCTTCACGTTGTGCACATGTACCCTAAAACTTAAAGTATAAAAAAAAAAGAAGTAGCCTACAGACCAGCAGTTTGGAGAAGCTGACGTCTTTTATATAACATCATGGAGAAAAATGTAAGATGATATGCTAAGTATACCAAGTCTCTGTGTTCTGGGACACTTTGTTTTAGTGCAATTCCCTTTTCATGACCTCTTGTAATATCTCTGCTTTTACTGTTTTCTTTTGAATTTCATCCCTAAAGAAAATATTATTAGAACACATTTCTAACACAGGTATTTTTGACAACTATATAGGATTTTCTTTTAAGAGAATTAGCTACCTATTCTAAAGTATATCTGGTATTCTATTAATCTTTAATGCTAAACTTCTTTATATCTTTAGCACAGTGACAGTGTAAGTGATGCTGCTCCTTTAAGATTTTAAGTTTCTTTTAAATTTTCAAACTTTAAATGTCTTTTAAATTTTCAAATTAAGTTAAGACACTTAAGGTGTCTTTTAAATTTTCAAACTTGACATAGTTTTAATGTAAAACACTTTTCTGGTATTATATTTCTTCAAATATTGGTAATCTGTTACTTAGCTGGAATATTTGGTCAGTTGGATTACCACACCTTTAACCATCTATATATAAGTTTCTTGATTTTTTTTTTTTTTTGAGATTGAGTCTTTTGCTGTTTCCCAGGCTAGAGCACAATAGTGTGATCATAGCTCACTGCAGCCTCAAACTTCTGGGTTCAGGTGGTCCTCCTACCTCAGCCTCCTAAGTCGCTGATACTGCTACAAGCATATGCCACCACACCAAGCTAACTTTTTTATTTTTTATTTTTTAGAGACAAGGGTCTCTCTCTCTTACCCAGGCCAGTCTCAAACTTTTGGCTTCAAGTGATCCTCCTGCCTTAGCCTCCCAAAGTGCTGGAATTATAGTTACGAGCCATCGTGCTGGTCTATAACTTCCTTTATTCCCCAAAATGAGTTTAAAGTCCTATTGGCCCTTAATAAGAAAAACCCACTGTTTGGGAGCAGAAGTGGATAACTCATCCTACATTTTAAATGCAGTTTTTGACTTTTCGACCTGTTCTATGAAGAACTGCCCTTAACAGATGATTTTTAGTTTTAATAGATATTTTTAGTTTTATAAGAACTTAAGAAAAAAGATTAGAAACAAATTAAATGAGCTCTATGATCGATAGTACAGTATTATAGCCAATGGCTACATATATTTCTATAATTATCACAATGACCTGAATGATGCAAATTATTTTATGTATGTTTTTATTAATAGATTTTTTTTTTTGAGACTGAGTCTCGCTCTGTTGCCCAGGCTGGAGTGCGGTGGCACAATCTTGGCTCACTGCAAACTCTGCCTCCTGGGTTCAAGCGCTTCTCCTGCCTCAGCCTCCCAAGTAGTTGGGACTACAGGCATGCACCACCACGCCCAGCTAATTTTTATATTTTTAGTAGAGACGGGGTTTCACCGTGTTAGCCAGGATGGTCTCCATCTCCTGACCTTGTGATCCGCCCGCCCCAGCCTCCCAAAGTGTTTGGATTACAGGTGTGAGCCACCGCCCCCAGCCTACTAATACATTTTAGAGACAGGGTCTCACTCTGTTTCCCAGGCTGGAGTGCAATGGTTGTTCACAGGCACAATCTCCACTGCAGCCTCAAACTTTTGATCTCAAGCAATCTTCCTGCCTCAGCCGTTGGAGTAGTTGGGACTACAGGTGTGTGTCATTGCACCTGGCCTGATCCCCAGTTATTATAAAAGAAACCTTGGTGAGTTGAAGACAATTGGCTGTGATCTTTTTGTTTCTCTTCTAGAAGCTTTCATACTATGGGATATATTTTTAATCATCCATATTCTCAAATTTTTATTCTGGTTAAAATAGGATTGCTGCTTGTTTTTCATTATTTTTTGGCATAATTATTTCTATTCCTTTATGGATTTATTCATGCGGAAATACAGGAATCTCAAAGGCAACTGTTAAGGAGAACAGATTAGGGAAAGGTGTTTTATAAACAGCCTTCTGATCGTAGTCAGAGGTCACATCACCTTAAAGAAAACTAATTTCATATAATGCCACTATGTCAGAGTTTCCCAAGACCACCTCTGTGTTTGGCGATTCACTTAGAAGGACTCAGCAAACAGTGCTACTCTGGGCTTTGATTTGTTACAGTGAAAGAATACATAGTAAAATTGGCTCAGGGCAAAGGGGCATGTGGCAAGTCTTGGGGAAGCCAGGCACAAGCTTCCGGGAGCCCTCTCCTGTGGAGTTACCAGGATGTGCTGAATTCCTGTAGCTTCGAATTTTGACATCACATGGGCAATATTGTCTACCAGTATGAGTCTGACTAGAGACTTACACAGTATCCCAGGTTCTTATGGAAACTAGTTACATAGGCATTCTGTCTCACACATATACAAAAATTCCACACTTCCAGAAGAAAAGCAGCTGTTCAGAGTCAACCACATTGTTTATGCAAACAGTTTAGGTATAGTGAGCTACTTTTCTCAGGAAATGGTGACAAACCTTTAAAATGCAAATTTCCAAACACCAGCAAAGGGCCAGTTTTGCATGTAGGCCTTTCTAAGAATGACAGTCTTATGACTGTTATATGAATTATTTTCTTCACAGCAGTTACAGCCCCAACTTAATTTTAGGTGTCTTAAAAATTCTATTTGATAGTGAATAACATGGTAATATAACATAGCATGGTGCTTATTTCATTTGCGTCAGTTGCAACTTAATATGAAATACTAAGTTTCTGTGCTGTTAGATTTTGGAATTTTGGTGAATATTTAACAGGTTTCTATACAGAAGTTACTATGGCAATATTAGGTAATTATAGTCTGTTCTTATTCGATTAACCTTTCAGTAAAATGGTTAGATAAAATAAGTAATGATTTCTCATTTAAAATTAAAATAAAAAAATTTGTTTCATTTTAATTATATAGATGGTTCAGTTTTGTTTTATATTTTGTTAAATTTCTGTTTATAATTATGAAATTAAAAAAATCAATCATTTATCAGTTATTTTCTTGCCTGTTAATACAGTTAAGTTATTTGCTTTATGTACTTTTATATACTATAATTCTGGAGAGAATATTCATATTGTGTTTCAAATTGAGTACATCTTGCTATAATATATGGTAATATAGCAATATATTAGTAATAGAAGATTCAGTGAAAATCTTTTTAAAAAATTAATAACTTTATTTTAAGAGCAGTTTTATATTCTCAGCAATATTGAAAAGAACCTAAAGAGATTTTTGATATACGCCATCCCCCCTCACATGCATAGCTCCCCCCATTATCAATATCTCCCACCTGAGTGGTACATTTGTTACAACTGAGAAGCTTACATTGTTGCATCATAATAATCACCCAAAGTCCATAGTTTATATTTATATTTAAATATACCTTCTATAAAGCTGGACAAATGTATAATAAATGTACCCGCCATTAGAATACTTTCACTGCCCTGAAATTTGTCTCTCTTTTTTTATTCCTCCCTCACAACTAACCCCTGTCAACTACTAATATTTTTGCTGTCCCCATAGTTTTGATATGTCCAGCATAGTCATATATTAAGGATAACATAGTGGATATCTTTTTCTATATTACAGAACATAATTTCCAAGACAGTTGAATGTATTCAATTAAGCCATCCATTGTGCTTTTTTGCTTTTAGTTTATTAATGTAGGATTTAATGGCATATGCTTTACATGTTGAAAAAGCATAATTTATATAGACATTTGCCACATAATGGGGAGGGTTGAGGAAAATGACTTCATGCTGTGTACTACACAGCACTAACTGGTTCATCCTTCTCTGTGAGATGGGTCCAGATAGACTAGCAGTGGAAAGGGACAATCTCAAGAGGTTGTACTTTATAAAACTGGAGTCAGAAAGTCTTTCCTATTTACCTTGCAGTTGGAAATAAGACCAGCTAGTGAATACTGTAGGCATACAAATATGTTTCTTATTCACCTTCTTTCTTTGAGGGATCACTTTGAAAACAGTCTATATTATTATAACATGACTCACTTATAACTAGGTTCTCCATCATGAAAAATGCCAAGAGAGTCATACTATTTTTGTTTACATAAAGTGACAAAGATTTGTTGTTGTTGTTGTTGTTTTTCCCACTAGGTAGGGAGACAACTGTTGGCACATCTTGGTAGCTCCAGTGAGTTTATGGTTCCTTTATATATATTTTATATATTAGAAAGTACTCCCTGGCAACTTGCCATACCATTCCCAGTATTTCTTTATAAGCTTCTCTCTGACAAGGAAACAAGACTCAGATTGGATAAGCTTTTAAGGGAGTGATATTTTCTCTGTGTGTGTTTTTTTGAAGGAGCTAAAAATGAAAGCTGAATTTAAGGATTGTTTGTGCCCTACATAGGGTGAATGAATAGCTAGAACTAAGCAAACTACCAGAATCTTCCCTAGGAGAGGATTAGTGAGAGTAAGGACACTGATCTCTCTTAGGCTCTTCTGCATTGGCAGCTGAAAAGTCTTTGCAGGGATCCTTGACCCTGCTCTGTATCCTGTGTTTTGCCATAGAACAGAGTACAGTTTTCATAGATCTAGATTTTTTGAATTAGAGTGCTTTATCCTAAATAGTTTAAACTGAAGAGGTGGAGAAACTGTTGTGTTTCAACAAAATAAGTACAGTAATTTCCTCTTACACATGGGGGATAGATTTCAAGACCCTTAGTGAATGCCTGAAAACATGAATAGTGCTGAACTCTATGTGTACAATAATTTATAAAAATATATATATATCTATAATAAAATTTAATGCATAAATTAGGCACAATAAGAGATTAATAATATCTAATGGTAAAGTGGATCAATTGTAACAATATACTGTAATAAAAGTTATGTGAATGTGAGCTCACAAAATATCATGTACTATAGTCACCCTACTTTCTGCACTGATGTGAGATGATAAAATGGCTATGTGATAAGTGAGGCAAATGCAGTAGGCATTGCCATGTAGTCTTAGGCTACTATTGACCTTCTATTTGACTATATGTCAGAAAGAAGATCATCTGCTTCACGTGATCTTGGATCCGTGAACCATGACGATATTGTTGGTTGGATGTTAGGTACAGATTATGTCAATGACTAGTGAGTAGATATCATATATAATGTGTATGCACTTGACAAAGGGACGATTCACATCTTGGGCAGACTGGGATGTAATGGCTCAAATTTTGTCATACTACTCAGAATCTTAGGCAATTTAAACATTATGATGTGTATACATCTGGAATTTTATTTATGGACCATGGTTGACCATGGGTAACTGAATCTGCAGTCAGTAAAACCACCAATGTCATATTATGAAATATATATTTGGTCTTCAACCCCATTTTCTGTCATACAACTCCTAAAATCCTCAGAATTTCCAACATGATATCATTTGTATGCTAATGATTGACTTATGGCAGGCAGCCTCCAGATGGCTTCAGGGTGGGGCTCATCATCAGAGTGATCAGGGTGTGATTAGAGGGTTGGGACTTCCAGCCCCACCCCTCACCTCCTGGGATGTGAGAGGGGCTGAATGTTCAATTAATCAGTCATGCCTATGTAATGAAGCTTTCATAAAATCCCAAAAGGATTGGATTTGGAGAGCATCCAGGTAGCTGTATTCAGCTGCCTGGATCCTCTCCAATACATGAAGGCATATGGAGAATACATGGATGTTCCCAGAGGGTGAGTGCCCTGGGAGGACATGGAAGCATGTTACTTTCCCCCCATATCTTGCACTATGCATCTCTTTATCTGTATCCTTTAATATTCTTTATAAGAAACTGGTAAATATGTTTCCATGAGTTCTCTGAGCCACTCTAGTAAATTAATCAAACCAAAGAGGGGGTCCTGGGAAACCCAACTTGAAGTCCAACTGGAAGTTGATTAGAAGTTCTGGAGGCCCAGACTTGTAACTGCTGTGGGGGAATAGCCTTGTGGTACTAAGCCCTCAACCTGTGGGATCTGACACAATCCCCAAGTAGATAGTGCCAGAATTACAGGGCACCCATAGGAATTGATTGTTTGCTTGTTGCTGGGGAAAAATACATATTTGGTCACAGAAATCTTCTGTGTTGATGATTGTTGTTGCGGTGTGAGAGAAGAGGAACATCATGTTGAATATGTGTTTTCTACACATACAGCAGATAAGGGGGACTGCTGTTCTAGCTGCACCTGGTTCATTTGTCCAGAAATCATGTTCTTTGATAATGCCTGCTCATTATATTGATTCTACTAATGATGCCATTTTCTGTCAGTGTGATAGGATTCTGTTAGAATTATGACTATTTTATACTGCAATTCACATATAAGGTAACAAATTTTGATAATATATTCTTCTTTGCATTTGATAAGTATATGCTAAGCACATAAGAAAGGAAATAAGAGTTCTTAATTCATTAGTTGCCTACAAATAGTATAAATAATAATTTTAGTATAGCCTCCAAGTATGTTTCTAAAGAACTGCTTTGTAACAAATCATGAGAGTCTCTGTAATAAAGCATCAAAGTCTTATACTTTTTTTCCTACAAGGTCTAAGGCATGTACAAAAGTTCATGATTTTTTTTTCTTTTGAGATGAAGTCTCACTTTGTCACCCTGGCTGGAGTGGAATGGCACAATCTTGGCTCACTGCAACCTCTGCCTCCTGGGTTCAAGCGATTCTCATGTTTCGGCCTCCCGAGTAGCTGGGATTACATACGTGTGCCACCACACTCAGCTAATTTTTTTTTGTATTTTTGTTGAGATGGGGTTTCACCATGTTTGGCCAGGCTGGTCTCAAACTTTTGACTTCATGTGATCCACCCACCTTGGCCTCCCAAAATGCTGAGATCACAGGCATGAGCCACTGTGCCCAGCCTGCATGATTTTTTTTTAATAAAGAGTCTTGCTATGTTGCCCAGTCTGTTTTCAAACTCCTGGGCTTCTCAAGTGATACTTCTGCCTCAGCCTTCTGAGTAGCTGAGATTACAGGAACGAGCCACTGTACATATATATATATACACACACACACACACCGAGTATATGCCCAGTAATGTGATTACTGGCTCAAATGGTATTTCTGGTTCTAGATCCTTGAGGAATCACCACACTGTCTTCCACAATGGTTGAACTAATTGACACTCCCACCAACAGTGTAAAAGCATTCGTATTTCTCCACATCTGCTCCAGCATCTGTTGTTTCCTGACCTTTTAACGATTGCCATTCTAAATGGCGTGAGATGGTATCTTATTGTGGTTTTGGTTTGCATTTCTCTAATGATCAGTGATGATGAGCTTTTTTTCAGATGTTTCTTGGCTGCATAAATGTATTCTTTTGAGAAGTGTCTGTTCATATCCTTTGCCCACTTTTTGATGAGATCATTTCTTGTAAATTTATTTAAGTTCCTTGTAGATTCTAGATATTAGGCCTTTGTCAGATGGACAGATTGCAAACATTTCCTCCCATTCTGTAGGTTGCCTCTTCACTCTGATCATAGTATTGGAAGTTCTGGCCAGGGTAATCAGGCAAGAGAAAGAAATAAACGGTATTCAAATAGGAAGAAAGGAAATCAAATTGTCTCTGTTTGCAGATGACATGATGGTATATTTAGAAAACCAAATTGTCTCAGCCCCAAATCTCCTTCAGCTGATAAGCAACTTCCTCATAGTCTCAGGATACAAAGTCAATGTGCAAAATTCACAAGCATTCCTATACACCAGTAATAGAGCACTAAATCATGAGTGAACTCCCATACACAATTCCTACAAAGAGAATAAAATAGCAAGGAATACAACTCACAAGGGATTTGAAGGACCTCTTTAAGGAGAACTACAAACCACCACTCAAGGAAATAAGAGGACACAAACAAATGGAAAATCACTCCATGCTCATGGTTAGAAAGAATCAATATCTTGAAAATGGCCATACTGCCCAAAGTAATTTGTAGGTTCAATGCTATACCCATCAAGCTACCATTGACTTTCTTCACAGAATTAGAAAAAACTACTTTAAATTTCATATGGAACCAAAAAAAGAGCCCATATAGCCAAGACAATCCTAAGCAAAAAGAACAAATTTGGAGGCATCATGCTACCTGCCTTCAAAATATACTACAAGGCTACAGTAATGAAAACAGCATGGTACTGGTACCAAAAGAGATATATAGACCAATGGAACAGAACAGAGGCCTCAGAAATAATGCCATACATCGACACCATCTGATCTTTGACAAACCTGACAAAAGGAATGGGGTAAGGATTCCCTATTTAATAAATTGTGTTGGGAAAACTGGCTAGCCTTGTGCAGGAAACTGAAACTGGACCCCTTCCTTACACTTTATACAAAAATTAACTCAAGATGCATTAAAGACTTAAAAGTAAGTTCTCAATGTATAAAAACCCTGGATGAAAACCTAGGCAGTACCATTCAGGACATAGGCATGGGCAAATACTTCATGACTAAAACACCAAAAGCAATGGCAACAAAAGCCAAAATTGACAAATGGGATCTAATTAAACTAAAGAACTTGTGTGCAGTTTTATTTGGGAGTGTGTGTGGGGTACCTCTGAGTTTTAAAAATGAAGAAAGTAAGTAGTCATGCTTTCCTGACTCTTTGGTAGACATAGCCTTTAAGGCAGTCATTCTGAGCTGTTATGGTTTTAGGGTTCTCTATACTACTAAAACTTATTGACGACATGTAACCAAGAACTTGAATTAAATTTTTTTTAAAAAAGAAAAAGAAATCACCCAAATGCACATTAAAAACCTCTTACAACATATGTGCATATTCCTAGATAACATGTAGAACTTGATTTTGTGTATTAAAACCTTGTAGAAAAGTTCAGACAGTACACACAATGACTGCAACTTGGTCTTTGTAAAATCAGTGATATATATATATATCAGATCTATCCATGTTGACCCAGTGAGGTATTTGATTTATTGTATGATCTAATGATATGCCATGTGATGACTGCAGCATATTTAATTATGCTCTCTTCATGTTGATACCATATG
This sequence comes from Homo sapiens, assembly GCF_000001405.40. Taxonomy (NCBI): domain Eukaryota; kingdom Metazoa; phylum Chordata; class Mammalia; order Primates; family Hominidae; genus Homo; species Homo sapiens. The sequence continues at coordinate 95,965,666 of NC_000002.12, read as the reverse complement.
GACATAAATATGGTGACATACCAGCATGGATATGCTTATGTGGTTGCTTTTATTGATTTGTACTATATTAGAAATGAAACAGAAGTATGGGAAATCCTAGCAAGCATAGCTGTATCTCTCCCATGGCTGTGTTGATTGCAACTGTTTCCCCCTTAAAGCATGTCTTTTCGACATGTCATGACCCTGAGAAAATCCATTGTGTGCTTTTCAGAGAATGACAGTAAGGAGAGGAAATGGCCAATGGTCAAAGTGTTACTTGTCCTCTTGGCTCCCCCTCATGAATGTTAAACTCTAATCTACTCAGGTCACAATTTAGAACCCCTTTGTTGATCCCTATAGAGTGTTCCCGGATGTCAAATGACAAATAGGCCCTTGAAGAAAAAACACCCTGTAAAGCTGTATTGCTCTGGTTTTTGTGTGTGAATGTGTGTGTGTGTTTGTGTGTGTGTGTGTATTTTTTCTCTTCTGAAAACTGTAAATAGAATAATTTTCATTACAAATGAAAATATTTCTGTTCCATATTTATTTGCTGTCTCATGGCACTCTGCTCTTCTTGGATCTAGTAAGGATCTCAGCGTGTCTTATTTGTACCTGCAAAAAATTACACCATTCTTCATTTTTCATGTCAATTACTGACATGTTTTCAAGTCTTCACAAGTTATTTCTGAAGATGTTGGTGCATTGAGGAGAGGCAGTGTCATTGGAGTTAAAGAAGTTTTTAAATAGGTTATGTTCAATAACATTTCAGAACCCATTTCTCTGGAAGGCATAGACATAGTGGTTTTATGTGTAGTTAAACATAAAATAGCTCCACAAAGTCTTGTGTACATGAAAGGGTTCATATCCTGGAAGATTCTAATTTACTACTCAGTACTGTCTGCTGGAGAGGAAAATAGGTAAGATAGGCTGCTGAGCCTATGATAATAACTCATAATATGATGTGAAAGCATAGAGACAAAATAAGAGATGATAGATACTCAAACCAATGTGAGTGAAGAACAGCTGTGAAAGAGTGTCTATGGGAGAGAGGAAGCCATGGGGCTGCTTTTGTGAAGAAGGAATTTGTACACGTTAGTCAAGTGTCTGATACATTTAACATTTTAGTAAAGCAAAACCTTATCTTCACATGTGTCAGAATGGGATTGTACAAATGTCACATACAGTAGTGGTGAGAATAATGAAGAAGTGAATGTGGAGGGCAAAGAATGAAGTCCACCAATATGGTTATTCGATTTATGAACGAAAAAGAGTGTATGTCAAATTGGGCAGAACAAAGAAAGCAGCTAGCTAGGTAATTTGGAGGTTTCTGATGAGGAGACTTTGGGGAGTCACTTAATGGAAAGTGGAAGTTAGAAGGATGAGGGTGACCCACAGGGTTTCATTTCTCCTCCCTAGAAGTTTTGCACATCAATGATATGTGCTTCGTTCACATCAGTTAGCATATTGGGTTGCAGCTTAATCTAGAAAAAGTGTTTTTTTTTTTTTCTTTAGGAAAGCTGTGTTGGCTGAGGTATTTATTTCATAAAAGGACCTGAGAGACCCCTATGGTATATTATATCAAACTAGCTTTAGAAACAAAGTAATAAAAGAATGTATATCTTGAGTACTAAAAAAAACTACCAATATTCTTGGCAATCATGACACACACACACATATATATATATATATATATATATATATATATATATATATATTTATATATATATATTTATATATATATATTTATATATGTATATATTTGGTTGGTTATTAATAAGAAAAGAAGTCTCTTGTGATTTAGAGATTTTGTTTACCTTATTTACATGGGAATCTGATTATGCATGATTTCTTTGACATGTATGTTTTTGCAAAAGTGGAAAAAGAGATGGCAAAAGAGCTGAACTGCTGAATCCGGGAAATGTAGGAATATTAGGAGCCTTCATGAGTACAAAGAAAATGATTTTTTAAATTATGACTCTAAGTATAACTGAACTCACTTCAGATGCATTTAGAATATTTGCATAAAAGATGATTTGATTTTGGCTGCTCCAGAAACTACTGGCAGAAGGAAAGAGTACTAGAATTCAGATAAACCACAGTGACTCGTTACTTCTCTTTGTTACTATTGGGAATCAGAGACATAGATTTTGTTGATATTAGTTATTCAAATGAAATAAACATGAATGTGCATACATTGGCTTTGTTTTTCAAGGAGCTAACTTTTGGATGCAATAGCAATTTAATGAAAATTCTTCAGAGAATAACATGATACTTCAAACCAGACTATTTTAGAAACAAAAATAATGTTGAATCCATTAATTGATTAATAAAATGGTTATTTTCAATGAATATTGGAGTCATTTCCAAATGTGAAAGCTTATTAATATCTAATGCTTGTAGCAGTTTTATTTTGTAGAAGTATGTCAATATTGATAAATGATGATACTTTTTATTGAGGTTTATATATTATACCTTATTGCCATGAGTGGATGAAAAAACTTTCAGAAGGCTGAACTAGAGAACACAAGAAACTTGGGCAATTATTACACCACATGGTTCTGAGAAATAATGAATACTGTCCACTAGGATTCACCAAACATATATCCAAGCTGATCAATTTAGGACACTTCCACTGAGGAGATGTGAAGTGTACATTCAGCTGAAGTGTCATCATAATTGTGTACCTTCTCAGTTATCAGGCAAGTTAAAGAGCATGATGAATGGTTGTAGTATAATGGTGTATTTCCTTCTCATCTCTTGCACTAAAGACATGTGACAGCATGTACCACCTGCTTTGACATTGATTCGCAGGTGCATGAGTTGCTCCTCTGTTTTTAGACCACATTTGTTTTTATCCCTCCATATATCCACAATGATACTGACACTGTTTCATTTTAGTTTTAGACATATGAAAAATCATATCACGTTTGAAATTGTAAGTGTATTTTTCATGAAGCCTGTATTGGTGTTTTCTTCAGTGTATTTCTGTCATGTTCCAGTCCCAAGACACAAAGTATAAAACATAAAAACCTAAACTAATAGGGGCAGGAGGATACAGCTTGATGGTAACAGTGCATGAATGTATGGATAATTGTATCATATTTACCTATGATTGATGATGTATCCCTTTTGCTTTTCAGTGTCTTCTCAGAAACAACCAGCCTTGAAGGTAATTACACATTCATTTCTGTTTTGAACTATTAACTATATAGTCTGTGAAAAATACTTTACGTATTGATTATTTTGTTTCAAATCCCACTCAGGCTACAAGTGGCAAGGAAGATTCTATCTCGAATATAGCCACAGAAATAAAGGATGGACAAAAATCTGGGACAGGTATTTTGGAATACACATCTAATGTCATGTTCACTCAGGATAGAAGGGAACTGCTGTTCCCTGAATAAATCGCAGGGAGCTCATTGAATCTGCACATTCTGATTCAGCAGGCCTGAGATTCTGCTTTTGTAATAAGTTCTTGGGTGACGCCGATGCTACTGGTCCTTGGCCATGATCTGAGTAGTAAGATTATGTTCTTCCCCACAGTGAAATTGGCAGGAATGATTGGAGAGCAGTGCAAGATATAACAGGCTAAGGGACAGCATATTCTTACTTTAATTCTACAGCATGTTTCCATCATAAAGGGAAGGAGAAAGAGATTAAGTAATAAAAATTATAGGTGTCAGATCAGATTGTTAAAACCACATGGAAGAACTGATTGGAATAACCCATAAACAATGTAGAAAGAGAACTAAGCAGACCTCTGATGTGGTAATTATTTTACTCAAGGAAGAGGGATTGAGAGGAAAGAAGGAGGGAAAAGAAGATGTTATTTATGTAATTTTGGGGTTTCTGCTGCAGAAACCTGATGGGACTCACTTCAGATGCATTTGGAATATTTGCATAAAAGAAGATTAGATTTTGGCTGCTCCAGGAACTACTGGAAGCAGGCTAGATTGCTAGAATTGTGATAACCCACAGTGACACATTACCCCTCTTTGTAACTATTGGGCATCAGAGATATATGTTTTGTTGGTATTAGCTATTCAAATAGGCTAATCATGAATATGCATATATTGGCTTTGTTTTTCAAGGAACTAACTTTTGGATAAAATAGCAATTTAATGAAAATACTTTAGAGAATAACATGATCCTTCAAACCAGACTATTTTAGAAAGAAAAATAATGTTGAATTCATTAATTGACTCCTAAAGTGGTTATTTTCAATGAATATGAGAGCATTTTCCAAATGGAAAAGCTTATTCATATCTAATGCGTACAGTAACTTTATTTTGTATAAGTATGCTAAATTTGATGGTTTATTATACTTTTTGATGAGGTTTATATATTATACTTTCTTGCCATGAGTGGATGAAGAAACTTTCTGAAGGCTAAACTAGAGGATAAAAGAAATGTAGGCACATTATGACTCCACAGCGGTGTGAGAAATAAAGAATATTATATGCTAGGATTCACCAAACATATATTTAAGCTGATCAATTCGGGACACTTCCACAGAGCACTTGGGAAGTGTACATTCAACTAAAGTGCCATTGTCATTGTGTACCTGCTCAATTGTCAGGCAAGTTTAAGAACATGATAAATATTTGTAGTATAATGGTATAAATCCCTCTGATGTGTTACATGAAAAACATGCAGGAGCATTAATCACCTGCTTCGACATTGATTCCCAAGTGTATGAGTTGCTGCTCTGATTTTAGATCACATTTGTCCTCATCACTCGGCATATCCACATTGATAAAGACACTGTTTTATTGCAGTAATAGACATATGAAGAATAATATCACATATGAAATTGGAAGTGTTTGTTGCGTGAAGACTATACTTCTGTTTTCTACAGTGTAATTCTGTCATGTTCCTGTCCCAATACACAAAGTAGAAAACATCAAAGCCTATGCTAATTCAGGCAGGAGGATACAGCTTGATGGTAACACTGCATGAAAGTATGGATAACTTTATCATATTTACATATGAGTGATTATGTATCCCTTCTGGTTTTCAGTGTCTTCTCAGAAACAACCGGCCTTGAAGGTATTATACTCTCATTCATATTTTGAATAATTAACTGTATAGTCTATGAAATATACTTTAGGTATTGATTATTTTGTTTGAAATCCCATTCAGGGTACAAGTGACAAGAACGATTCTGTTTCGAACACAGCCACAGAAATAAAAGATGAACAAAAATCTGGGACAGGTAATTTTGCAATACACATTTAATGCCACGTTCACTGAAGATAGAGGAGAACTTCCCTTCCCCGAATAAATCAGCAGGGGGCTCATTGAAGCTGCACATTCTGATTCAGCGGGCCTGAGATTCTGCGTTTGTAATAAGTTCTTGAGTGATGGTGATTCTGCTGATTTTTGTCCATGATCTGAGTAGTAAGACTATAGACTTCCCTACACTGAAATTGGGAAGAAGAACCATTGGAGAGCAGTTCAAGATACAACAGGCTGAGGGGACAGCATAATTTTGCTTTAATTCTACAGCATGTCTCCATCAAGAGGGGAAGGAGAATAAGATGAAGTACTAGAAATTATAGGCGCCTGATCACATTGCTAAAACCAGAGGGAAGAAGTGATCGTAATAAGCCATAAACACTATAGAATGAGAAGTAACAAGACCACTGATGTTGTAATTATTTTCCTCAGGGAAGAGGGATTGTGAGGCAGGAAGAAGGGAAAAGAAGTTATTTATTTAATTTTAGTGTTTCTGCTGAGGAAACCTGAGGGAACTCACTTCAGATGCATTTAGAATGTTTGCATAAAGGAAAATTTGATTTTGGCTGCTCCTGGAACTACTGGAAGCAGGATAGAGTGCTAGAATTGTGATGAACCACAGTCACCTGTTAACCCTCTTTGTTATTATTGGGCATCAGAGATATATGTTTTGTTGTTATCAGTTAGTCAAATGAGATAAATGTAAATATGCATACATTGGCTTTGTTGTTCAGAGAGCTAACTTTTGGACAAAATAGCAATTTAATGAAAATACTTTAGAGAATGACATGATCCTTCAAACCAGACTATTTTAGAAAGAAAAATAATGTTGAATTCATTAATTGACTCCTAAAGTGGTTATTTTCAATGAATATGAGAGCAATTTCCAAATGGAAAAGCTTATTCATATCTAATGCTTTCAGTAACTTTATTTTGTATAAGTATGCCAAATTTGATGGTTTATTATACTTTTTGATGAGGTTTATATATTATACCTTCTTGCCATGAGTGGATGAATAAACTTTCTGAAGGCTAAACTAGAGGATAGAAGAAATGTAGGCACATTATGACTCCACAGCGGTGTGAGAAATAAGGAATATTATATGCTAGGATTCACCAAACATATATTTAAGCTGATCAATTCAGAACACTTCCACAGAGCACTTGGGAAGTGTACATTCAACTAAAGTGCCATTGTCCTTGTTTACCTGCTCAATTGTCAGGCAAGTTTAAGAACATGATAAATATTTGTAGTATAATGGTATAAATCCCTCTGATGTGTTACATGAAAAACATGCAGGAGCATTAATCACCTGCTTTGACATTGATTCCCAAGTGTATGAGTCGCTGCTCTGATTTTAGATCACATTTGTCCTCATCACTCGGCATATCCACATTGATATAGACACTGTTTTATTGCAGTAATAGACATATGAAGAATAATATCACATATGAAATTGGAAGTGTTTGTTGCGTGAAGACTATACTTCTGTTTTCTACAGTGTAATTCTGTCATGTTCCTGTCCCAATACACAAAGTAGAAAACATCAAAGCCTATGCTAATTCAGGCAGGAGGATACAGCTTGATGGTAACACTGCATGAAAGTATGGATAACTTTATCATATTTACATATGAGTGATTATGTATCCCTTCTGGTTTTCAGTGTCTTCTCAGAAACAACCGGCCTTGAAGGTATTATACTCTCATTCATATTTTGAATAATTAACTGTATAGTCTATGAAATATACTTTAGGTATTGATTATTTTGTTTGAAATCCCATTCAGGATACAAGTGACAAGAACGATTCTGTTTCGAACACAGCCACAGAAATAAAAGATGAACAAAAATCTGGGACAGGTAATTTTGCAATACACATTTAATGCCATGTACACTGAAGATAGAGGAGAACTTCCCTTCCCCGAATAAATCAGCAGGGGGCTCATTGAAGCTGCGCATTCTGATTCAGCGGGCCTGAGATTCTGCATTTGTAATAAGTTCTTGAGTGATGGTGATTCTGCTGATTTTTGTCCATGATCTGAGTAGTAAGATTATAGACTTCCCTACATTGAAATTGGGAAGAAGAACCATTGGAGAGCAGTTCAAGATACAACAGGCTGAGGGGACAGCATAATTTTGCTTTAATTCTACAGCGTATCTCCATCAAGACAGGAAGGAGAACAAGATGAAGTACTAGAAATTGTAGGCGCCTGATCACATTGCTAAAACCGGAGGGAAGAAGTGATCGTAAAAAGCCATAAAAACTATAGAACGAGAAGTAATGAGACCACTGATGTAGTAATTATTTTCCTCAGGGAAGAGGGATTGTGAGGCAGGAAGAAGGGAAAAGAAGTTATTTATTTAATTTTAGTGTTTCTGCTGAGGAAACCTGAGGGAACTCACTTCAGATGCATTTAGAATGTTTGCATAAAGGAAAATTTGATTTTGGCTGCTCCTGGAACTACTGGAAGCAGGATAGAGTGCTAGAATTGTGATGAACCACAGTCACCTGTTACCCCTCTTTGTTATTACTGGGCATCAGAGGTATAAGTTTTGTTGTTATCAGTTAGTCAAATGAGATAAATGTAAATATGCATACATTGGCTTTGTTGTTCAGAGAGCTAACTTTTGGATAAAATAGCAATTTAATGAAAATACTTTAGAGAATGACATGATCCTTCAAACCAGACTATTTTAGAAACAAAAATAATGTTAAATTCTTTAATTGACACCTAAAATATTTATTTTTATTGAATATTGGAGTGATTTCCAAATGGACAACCTTATTCAGATGTAATGCTTGTAGCAACTTTATTTTGTGTAAGTATATCAAATTTGATAATTTTTTATACATTTTTATTAGGTTTGTATATTATACCTTGTTCCCATGAGTTACTGACAAAAGTTTCTGAAGGTTAAACCAGAAAATACAAAAGTGTAGGCTCATTATTATACCACATGGGTATGAAAAATAATGAATAGCATATAATAGGATTCACCAAACATATATCCAAGCTGACCAATTCAGGACACTTCCACTGAGGAGCTTTGAATTGTACATTCATCTAAAGTGTAATTGTCATTGTGTACCTGCTGAATTGTCAGGCAAGTCAAAGAGCATGATGAATATTTGTAGTATAATGGTTTAAATCCTTCTGATGTCTTGTATGAAAGACATGCGTGATCCTGGCTCACTTCAACTTTCACCTTCTGGGTTCAAGTGATTCTCCTGTCTCAGTCTCCTGAGTAGCTGAGTTTAGAGGTGTGCACCACCAACCTGGTAATTTTTGTATTTTTACTAGAGACCGGCTTTCGCCATGTTGGCCAGGTTGGTTTCGAACTCCTGACCTCAAGTTATCCACTCACCTCAGCCTCACAAAGTGCTGGGATTACAGGCGTGACCCACCGAGCCCTGCCTACATGATTTTTTTTTTTAACTTTTTAAAAATAAAGATAGAGTGTTTCTGTGCTGCCCAAGCTGGTCTGAATTGCCTGGGCTTCTCAAGTGATATTTCTGCCTCAGCCTTTTGAGTAGCTGAGATTATAGGAACAAGTCACTGTGCTCTTTTATGTTTTTAATATTTTATAGGTTCCTATTGTTGATTTAAAATGCATTTTACTTTTTGTTTGATAGTGCTTCCTGCTGTTGAACAGTGTTTAAACAGGTATGATTTCACAGATTTTTTAAAGTGATATGTTAACTTAGTTAATAGAGAGAATAGAAACTAGTGCCCGTTTAGTGTTCTCCTCTGTGCTAGACACCGTATTACATGCTTAATATTTATCATGTCATGTCATCTCCACACAGCTTTACAAACTATTTGTGCTATTATTGCTTTTTTACTAATTAGGCAACTCTGCTTTAAAGAGGTTGAAATATTGGCTCATGATTCCACAGTTAACAGGTAGCCAACCCATGATTTGACCATCATCCTGCCTGGCTCTCTAATCACTTCATTTGCCCCTAAGCATAGATGGATACAGACCTATGCAGCAATGCGATCACGGTACTGGTGTAACTCAGATCAATTCAGAAAGTCACATTTTGTTATATATTAACTCTCTTTAGAGTATTCCTTAGAAGCCTGGATACTCCAAAACTTTGTCCAAATATTTTGGAAATGGCAGTGGTAACCATATTACTTTTTTTTTTAACCATCAAAATTTTAAAGGCAGATATCAGTTACCTGTGGCCACAAGACCGTAAGTTTTTTGTAAGCAAGACTAGGCCAGTCCTAGAAAAATATTATTTTACTGTGCATGGAGAATATCTAAATATAGACCATGTTATGATAACTATATTTAGCATATATTAAAATGATATTTCTAATTCATTTCTCTACTTACTCCCTACCCAGTTAGGTTTTCTCTTTAAGTGAGTACCCTGCCTAGTTTGCTGAAGCTTTTTCTTATTTTTTGGATTCTTCTTTTTTCCTTCTATGACATTTTAGTATTTTCTTGATTTCTTTTCACTTTCTCTACCACTTTTCTTAGGGTTTAAGACCTTCTTTTGTAGTTTTCATGTATGGCAGCTAAATATTCCCCATTTTCCTACAGACACAATCAGAGGTGCTTAGAATTTCAGAATGTTAAGAAATCCTAGAGACTAAACAAAGTATCCTCTAGTGCTTGAATCCTTGCTTAACATCCTGATCAAGTGGTTGTTCAGGTGGAGAACCTGAAACTCAAAGAGAGAAAATTATTTGGATACAGTAAATCAGAGAAATGAGAATTGCACTCAGGTTTCTTAGTTCAAAACGCAGTCTTCTTTTACATCATTCTGTCATTGAGTGATTTTAGTTTTAGAAAGAAGGAGTGGCTCTAGTGAACACAGTGGAAGAGGATGAGAATGGAATGAGCTGTTGAACCCAATGAAAGTGAATAAGAATGGAATTTGCAGGGGACAGCCAAATTTGAAGAGAAACAAACTCTTAGTTTGATAGAAATGAGGGTTTTAGGGAAAAATCTGAATATTTGGTTTAATGCAAGTTTGATAAAGATAAGGGAAATGATAACACAGGATGTTGGGAGCTATCAAGAAAGGCATATTAGAATATGGCATTCAAGGAGTTCTGAAGAGTTTGCTGCCTTTTTGTTTGTTTAACTGGAGGAACTGACAAACTTCAAGGTTTTATTGAAAAATGTTAAAAGAATTTGAGCCACTGGAAAGAGTCTCCAGAGGAGATAGGAATGTGGTATCATCTTCTTCCATCCCAGCTTACAGAGGGCTTAGAATCCCTCAAGAACTAGGGAGCTGGAGATTGCTTAAGTACATAGATCTGTGATCCAGGGTGGATGTCTCTTTTTTTCTGACTCTTTTCTCAATTCTCTCATGTACATGTAGGGTAGGACAAATGTAGGATTGGCCGGCAAACCAGCAATGAAGCTTCATTTGGGTAGTTGGTAACATGCATATGCTTGGGGTGGATGACTGAGACTAACTTACTTTCCAGAAGCAGAGGAATAGAGAGCTCCTACTCTCAATTATGTTAGCCCATCTTTTGAGGAATCTGGGCTTTCCTATGCTGAAGACATAGATTGGAGATTGCCACAGATCCCTGCAGAAGAGGGATCCAGAAGTGGGAGCCCATAGGGAGGAAGATATTTAGATAGTGATGAATGAAATGGAGCTATAAGTACTTAGGAGGGAGACTTTTCCAGCAGTCTCTCTCTTGGGCATCTGAGTGTCTATGAAGGTTCTTAAGCTTGCTGGTTTTTGTGGATCTGAATAAAGCAGGATCTATATAATGACGATAATTGGATTTTAAAATTTTTAATGTTTTAATCTTCTGTGAAGAATATTCCCAATAACAATCTAACAACATATACATTTGTACTTTGACTTTTGTACACTCAGCTTTCAAACATTTGCAGTGTTTCAGGGGGGCTCCCTGTAGTGTTCTAGGGTGAAAAGAATCAATGGGCCCTCTTTAAGTAGCTTACATGCTGAAGATCCAAGACTCCCATTTTCCAGTGACACAGATTAGTCTTTGAATCAGAAATAGATAATGGAGAAGAGACCGTGCCTTTTCTACCTTGTTTTAGGTTATCAGGTTGACTCCAGTTCAGTAACAAAAGTTGTGTCAGATATCAACTGGATTTTCAGTTTAGCCTTTATGGTAGATAATTTATAAGGACAAATTATTGTCTGGCCACGCCATTATAATGCCTGTCACTATTTGTGATGGGTTTAAGGGTGAGTCTGCATTGGATATTTCATAGGTTAGGAGAGTTGGAGGCAGAAATAGGTAACTGAAATGTTTTCTAAAACGGAAGCCATATCTTAATTATACCAAGAAATATTATTTAATATGCAGATAACTGAGTTTCCTCAGACTTTGTTTTACCATTTTTTTGGAGTGGACATACATGTATAGACTGACGGTTTTTGTTTTCTTTTAAGAAATGAACGTGCTCATTTTTGCTGTATCTTTTTGCTCTGTAGGAGTCTCTACAGACCGGATGCTGTTGCACAGCCTGTGACAGAGGATGAGTTTGCTTTGGAATCTGAGGTAGAGTACTCTCTTGTGAAATTAATTTTCTCACTCTGAATCTCTTTTTTTATATTATTTTCTTCTAAAACTTAGCAGTTGTCTACCTATCATTGTTTTATGTTAGTATTAAAACTTTTATTAGAGAAAACCATTTTAAAGAAATGAGAGGGGTTAATTTTAATTTTTTTTACTTTGGCAAATAAGAAATAGTTGATAAATACTTTGAGAGGTGTGATCTGAAAAAAAAATTGCTGGGAAATACACAGTGACAGAAAAATGATGTTCGGGAATGCTTTCCCACAGTAGAGGATATACAAATTTTGGTCTAGGCTTATTTGAGTGTTTTTACTTTGAGTTGTATATCATATGAGTATGACTAATAATACCTCTGTTTAAATGAATCTTTAATACATCAGATGACTTATCAAAGAAATCATGGAATCACTCTGTTACACATAGCATATAGTTTCTTTTTATTTCTTGTGCACATATTTTGATATCATACTGTATTTTTGCAGAGAGCTATTTCTTTATTTTTATTCCTGGCTCTGTAATTAGACTAAAATAATATTAGAAATTGTGGAAATTTAACTAGACATGGTATCATGTGCCTGTAGTCCCACCTATTCAAGAGATCAAGTCAGGAGAATTTCTTGAGCCCAGGAGTTTAAGACCAAGCTTGGCAATATAACAAGTGCTTATCTCTAATTTTAAAAAGTTGTGGAATATTAGAAATTCAAATTCTGTGCTCAAATCTGTATTAGAGAGAGTTTACACTGTGTTTTCCAAGCCTTTTTTATTTAGAGTATACTTTAAACTCTTTATTTAATTGAAAAATATGCATTTTGTTTAAATAACCTGTTTGATAAACAGAGACTCTTCATATTTTTATGGTCAGACTTTAATTTCACAATGTTTTTGCATTGTAATTAAAAAGAATCCACTCAGGGTCTTTGTATCGCATTCTAAATTTCAAATTTCAGAGGCTTTTGTGCTTAGTTATTGAAAAAATAATTGTAAAGCTCCTGCATTACTATGAGGCACTTGAAACTAGAAAACCTATTTGTATGTTTCCTGGAATACACAGAATAAGGTCTTGCATGTAAGAAACACTTTAATAGTTTTTAATGTGAATCAGCAAACAGGTAAATGGGCTTTCTCATAATGGAATGTTACAGGTAACCTAATATGCATGACATATCTAATAATTAAATCTATTAAATGTCTTGAATGTTTTGAATTTATCTTTTTTTCTAATGTTGAGAATGTATAAGTTGAGGTGAGTTATGTTGAGAAAATATGTCATATAGAAGAAAATAAAATTTAGAAAAGATGAAAAGGAAATAGGAGAGGTGGATACAGCCTGTTTTCTAATATCTTCCAACTGGAAGCTTAGTTTAGGATTTTAGATTAAATTTTCTTAAATTTTTAAAGCCCCAATCATGTTCTATTAAATACCTTTTTTTTGGGACATACATTACTCTTTCAAATTCTGAATAAAAATTCTTTCTCCAGGTGTTAAGTTGCTGGAATTTTATTGTTTTTTTTTTTCTTTCCCTCTCTCTCTCTCTGTAGTAAGAATGTGTCAGTTTTCAGATCAATCATCATGGTTAACTCTTGGGATGTGTTATTTTATAGTAAACAAATGAAACTCTTTGTTACATAAGTATTTACACAAAACAAATTGTCGAGTAAATGCTAACCAGTATTATTAGGCATATATTATGAACACAAGCTTTTCTTTTAAGCGCATATTTGATTGACTGGTCATGTCTCTTTTTTTGTTTGTTGCTCCCTCCTTTCCCTTTGTTTAAAAATGATTTACCTCAGTCTAACTTTCTCCTTGCAGACCACATGTCTTTAGTGTCTATTCTTTCATTTCACTTCTGTTTCTATTGTCAGGATACTTAGTTACAGCTTTCTATTTAGTAGCTATGTGTGGCCTTCATTCATGAATCATTGCTCCATAAGGTGGATGGTTGCTTTTTTCTGTCTTTTTTGGAAGGAGCTGAAGTTATACTATAATTTGTTTTTAGCTTTTGACACGCTGAATAGAAGCAACTTGTACTGTTTCTGATGCCAACCCATTTAAATATAGTACTACTAAAAACTACATTCTCACATTTTTTCCCACAGAAAGTAATTCGCACAAACATACATCATCATGCATACCTATTTTGAAAAATAATGTGATTAATTTACTTTTTTTATTATTAGTTTTATTCAGTAATACTCTAAATTACATATGAGTACATTTTTGTCCTAGTTTGTTGTGGTTAATAAAAGAAACTAATGGATATCATAGTATTTGTATAATAATCAACATGGGTTGAAAGGAATAACATTTTGAAGATATCTGTATCACCAATCATAACCATCACCCCATGTGAATCTGTAGATTAGTAAATGGCAGACTTGAGGTTTGAATCTACATATGAGTGATTTCAATGTCCATACTTTTCCTGTTAGATCACGTAGTAATGGTGGGTATTATCCTTATTTTAACTTGCTCCATGTTATTCTTAAACCTATTGTGTTTTTCTTCTAGATTATTTCAAAACTATACATCCCAAAGAGAAAGATTATTTCTCCACGATCTATAGAAGATGGTAAGTTATTTGAAGCCTGCCTATTGTAGTATTTACTGATTCTTCATTTGTTTTTTTTTTTTTTTTCTTTGTGAAACACAGTCTTACTAGTCTGCAGCACAGGCTGGAGTGCAGTGCTGTGATCTTGGCTCACTGCAGTTTCCATCTCCTGGGTTCAAGTGATTCTCCTGCCTCAGCCTCCCGAGTAGCTGGGATTACAGGCGTGCACCACCACACCTGGCTAATTTTTGCATTTTTAGTAGATTTGGAGTTTCACCATGTTGTCCAGGCTGGTCTCAAACTTTTGACCTCAAGTGATTCCCCCGCCTAGGCCTCCCAAACTGCTAGGATTACAGGCATGACCCACCACACCAGGCCTTGTTGATTATTATTATTATTTTTATAAGGATAGAGTCTTGCTATGTTACCCAGGCTGGTCTCAAACTCCTTGGCTTCTCAAGTGATACTTCTGCCTCAGCCTTCTGAGTAGCTGGGATTATAGGAACAAGCCACTGTGCTTTTTTATGTTTTTAGTATTCTATAGTGTTCTATTGTTGATTTAAAATGCATTTTACTTTTTCTTTAATAGTGCTTCCTCCTGTTGAAGAGGCTGTTGACAGGTATGATTTCAGAGATTTTTTAAAGTGATATGTTAACTAAGTGAATAGCGAGAAGAGAAACTAGTATCTGTTTAGTGTTCTACTCTGTGCTAGACACCATATTACATGCTTAACATTTGTCATGTCATGTCATCTTCACACAACTTTAGAAACTATTTGTGCTATTATTGCTTTTTTACTAATTAGGCAACTCTGCTTTAAAGAGGTTGAAATATTGGCTCATGATTCCACAGTTAACAGGTAGCCAACCCAACATTAGACCATCATCCTGCCTGGCTCTCAAATCACTTCATTTGCCCCTAAGCATAGATGGATAGAGGCCTATGCAGCAATGGGGCCACGGTACTTATTTACATCAGATCAATTCAGAAAGTCACATTTTGTTATATATTAACTGTCTTTAGAGTGTTATTTAGAAGCCTGGCTACTCCAAAAGTTTGTCCAAATATTTTGAAATGGCAGTGGTAACCATATTACTTTTTTTTTTAACCATCAAATTTTAAAGGCAGTTATCAGTTATCTGTGGCCACAGGACCCTAAGTTTTTCATAAGCAAGACCAGGCCAGTCCTAGAAAAATATTATTTTACTGTGCTTGGAGAATATCTAAATATAGTCCATGTTATGTTAACTATATTTAGCATATATTAAAAGGATATTTCTAATTCATTTCTCCACTTACTGCCTAACCAGTTAGGTTTTCTCTTTAAGTGAGTACCCTGCCTAGTTTGCTGAAGCTTTTTCTTATTTTCTGGATTCTTCTTTTTTCCTTCTGTGACATTTTAATAATATTTTCTTGATTTCTTTTTACTTTCTCTTCTGCTTTTCTAAGGGTTTATGATCTTCTATTATAGTTTTCATTTAAGGCAGCTAAATAGTCCCCATTTTCCTATAGACAAAATCAGAGGTGCATAGAATTTTGGAATGTTAAGAAATCCTAGAGACTAAACAAAATATCTTCTATACTTGAATCCTTGCTTAACATCCTGATCAAGTGGTTGTTCAGGTGGAG
The DNA here is from genome assembly GCF_000001405.40 of Homo sapiens. Taxonomy (NCBI): domain Eukaryota; kingdom Metazoa; phylum Chordata; class Mammalia; order Primates; family Hominidae; genus Homo; species Homo sapiens. The sequence continues at coordinate 95,949,738 of NC_000002.12, read as the reverse complement.
AACCTGAAATTCAAAGAAAGAAAATTATTTGGATACAGTAAATCAGAGAAATGAGAATTGCACTCAGGTTTCTTAGTTCAAAACGCAGTCTTCTTTTACATCATTCTGTCATTGAGTGATTTTAGTTTTAGAAAGAAGGAGTGGCTCTAGTGAACACAGTGGAAGAGGATGAGAATTGAATGAGCTGTTGAACCCAATGAAAGTGGATAAGAATGGAATTTGCAGGGGACAGCCAAATTTGAAGATGTAGATTGGGGATTGCCATGGATCCCTGCTGAAGAGGGATCCAGAAGGGGGAGCCCATAGGAAGGAAGATATTTAGATAGTGATGAATGAAATGAAGCTCTAAGTACTCAGGAGGGAGACTTTTCCACTAGTCCCTCTCTTGGGTATCTGAGTGTCTATGAAGGTTCTTAAGCTTGCTGGTTTTTGTGGACCTGAATAAGGCAGGATCTATATAATGACAATAATTGGATTTTATAATTTTTAATGTTTTAATCTTCTGTGAAGAATATTCCCAAAGTACATTTGTACTTTGACTTTTGTACACTCAGCTTTCAAACATTTGCAGTTTTTCAGGGGGTTCCCTGTAGTGTTCTAGGGTGAAGAGAATCAGTGGGCCCTCTTTAAGTAGCTTACATGCTGAAGATCTAAGACTCCCATTTTCCAGTGACACAGATTAGTCTTTGAATCAGAAATAGATAATGGAGAAGAGACCGTGCCTTTTCTACCTTGTTTTAGGTTATCAGGTTTACTGCAGTTCAGTAACAAAAGTTGTGACAGATATCAATTGGATTTTCAGTTTAGTCTTTAGGGTAGATAATTTATAAGGATAAATTATTGTCTGGCTGTGCCATTATAATGCCTGTCACTAATTGTTATGGGTTTAAGGGTGAGTCTGCATTGGATATTTCATAGGTTGGGAGAAGTGGCAGCAGAAATAGGTAACTGAAATGTTTTCTAAAATGGAAGCCATATCTTAATTATACCAAGAAATATTATTTAATATAAGGATAACTGACCTTCCTCAGACTTTGTTTTACCATTTGTTTTGGAGGGGACCTGCATGTATAGACTGACGGTTTTTGTTTTCTTTTAAGAAATGAACGTGCTCATTTTTTTCATATCTTTTTGCTCTGTAGGTGTCTCTACCTACTGGACCGTTTTGCACAGGCTGTGACAAAGGATAAGTTTGCTTTGGAATCTGAGGTAGAGTACTCTCTTGTGAAATTAATTTTCTCACTCCGAATCTCATTTTTTATATTATTTTCTTCTAAAACTTAGCAATTGTCTACCTATCATTGTTTTATGTTAGTATTAAAACTTTTATTAGAGATAACCATTTTAAAGAAATAGGGGGGGTTAATTTTAATTTTTTTTTACTTTGCAAATAAGAAATAGTTGATAAATACTTTGAGAGGTGTGATCTGAAAAAAAAATTGCTGGAAAATACATAGTGACAGAAAAATGTGGTTCTGGAACGCTTTCCCACAACAGAGGAGATACAAATTTTGGTCTAGGCTTATCTGAGTAAGTGTTTTTACTCTGAGTTGTATATCATATGAGTATGACTAATAATACCTCTGTTTAAATGAATCTTTGTTACATCAGATGACTTATTATGGGAATCATGGAATCACCCTGTTACACATAGCATATAGTTTCTTTTCATTTCTTGTACACCTATTTTAACATCATACAGTATTTTTGCAGAGAGCTACTTCTTTATTTTTATTCTTGGTTCTATATATTTAGGCTAAAATAATATTACAAATTGTGGAAATTTAACTAGACATGGTATCATGTGCCTGTAGTCCCACCTATTCAAGAGTTCAAGCCAGGAGAATTTCTTAATCCCAGGAGTTTAAGACCAAGCTTGGCAATACAGCAAGAGCTTATCTCTAATTTAAAAAATTGTGGAATATTAGAAATTTAAATTCTGTTCTCACATCTATAGTAGAGAGGGCTTACACTGTGTTTTCCAAGTCTTTTTTATTGAGTATACTTTAAACTCTTTATCTAATTGAAGAATATGCATTTTGTTTAAAATAACAACCTGTTTGATAAGCAGAGACTCTTCATATTTCTATGATCAGACTTTAATTTCACAAGGTTTTTGCATTGTAATTAAAAAATAATCCACTCAGGGTCTTTGTATCTCATTCTAAGTTTCAAATTTCAGAGGCTTTTGTGCTTAGTTATTGAAAAAATAATTGTAAAACTCCTGCATTACTATGAGCCACTTGAAGCTAGAAAATCTATTTGTATGTATCTTAAGCACCCAGAATAATGTCTTGCATGTAAGAAACATTTTATTAGTTTTTAATGTGAATCAACAAACAGGGAAATGGGCTTTTTTTAAATGGAATGTTACAGGTAACATAATATGCCTGAGATATCTAATAATTAAATCTATTAAATGTCTTGAATGTTCTGAATTTATCTTTTGTTCTAATGTTGAGAATCTATAAGTTGAGGTGAGTTATCCTGAGAAAATATGTTATAGAAGAAAATGAAAATTGGAAAAGATGGAAAGGAAATAGGAAAGGTGGATACAGCGTGTTTTCTAATATCTTCCAAATGGAAGCTTAGATTAGGATTTTAGATTAAATTTTCTTAAATTTTTAAAGCCCCAACCATGTTCTATTAAATACATATTTTTCAGGACATACATTACTCTTTTTTTATTTTTTTATTTTTTTATATTATTATACTTTAAGTTTTAGGGTACATGTGCACATTGTGCAGGTTAGTAACATATGTATACATGTGCCATCATCTAGCATTAGGTATATCTCCCAATGCTATCCCTCCCCCCTACCCCCACCCCACAACAGTCCCCAGAGTGTGATATTCCCCTTCCTGTATCCATGTGATCTCATTGTTCAATTCCCACCTATGAGTGAGAATATGCGGTGTTTGGTTTTTTGTTCTTGCGATAGTTTACTGAGAATGATGATTTCCAATTTCACCCATGTCCCTACAAAGGACATGAACTCATCATTTTTTGTGGCTGCATAGTATTCCATGGTGTATATGTGCCACATTTTCTTAATCCAGTCTATCATTGTTGGACATTTGGGTTGGTTCCAAGTCTTTGCTATTGTGAATAATGCTGCAATAAACATACGTGTGCATGTGTCTTTATAGCAGCATGATTTATAGTCCTTTGGGTATATACCCAGTAATGGGATGGCTGGGTCAAATGGTATTTCCAGTTCTAGATCCCTGAGGAATCGCCACACTGACTTCCACAATGGTTGAACTAGTTTACAGTCCCACCAACAGTGTAAAAGTGTTCCTATTTCTCCACATCCTCTCCAGCACCTGTTGTTTCCTGACTTTTTAATGATTGCCATTCTAACTGGTGTGAGATGGTATCTCATTGTGGTTTTGATTTGCATTTCTCTGATGGCCAGTGATGGTGAGCATTTTTTCATGTGTTTTTTGGCTGCATAAATGTCTTCTTTTGAGAAGTGTCTGTTCAAGGACATACATTACTCTTTCGAATTCTGAATAAAAATTCTTTCTCCAGGTGTTAAGTTGCTGGAATTTTATTGTTTTTTTTTTTTTTTTTTTTTTCCTCTCTCTGTCTCTCTCTCTCTGTTTGTAGTAAGAATGTTTCAGCTTTCAGGTGAATGATCATGGTTAATTCTTGGGATGTGTTATTTTATAGTAAACAAATTAAACTTTTTATTACATAAGTATTTACACAAAACAAATTGTCGAGTAAATGCTAACCAGTATTATTAGGCATATATTATGAACACAAGCTTTTCTTTTAAGCTGATATTTGATTGACTGGTCATGTCTCTTTTTTTGTTTGTTTCTCCCTCCTTCCCCTTTGTTTAAAAATAACTTACCTCAGTCTAATATTTTCCTTGCAGACCGCATGTCTTTAGTGTCTATTCTTTCATTTCACCTCTGTTTCTGTTGTCAGGATACTTAGTTACAGCTTTCTATTTAGTAACTATGTGTGGCCTTCATTCATGAATCATTGCTCCATAAGGTGGATGGTTGCTTTGTTCTGTCTTTTTTGGAAGGAGCGGAGGTTATACAATAATTTGTTTTTAGCTTTTGACACACAGAATAGAAGCAACTTACACTGTTTAAAGATAGTACTACTAAAAACTACATTCTCACATTTTTTCCCGCAGAAAGTAATTCACACAAATATATATCATGCCTAAGTATTTTGAAAAATAAAGTGATTAATTGACTTTTTATTATTAGTTTTGTTCAGTCATACTCTAAATTACAGATGAGTAAATTTTTGTCCCAGTTTGTTGTGGTTAATAAAAGAAACTAATGGATATCATAGTATTTGTATAATAATCAACTGGGGTTGAAAGGAGTAACATTTTGAGAATATCTGTATCACCAATCATAATCATCATCCCATGTGAATATGTAGATAAGTAAATGGCAGACTTGAGGTTTGAATCTACATATGAGTGACTTCAAAGTCCATCCTTTTTGTGTTAGATCATGTAGTAATGGTGGCAATTATCATTATTTTAACTTGCTGCATGTTATTCTTAAACCTATTGTGTCTTTCTTCTAGAATATTTCAGAACCATACTTTACAAACAGAAGGACTATTTCTCAACAATCTGCAGAAAAGTGTAAGCTATTTGAAACCTGACTATTATATTATCTACTGATTCTTTTTTTTCTTTCTTTTTCTTTCTTATTTTTTGTAGACAGAGTGTTACTCAATGTTGCCCAGGCTGGAGTGCAGTGGCATGATCTTGGGTCACTGCAACTTCCACCTCCTGGGTTCAAGTGATTCTCCTGCCTCAGCCTCCCGAGTAGCTGGGATTACAGGTGTGCACCACCACACCTGGCTATTTTTGTATTTTTGGTAGAGATGGAGTTTCACCATGTTGGCCAGGCTGGTCTTGAACACCTGACCTCATATGATCTGCCTGCATCGGCCCCCCAAACTGCTGGGATTAAAGCTGTGAGCCCCCACACCCGGTTCTTATTTACTGATTCTTAATTACATGCATTTCATCTACTCTTGACTTTGTTTTTACTGTAGTAGATGCTGCATGTGGCATTGACAAAACAGAAAATGGAACCTTGTTTGAAGACCAAAATGTTGATAAGGTAAATGAAGATGTGGTTAAAAGCCAACATAGAATAATCAGAGTCCAGTCCTGTTCACCAACTCACTCTTATCTGTTAATGATCTTTAATTTTACAATGGTAAATTGTTTTATTTGGAAAATAGTTTTCCCATGCTTTATTCACTTGCCATCTCCCTGTCTTTATAACGATGACAAGGATCCTATAAAGGAATGGAAGTTCTCAAGGTAATAATAGAAAAGAAGTGTGACAACAAGGGAAATATATGCATGGGACTAGGATTCCTAAAAGGTTGTGGGAGTAAATGATTCTTAGGTTTGCCATTAGGGAAGGAAAGAAGTAGAAAGCAACCTGAAAGAACAGCTCCACAAATACAAAGGTGAGGAGGGGAAAGAAGTAAGAATACAGAGTTGAATAAGAGTGTCAAGATGACAAAGATTAGTATAAAACACCTCAAAAGCGGTGAATTTAAATGACAGTAGAATGTCTCCATATCATATTATAGAATTATTTTAAATATAGATTAAGAAAAGAAAGCCAAGTAATTAAAAAATTCTCAGATTCTTCTGAGTGACTTACGGGTGATTTTAATAAAGTATTGGAAGAAAATTTATGGGTGACTATATTTAACATTCTGTTTTACATTTAAAAATAGCCAGGAGAGAATAACTTGAATATTTCTAGTTTAAATAAAACATACATAGTTAAGGTAATGTGTATCTCTGTTACCCTCATTAGATTATATAGATGGATCAAATCATCACACGTACACTGAAAATATATACATCTATTTATTAATTTAAAAATTCTAAATGGAAAGAAAATTTCATCCTCACTTTTTAAAATTTCAGTAAAGTGATGTCTTATATTTTATCTAGTGAATGCTGTGTTCATAGATAATGCAAAATAAAATGTGTTTTAGGCTATATCAGATTTTGAATGAATCATTACTTTTTGACTCTTGTTAAAAGTTTTTTAAAGTAATATTTGGTATATTCCTAAGTTGCTTAACTAATTTATTTCACTTTTCCATAATCTTGGAGCTGTTTTAGCCTTTTTTGATAATAAGAGGGAAAATAAATAATTAAATAATAAAAAATAATAAAAATTAATTTATACATAAATTAATAAAAATTAAAATTTCTGGTTAATTTTTTTTTTTTTGAGACGGAGTCTCGCTCTGTCTCCCAGGCTGGAGGGCAGTGGGCGATCTCGGCTCACTGCAAGCTCCACCTCCCGGGTTCACGCCATTCTCCTGCCTCAGCCTCGCGAGTAGCTGGGACTATAGGCGCCCGCCATCACGCCCGGCTAATTTTTTTTATATTTTTAGTAGAGACGGGGTTTCACTGTGTTAGCCAGGATGGTCTCGATCTCCTGACCTCGTGATCTGCCCGCCTCGGCCTCCCAAAGTGCTGGGATTACAGGCGTGAGCCACCACGCCTAGCCATTTCTGGTTAATTTTATAGGAGGTTTCTAATTTATATTCATTGAATGAGAAAAAATATATTTTTAACCTGGAACCCTCTTAAAGAAATAAATTATTACTTATTTCTGGAGCTAGTCTGACTTACCTTGTGCTGATAATATCTGTACTTAAGAACATACATGTGATGAATGCAGTCAACACTCATGATTGTTTTCTAAACAAAGTACCTATTTTTATAGAATCGTAAGGAAAGAAATATTGCCAACAGAGTACACAGAATTATCTCTGGAATATTACTTTTTACTTTTAAAACTATCTCCTACAGTTGGGACATTTTGTATTATTCTCTGGAAGCATTATTAACTTTAGTATTTATAGTTGTTATACCTTGCACATAAATTTATTCAGCTCTAAAACTCAGGAATCCTTTTGACTTGATGTTTCAAATAAATTTCTTCTCTCTTCATGTGAGTATTGGGTCCTGACTGACAGGCATAGTGTATTTGAAGACATGTAAATCTTCAGCTTGCATGGTGATATGATTATTTTACTTGATCCTTTCTCTGATTTTTAACTATTATCTTTATGGCATAAGTAGGCAATTAGAGCTATTAGTATATCATTTACAGGAGAATCAGAAAACCATATGAACTTTAAAATAGGTTTTACATTTCTCTCTTATATTTTAGTAGTACTTAAAATGCCTTATAATTCTATAATAGAATAAACATTCGTACAAGTTAAAAACTTTTAAGATGATTTTTTAAAAATGAGCTTTCTTAGGATACCTTGAATTATTGGTTTAGATAACTGTTTTCATTAAGTTCAAAAATGCAGATGACCATAATATTCCAGAAATAAATATCTGCATACATTAAGAAAATATATTTTATATCTTTTAATCCAGTATAGAAATATATAATTGAAATTTTGAATCCCATATTTTGTTTTCTTTTTATTTTCAAAACTTCAGGGTTCTTCATAGGTTTAAATTATCGAATCCTACCAGTTTAGTATATTTTACAAATGTTGACCTTCTCAACAACATATGGTTTTTTTGAGTAAGGTCATCTATTTCTACTCCAAATGTATTTACCCAGATCAGTCTTCTAAGTCCCCTTTGTGCCTCAAATTTGACAGGTCTCAAACTGCCTTCCAGATTCTTTCCTGACTCTTTGTAATCTACTCTGTCATCTGGCGTCCCAATTTTAGTAAATAACACCAAGAAAGTAGCAATGAAACATTGAAGCAGAAAAACTGCACTCCAGGTTTCCCTCACATTGCCAATCCAGTGACTCACCAAATTTTGTATTTTCTACCTTTAACCATTTCTCGTATCTTATTACTGTAATACACTGTCTGCCCTATACTTTTGGAATGTTCGTTTTTGTTTCTCTCTTCTCCCCATGTTTATCTATCTATATATGTCTTTCAGGGTGACCTTTCTTAAACATGTTTACTTTGATCTAACTCATCTGCTTACGGCTGGACCCTCATTACACGAAAGAAACATTTACATTCTAGCATAACACTTATTTTGTGGTTTGGCCTGTTTCTCCCATTTTATCTCTCCACTCCACTTTCTCTGTCTGTGCCCAAGTTTTACCACGTTATTGTGGTAGTTCTTATTGGCTATGCTGTTTCATTTTTTTGCACATGCTGCCCTCACTAGAAACACTTCACATTCTTAGTCTTCACTTGTCTATTTTAAAAATAGGACCCTAAATTTACAGTGTCTCAGAAGCTTCCCAAGTAGAAATAAGTGTTATTGCCTTTGTGCTGTCACTGTATTTTATTGACTTGAATTGTAGAAATAATGAATTGTGTCTTTCTGCTTTTGTTTGTTTTTATGTTTCTTTTTTCACTTGATAAATAAATAAAATTGGTATTTTATTCATATTATCAGATTTTCCAGTATAGACCTTATGAATTTATAGACACAGAAAATGTTTCTTGAATTACTGACCGATTGAGTAGTAAATATAACATTTTCTGAAGATTTCTTTTTTTTTTTTTTAATAGGAAGGAAAAGCACTACCAGCAACTGGACAAAAAGCAAATGGTATTGGTATTATAAAAAGTGCTCCATGAGAGCAATCAAATAATGATAATGTTATTTTTTGTGTACAAAGAAACAAAGGTGGTGAGGTAGTGAATATAGCTGAATAATTTTCTATGCTTTAATATAATTTTTGAAAATAAATATAACTATAATTTAAAATAAATTTAAAATTAAATTAATTGTTAAATTACATTAAATTATAAGCCTAATTTTAATTAAATTATAAATATAATTTATTAATTTTTAATAGTAAATATAATTTAATTTAAACATACTTTTTCTTAAAACTTTGGTGAACACTTAAACTTGTAGATCAAAATATAATGTTCATTGTTGAGAAATGGACATTAGTATATTTACAAAAAAATGTGAGGTGGGATGGTGTAAATTAAGAAAGCAGCTGGCTAGGTAATTTGGAGGTTTCTGATGAGGAAACTTGAGGGAACTCACTTTATGTAGACTCAGTATATTCCCACTCAAAGAGAAGATTAAATTATTGCTGCTTTGGAGCTTACTGGAAGCAGAGGGTAGAAAAACGACAGGAAACCACAGGAACTCATTTCTTCTCTCTATAGGGGTTACACATCAATGATATGCGCTTCATTCATGTTTGTTAGTGAACTGGGATGCACTTGGATATCAAAACATTGGCAGTTTTCTTTAAAAACAGTGCTGTTTTTGATGAAATAGCCATTGTATAAATGTACCTCAGAGGCTGCTATGCTATAGCATATCAAACTGACTTTAGAAAAAAACAAACGAGAAATTTATTTCTTGAGTACTAAAAGTGTAACTGTCAATAATCATGGCAAATATTTTGATAGGTAAAAGTTGATTAAGCCGGGCGCGGTGGCTCACGGCTGTAATCCCAGCACTTTGGGAGGCTGAGGCGGGAGGATCACGAGGTCAGGAGATGGAGACCATCCTGGCTAACATGGTGAAACCCCATCTCTACTAAAAATACAAAAAGTTAGCCAGGCGTGATGGCATGTATGTGCCTGTAGTCCCAGCTACTAGGGAGCCTGAGGCAGGAGAATCACTTGAACCCGGGCGGCGGAGGTTGCTGTGAGCCGAGATTGTGCCAATGCACTCCAGCCTAGGCAACAGAGCAAGACTCCATGTCAAAAATAAAAAAAAGAAAGTTGATTGTTATGAAAAAAAAGTCAATGGTGATTCAGAGATTTTTGGTTACATTTTGTAAATGAAAATCTGAGTACTCATTAGTTATTTGATGTGTAATGCATACTTTTTTTTTGCATAAGTGAATGAAAAGATGGCAAGAGAACTAAAGTTGAGAATCCAGAAGCTGAAAATATCAGAAGCCTTCATGACTGTGGATGACATGAGTATTTTTAGAAACGATTTTTCTCCAAGTAGATATCTAAACTAATGATTGAGAGCACTTCCTGCCAGCAGAAGCGAATGATACATTTTCTTTTCTTTTCTTTTCTTTTTGAGACGGAGTCTCGCTCTGTCACCCAGGCTTGAGTGCAGTGGCGGGATCTCGGCTCACTGCGAACTCCACCTCCCGGATTCACGCCATTCTCCTGCCTCAGCCTCCTGAGTAGCTGGGACTACAGGCTCCTGCCACCACGCCCGGCTAATTTTATGCATTTTTAGTAGAGACGGGGTTTCACCGTGTTAGCCAGGATGGTCTCGATCTCCTGACTTCGTGATCTGCCCGCCTCGGCCTCCCAAAGTGCTGGGATTATAGGCGTGAGCCACCGCGCCCGGCCGCGAATGATACATTTTCATGCACTCTCATTGCAACTTCATAGTTTCTAACATTTATTCTTCTGGGGTCCGCTTTGGTTCTCTCATTTGACGTCATCTTTTTTGGCTTCATCCAGCAGATTCACATTGGTAGAAATACTTTTCTATGTTACTTGTAGTCATGTGAAACCTAATCTCACCCTTGCAATCTGGACTGCATGTTTTATAGAATCTATATTGTGATTTTTCATGTGTATATTCCTGTCATGTTTGTGTGCTAACCAAAACAAGAGCAAAACAACCCAAAGCCTAATGGGTAACAATTTCAAGGGCAAGCACGAAGATTTCAGCTGGATACAAACACTGCATGATTGATGGTAGGCTGTGTCATATTTACCTGTAGTCAATTATGTGTTCCTTTTGCTTTGTAGTGTCTCCTGAGCAACCGCCTTTATTCACGGTAAACATATTTTCTTTAATTATTAACAAAATGCTCTGTGATATATACATGATATGTTAATCATTATGTTGTCAAACCCATTCAGCATACGGTGAAAGACAGTGATCACATTTCAACTAGATTCTTAGGAAGTATGGATTCACTAACTTCCAGTGAAGGTAAATTTGCCACTACAAATTTCATTCTAGAAAATGTAGATGAAAATATTGAAAATGCTCGTAGTTTTTTGATTCCCACTTTTTATCCAAATGAGATGGAAGGATTTGATGTAAATATGCTGATGTTCTTGTTAATATCTTTGTTTATAAAATGATTTTTAAGGCATAAGGCGGACATTTTACACTGTGAGCTCTAGCCCAAATGCTTTTCCTTTAAAGTTGTCATCATTTAAAGATCCCAGTGTTGAATTCCTTTGCATGTTAGGGATTTGAGTAGGTGTATTTTGACACTAAATATTTTCAGTGCTTCAAAATTGATTGCAATACTCTCTTCTTCATCTAGAGAAAAGCTATACCTGCTGACATTACAATTGTTTTAGAACTTCAACGACTTTATGTCAGTGTTGTTACATTGAGAATCTTAATCACATCTTCTGATTACCGGATTGAGTTTCTGCATGTGTATGTGTGTGTGTATCTCTGATTAAAAATGAATAAAATGATTAATCATTCTTTTGTAACTCTTTGGTAGATACAGTGTTTTAAAACAATGATTCTGAGCTGTTTTGGCCTTAGAATATTTTCTTCTACTACTATTTATTGTCTACAGGTAACCAACAGCCTGAATTAATGTTTTTTACTTTTAAGTCACTGCAATGCACATTAAAAATACTTTACAAGATACTTGCACTTTCATAGGTAATATGTGGAATCTGTTTCCAAGTATCAAGTCTTCTGTACGCTTTCACACAATGTACATAATAGCTGCAACTCGGCTTTTGTAATCAGTGGAATATATTTCAGATCTGTCCAGGTTGACACAGTTTGGTCATCTTTGTTTTGTTTTATGACTGCACCACATATTTGATTTGTTTTATGACTGCACCACAATTAATTAAAGTCTCTTCATGCTGATACAAAATGAACATAAATATGATGACATACCAACATAGATTTGCTTATGTGGTTGCCTTTATTGATTTGTACTATAAAGAAATTAAATAGAAGTATTTCAGATACCCATAGTATAGCTGTATACACTGCCATAGCTGTATTGAGTACATTCATTACCCCTTAGAGCCATGTTTTTCCATCATGTTATGACTCTGAAAAACTCCAGTGTATGCTTTTCAGAGAATGACATTGGAAAGAAGAAATGGCCAAAGTATCATTTGGTACCTTGGCTTCCTTACATAGATGTTGAACTCCAGGAATGATCAAATCACAGTTTAGGACCCCTTTGTTGGGCCCTATAAAGGGTTTCCAGATGTCAAATGATAGTCTCCAGATGAAGAAATGCTCTATAATGCCTCACCGCTGTGTTTTCCTGTATTTTGTGCTTTTCTGAAAACTTTAAATACACGAATTTTTGGTAGAAATGAAAATCTTTCTGTTTTATATATTTGTTTTTGTCCATGGCACTCTGATCTCTTTGAATCTGGTAAGGATCTAGCCTTGTCTTGTTTATACCAGCAAGCAGTGTTGTCACTTAATGCTCTCATTTTTCACGTAAATGACTGACATTTTCCCAAGTCTTCACAAGTGATTTCTGAAGATGTTGCTGCATTGAGCAGAGACTATGTCATTGTAATTGCAGAAGTTTTAAAATTAAACATGTTTAATAAAATTTTAGAGTCTGTTTATCTGGAACACATAACACATAATGGTGTAATGTGTATTTAACCATAAATTAGCTTCACAAAAAGTTTGTGTACATAAAAGTGTTTATATCCAAAGAAATTCTTATTTACTGCTCAGTAATCTCTTGTGTAGAAGAAAATATGTAACATAGTTTGCTGAGTCTTTGATAATAACCCTCAGTGTAAAATAAAGCCGTAAAGATAAAATGAGAGTTGATACTCGATGAAACTGATGTGAGTGAATAGAAACTATGAAACTGTGTCTATGGGAGAGAGGAGGACATGGGGCTGCTGTTGTGAAGAAGGAATTTGTACAAGTTAGTCCATTTTCTGTAACTTTTATATTCTAATAAAGGAAAACCATATCTTCATATTTATAAAAATGAGATTTTACTGGTTTGATCACAGGGGTGGTGAGAATAATGAAGAACAAAATGTGGAAGGCAAAGAATGAAGACCAGATAGTGAGATTAGATTTATCAACAAAAAAGAGTACAAGTGGGGTGGGATGGTGTAAATAAAGATAGCAGCTGGCTAGGTGTTTGGGGGTTTCTGATGAGGAAACCTGAGAACACTGACTTTATGTGGACCTGGTATATTCGCACTCGAACAGAATATTGGATTATTGTTGCTTCAGAGATTAATGGAAGCAGAGGTGGAAGAATGAGAGTAAACCACAGGGACTCAATTCTTTTCTCTGTAGGGGTCACACAGCAACAATAGGACAGGTGCTTCATGTTAGCAAAATGTGATGCACTGCATGTCAAACTGACTGTGGAAGCAAAACAATCAAGAAATATATTTCTTGAGTATTATTTATTTATTTATTTATTTTATTATTATTATACTTTAAGTTTTAGGGTACATGTGCACAATGTGCGGGTTTGTTAAAATGTAACTGTCGATAATCATGGCAAATATTTTGATATATAAAAGGTGATTAACATGAAAAAAGCCTCTGATGTTTCAAATATTTTGGTTAGATTTGTTTTATGGGAATCTAATTACACATTAGGTATTTGGAGTGTAATGTATACGTTTTTTGCATAAGTGAATGAAGAGATGGCAGGAGGGCTAAAGTTGAGAATCCAGGAAATGGAAAAACACCAGAAGCGTGCATGACTGTGGACAACATGAGTATTTTTGTTAACTATGCTTCTGTATGTAGATATCTGAACTAATGAACTGAGAATACATCCTGCAAGCAGAAGTGAATGATAGATTTTAATGAAATTGATAGTTTTTAAGTTAGAGGACAAAATGAAGAACAGGAGAACTATTGTAGTATTATAGTATAAATGGTTCTTGGGTGATTTTCTTCAGGGTACACCATAGCGTTCTACCATGGGCTTTGACATTTATCCTTCTGGGGTCCTATTTGGTCCTTTCTTTTGACATCACATTTTTTGGCTTCAGTTAAGAGGATCACATTGGTAGAAGTACTTTCCTGTGTTAGTTGTAGTCATGGGAAACCTAATCTCTCTCTTGAAATCTGGACTACATGTTTTATGAAAACTTAATTATGTGTCCCTTTTGCTTTGTAGAATCTTCTGAGCGACCTCCTTTATCCACGGTAAACAAATATATTTTCATTTTTAATTAACAAAATGCTTTGTGATATATACATGATATATTAATCATTATGTTGTAAAACCCATTCAGCTTACTCTGAAAGAGGCAGATCCCAGTTCAAAAGCAGCCATGAGAAGGAAGGATTCACCACCTCCAGGAAAAGGTAAATTTGCCAATACAAATTTCATCTGGAAAGAAGGACATGAATATACTGGAAATGTTCATAGCCTTCTGATTCTTACTTCTTTTACCCCAGTAAGATAGAAGGATTTGATCTAAATGATGCTGATGCTGTTAGTGTCTATGCTTATAAAATGATATTTAGAAGAACAAGGAAAAGAAATTTTAAAAATGTGAGCTCTAGCTCAGATGCTTTTCCTTTTAGGTTGTAATAAAGATCCCAGTGTGGAATTTGTATGCATGTTAGGGGTTCAAGGAGATGAATTTTGAAACTATAAATATTTTTCAGTGCTTCAATTTCTGGTTGCAATACTGTCCTTTACCTAGAGAAAAGCTATACCAGCTGACATTACAATTGTGTTAGAACTTCATCTTCTTTATGTCGGTGTTGTCACGCTGAGAACCTTCGAGTCTTCACCCAATCACATGCTCTGATTACCAGCTTGAATTTCTGCATGTGTATGTGTGTGTGTGCTTTTGTTTGTGAGTTTGGGTGTGTGTGATACCTCTGATTCTGGAAAATGAGTAAAGTCATTAATCATTTTTTGGTGACTCTTTGGTAGATACAGGGTTTTAAAGCAATGATTCTGAGCTGTTTTAGCCTTAGAGTCTTTGATACTACTACAATTCATTGCCTACAGGTAACCAACAACCTGAATTAATGTTGGTTTGTTTGCTTTGTATTATACCTTAAGTTCTGGGATACATGTGAAGAACATGCAGGTTTTTTACATAGGCATACATGTGCCATGGTGGTTTACTGTACCCATCAACCCATCAGCTACATTGGGTATTTCTACTAATACTGTCCCTCCCCTAGGACCCCATCTCCCTGACAGGCCCTGGTGTGTGATGTTCCCCTCCCTGTGTCCATGTGTTCTTATTGTTCAACTCCCACTTATGAGTGAGAAAATGTGGCATTTGGTTTTCTTTTCCTGTGTTAGTTTGCTGAGAATAATGGTTTCAGGCTTCATCCGTGTCTTTGCAAAGGACATGAACTCATCCTTTTTTAATGGCTGCATAGTATTCCATGATGTGTATATGCCACATTTTCTTTATCCAGTCTATCACTGATGGGCATTCGGGCTGGTTCCAAGTCTTTGCTATTGTGAGTAGTGCTGCAATAGACATAGATGTGCATGTGTCTTTATAGTAGAATGATTTTTAATCTTTGGGGTATGTATTCAGTAATGGGATTGCTAAGTCAAATGGTATTTCTGGTTCTACATCCTTGAGGAATCACCACACTGTCTTCCACAGTGGTTGAAATAATTGACACTCCCACCAACAATATAAAAGCGTTCCTATTTCTCCACATCCTCTCCAGCATCTGTTGTTTCCTGAGGTTTTAATGATCACCATTCTAACTGGCATGAGATGGTATCTCATTGTGGTTTTGATTTGCATTTCTCTAATGATCAGTGATCATGAGCCTTTTTTTCATATGTTTACTGGCTGAATAAATGTCTTCTTTTGAGCATATCCTTCACCCACTTTTTGATGAGGTTGTTTGTTCTTTTCTCATAAATTTGTTTAAGTTCCTTTTAGATTCTGGATATTAGCCTTTTGTCAGATGGAGAGATTGCGAACATTTTCTCCTGTTCTGTAGGTTGCCTGTTCACTCTGATCATAGTATTGGAAGTTCTGGCCAGGGCAATCAGACAAGAGGAAAAAATAAAGGGTATTCAAATAGGAAGAAAGGAAGTCAAATTGTCTCTGCAGATAACATGATTGTATTTTTAGGAAACCAAATTGTCTCAGTCCCAAATCTCCTTCAGCTGATAAGCAACATCAGCAAAGTCTCAGGATACAAAATCAGTGTGCAAAAATCACAAGCATTCCTATACACCGATAAAAGACAAACAGCAAAATCATCATGAGTGAACGCCCATTCACAATTGCTACAAAGAGAATAAAATACCTAGGAATACAACTCACAAGGGATGAGAAAGACCTCTTCAAGGAACACTACAAACCACTGCTCAAGGATATAAGAGAGGACACAAACAAATGGAAGAACATTCCATGCTCATGGTTAGGAAGAATCAATATCATGAAAATGGCCATACTGCCCAAAGTAATTTATAGGTTCAATGCTATAGACTACCATTGACTTTCTTCACAGAATTAGAAAAAACTACTGGAAATTTCATATGGAACAAAAAAGGGCCCATATAGCCGAGACAATTGTAAGCAAAAAGAACAGAGCTGGAGGCATCACGCTACCTGACTTCAAACTACACTACAAGGCTATAGTAATGAAAACAGCATGGTACAGCTACCAAAACAGCGATATAGAACAATGGAACAGAACAGAGGCCTCAGAAGTAACACCATACATCTACAACCATATGATCTTTGACAAACCTGACAAAAAGCAATCAGTGGGGAAAAGATTACCTATTTAATAAATGGTGTTGGGAAAACTGGCTAGCCTTATGCAGGAAACTGACACTGGACCCCTTCCTTACACCTTATACAAAAATTAACTCAAGATAAATTAAAGACTTAAACGTTTAAGTAAGACCTAAAACCATAATAACCCTAGAAGAAAATCTAGGCAATACCATTCAGGACATTGGCATGGGCAAAGACTTCATGACTAAAACACCAAAAGCAATGGCAACAAAAGCCAAAATTGACAAATGGGATCTAATTAAACTAAGGAACTTGTGCGGTTTTATTTGGGAGTGTGCATGAGGTACCTCTGAGTTTCAAAAATGAAGAAAGTAAGTGGTCATGCTTTCCTGACTCTTTGGTAGACACAGCCTTTTAAGACGGTGATTCTGAGCTGTTACGGTTTTGGGTTTTCTATAATACTGAAGCTTACTGCTGACATGTAACCAAGAGCTTGAATTAATTTAAAAAAAAAGAAATCACCCAAATGCACATTAAAAACCTCTTACAACATATGTGCACATTCATAGATAACATGTAGGACTTGATTTTGTGTATTAAAAACTTGTAGAAAAGTTCAGGCAGTGCACTTAATGAATGCAACTTGGTCTTTGTAAAATCAGTGATATATATTTCAGATCTATCCACATTGACCCAGTGAGGTATTTCTTGATTTATTGTATGATCTCATGATATGCCATGTGATGACTACAGCATATTATGCTCTCTTCATGCTGATACCATATGGACTTAAATATGATGACATACCAACATGGATATGCTTACGTGGTTGCTTTTATTGATTTATACTATATTAGAAATGAAACAGAAGTATTGGAAATCCTAGCAAGCATAGCTGTATCTCTCCCATGGCTGTGTTGATTGCAACTGTTTCCCCCTTAAAGCATGTCTTTTTGACATGTCCTGACTCTGAGAAAATCCAGTGTGTGCTTTTCAGAGACTAACAGTAAGGAGTGGAAATGGCCAATGGTCAAAGTGTTACTTGTCCTCTTGGCTCCCCTTCATGAATGTTAAACTCTAATCTACTCAGGTCACAATTTAGAACCCCTTTGTTGATCCCTATAGAGTGTTCCCAGATGTCAAATGGCAAATAGGACTTTGATGAAGAAACACCCCGTAAAGCCATATTGCTCTGGTTTTTGTGTGTGAATGTGTGTGTGTGTGTGTGTATGTGTGTGTATTTTTTTCTCTTCTGAAAACTGTAAATAGAGGAATTTTAATTACAAATGAAAATGTTTCTGTTCCATATTTATTTCCTGTCTAATGTACTTTGCTCTTCTTGGATCTAGTAAGGATCTCAGCTTGTCTTTTTTATACCTGCAAAAAATTATGTCAGTGCTTCATTTTTCATGTCAATTACTGACATGTTTTCAAGTCTTCACAAGTTATTTCTGAAGATTTTGGTGCATCAAGGAGAGACTGTCATTGTAGTTAAAGAAGTTTCTAAATAGGTTATATTCAATAAAATTTCAGAGCTTGTTTCTCTGGAAAGCATAGACATAGTGGTGTTATGGGTAGTTAAACATAAAATAGCTCCACAAAGTGTTGTGTACATAAAAGTGTTCATATCCTGGAAAATTCTAGTTTATTGCTCAGTACTGTCTGCTGGAGAGGAAAACAGGTAGGATAGGCTGCTGAGCCTATGATAATAACTCATAATATGAGGTGAAAGCATAGAGACAAAATGAGAGATGATAGATACTCAAACCGATGTGAGTGAAGAACAGCTGTGAAAGAGTGTCTATGGGAGAGAGGAGGCAATGGGGCTGCTTTTGTGAAGAAGGAATTTGTACATGTTAGTCAAGTGTCTGACATATTTAACATTTTAATAAAGCAAAACCTTATCTTCACATGTGTCAGAATGGGATTGTACAGATGTCACAATACAGTGGTGGTGAAAATAATGAAGAAACTAATGTGGAGGTCAAAGAATCAAGTCCACCAATATGGATATTAGATTTATGAACAAAAAAGAATGTATGTCAAATTGGGCAGGTGTAAACAAAGAAAGCAGCTAGTGAGGTAATTTGGAGGTTTCTGATGAGGCGACTTGTGGCAAGTCCCTTAATGGAAAGCAGAAGCAGAAGTTAGAAGGATGAGGGTAACCCACAGGGTCTCATTTCTTCTCCCTAGAAGTTTTGCACATCAATGATACATGCTTCGTTCACATCAGATTTTTGTTTTTTGTTTTTTTTTTGGAAAGCTGTGTTTGCTGAGGTAGTTATTTTGTAAAACAACCTGAGAGACCCCGATGGTATATCATGTGAAACTAGATTTTAAAAAAAAGGAATCAAAGAATGTATTTTAAGAGTACTAAACAGATAACTGCCAATAATCATGACAATCATGACATATGTATATATATGTATTATGTCATATTGGTTGGTTATTTATAAGAAAAGAAGTCTCTAGTGATTTAGAAACTTTGTTTAGTTTATTTTCATAGGAATCTGATTACACATTATTTCATTGATGTGTATGTTTTTGCAAAAGTGGACGAAGAGACAGTGAGAAAGTTGAACTGCTGAATCCAGGAAATGTAGAAACATCAGGAGTCTTCATGAGTATAAATAAAATGATTTTTTAAATTATAACTCTTAGATTAAGTGAACTCACTTCAGATGCATTTAGAATATTTGCATAAGGGATGATTTGATTTTTGGCTGCTCCAGGAACTACTGGAAGCAGGAAAGAGTGATAGAATTGGGATAAACCACAGTGACTCATTGCTCCTCTTTGTTACCATTGGGCACCAGAGGTATATGTTTTGTTGACATTGGTTATTCAAATGAGATAAACATGAATATGCATACATTGGCTTTGTTTTTCAAGGAGCTATTGGATAAAATAGCAACTTAATAAAAATTCTCTAGAGAATAACATGATACTTTAACCAGACTATTTTAGAAGTGAAAATAATGTTGAATTCATTACTTGAATCCCAAATGGTTATTTTCAAGGAATATTGGAGTGATTTCCAGATGTAAAAGCTTATTCATATCTAATGCTTGTAGAAACTTTATTTTGTATAAGTATGTCAAATTTGCTAATTTATTACACTTTTTGATGAAGTTTATATATTATACCTTGTTGCAATGAGTGGATGAAGGAACTTTTGGAAGGCTAAACTAGAAGATACAAGAGATATAGGCACATTATTACACCATATGGGTGTGAAAAATAATGAATATTACATACTAGAATTCACCAAACATATATCCAAGCTGATTAAGTTAGGACACTTCCACTGAAGAGATTTCAACTAAAGTGTCATTATAATTGTGTACCTTCTCACTGATCAATCAAGTTAAAGAGCATGATGAATGTTTGCAGTAAAATGTTCCAAATCATACTGATATCTTGCATGAAAGACATGCGGGTGCATGTATCACCTGCTTTGACGTTGATTCCCAGGTGTATGAGTTGGACTCTGATTTTAGATCACATTTGTCCTCATCACTCAGCATATCCACATTGATATTGACATGGTTTTATCTTAGTTTTAGACATATGGAGAAAGTCATATCACATTTGAAATTGTCAGTGTATATTTCTTGAAGCCTGTATTCCTATTTTCTTCAGTGTATTTCCTTCATGTTTAGTCCCAAGAAACAAAGTATAAAATATCAAAGCCTACAGTAATACAGGCAGGAGTACAAAACTTGATGCTAACATGCTATCCATGCATTAATGTATGGATAACATTATCATATTTACATATGATTGATTATGTATCCCTTTTGCTTTTCAGTGTCTTCTCAGAAACAACCAGCTGAGAAGGTAATTAAAGTCTCATTTATATGTTGAACTATTAACTGTATAGTCTATGAAACCTACTTTACATATTGATTATTTTGTTTCAAATCCCATTCAGGCTACAAGTGACGACAAAGATTCTGTTTCAAATATAGCCACAGAAATAAAGGAGGGACCAATATCTGGGACAGGTAATTTTGCAAAACACTTCTAATGTCATGTTCAATCAAGATGGAAGAGAACTTCCCTTCCCCAAATAAATCAGTGGGGAGTTCGTCTAAGCTGCATGTTCTGATTCAGTATGCCTGAGATTCTTCATTTGTAGTGAGTTCTCAGGTGACCCTGATGCTGCTGGTCCTTGGTCATGATCTGAGTAGTAAGATTGTAGACTTCCCTACATTGAAATTGGGAAGAAGAACCATTGGAGAGAAGTTCAACACATACCAGGCTCAGGGAGCAGCATAATTTTGCTTTAATTTTACAGCATGTTTCCACCAAGAGGGGAAAGAGAACGAGATGAAGTAATAGATATTATAGGCATCATATCATATTGTTATAAACAGAGGGAAAAGTGATCCTAATAACTCCATAAACACTGTAGAATGAGAGCTAAGAAGACCACTGATGTAGCAATTATTTTCCTCAAGAAGGAGGGATTGTGAGGCAGGAAGGAGGAAAAAGAAGGTATTTATGTAATTTTGGAGTTTCTGCTGAGGAAACCTGAGTGAACTCATTTCAGATGCATTTAGAATATTTGCATAAAAGAAGATTTGATTTTGGCTGCTCCAAGAACTACTGGAAGCAGGAAAGAGTGCTAGAATCGGGATAAACCACAGTGACTCATTACTCCTCTTTGTTACTATTAGGCATCAGAGATACATGTTTTCTGGACTTTACTTATAAAAATGAGATGAACTTGCATATGAATACATTGGCTTCCTTGTTCAAGGAGCTAACTCTTGGATAAAATAGCTATTTAATGAAACTTCCTTAGAGACTAACATGATACTTCCAACAAGGCTATTTTAGAAACAAAAATGATGTTGAATTCTAATTAACTCCTACAGTGGTGATTTTCAATGAATATTGGAGTGATTTCTGAATGTAAAACTTATTAATATCTAATGCTTGTAGCAGTTTTACTTTGTAGAAGTATGTTAACATTGGTAATTGATATTTTTATTGAGGCTAATATATTATCGTTTGTTGCCAAGAGTGGATGAAGAAACTTTCAGAAGGCTAAACTAGTGGATACAAGAAACTTAGGCAAATTATTACACCACATGGGTGTGAGAAATAATATTATCTACTAGATTTCAGGAAACATATATCCAAGGTGATCAATTTAGGACACTTCCACTGAAGAGACGTGAAGTGTACATTTAACTGAATTGTCATCGTAATTGTGTATCTTCTAGTTATTGGGCAAGTTAAAGGGCATGATGAACGTTTGTAGTATAATGGTGTAAATCCTTTTGATTTCTTGCAAGAAAGACATGTGGGATAATGTACCACCTGCTTTGACATTGATTCTCAGGTGTGTGAGTTACTCCTCTGATTTGTCCTCATCACTCGGCATATCCACATTGATATTGACACGGTTTTATTTTAGTTTTAGACATATCACGAATCATACCATGTTTGAAATTGTAAGGGTATATTTTGTGAAGGCTGTATTCCTTTTTTTTCAGTGTATTTCTGTCGTGTTCCAGTCTCCAGACAAAAAGTAGAAAACATCAAAGCCTACACTAGTACAGGCAGGAAGATATAGTTTGATGCTAACACTTCATGAATGTATGGATAAATTTATCATATGTACATGTGAGTGATTATGTATCCCTTTTGCTTTTCAGTGTCTTCTCAGAAACAACCAGCTGAGAAGGTAATTAAAGACTCATTTATATGTTGAACTATTAACTGTATAGTCTATGAAACCTACTTTACGTATTGATTATTTTGTTTCAAATCCCATTCAGGCTACAAGTGATGAGAAAGATTCTGTTTCAAATATAGCCACAGAAATAAAGGAGGGACAACAATCTGGGACAGGTAATTTTGCAAAACACATTTAATGTCATGTTCAGTCAAGATAGAAAAGTACTTCTCTTCCCTGGAATAAATCAGCGGGGGATTCATTGAAGCTGCACATTCTGATTCAGCAGGCCTGAGATTCTTCAGTTCTCAGGTGACACTGATGCTGCTGGTCTTTGACATGATCTTTGCAGTAAGATTATAGACTTCCCCACATTGAAATTGGGAAGAATAAACGTTGGAGAGCCATTAAAGACAAAAGGAGTCAGGGGACAGCATAATTTTGCATTAATTCTACAGCATGTTTTCACCAAGGGTGGATGGAGAAAGAGATGAAGTATAGATTTTACAGACATCACATCGTATTGCTAAAAACAGATGGAGAAATTATGGTAATAGCCCATAAACACTGTAGAACGAGAGCTAAGGAGACCACTGATGTAGCAATGACTTTCCTCAAGGAAGAGGATTGTCAGGCAGGAAGGAGGGAAAATAAGAAGTTATTTATGTAATTTTGGGGTTTCTTCTGAGGAAACCTGAGTTCAGTTGTATATTCAAACATTTTTGTAAAAGAAGCTTTGATTTTGGCTGCTTTAGGAAACAGTGGAAGCAGGAAGGAGTACTAGAACTGGGATCAACCACAGTGACTCATTACTCCTCTTTGTTACTGTTGGGCATCAGAGATATACATTTTGTTGATATTAGTTATTCAAATGACATAAACATGAATATGCATATATTGGCTTTGCTTTTCAATTAGCTAACTTTTGGATAAAAATAGCAATTTAATGAAAATGCTTTAGAGAATAACATGATATTTTATGCCAGACTATTTTAGAAAGAAAAATAATGGTGAATTCATTAATTGACTTTTAAAATTCTCATTTTCAATGAATATTGGAGGGATTTCCAAATGTAAAAGGTTATTCATATCTAATGCTTGTAGCAACTTTATTTTGTATAAGTATGTCAAATTTGATCATTTATTATACTTTTTGATAAGGTTTATATATTATATTTGTTGCCATGAGTGGACGAAGAACCTTTCTGTAGCGTAAACTAGAGGACACAACAAATGTAGGCACATTATTACACCACATGGGTTTGAGAAATAAAGAATATTATATACAGGATTATCCCAACCTATATCCAAGCTGTTGAAGCTGGGCCACTTCCACCGAGGACTTGTGAAGTGTACATTCTACTAAAGTGTCATTGTCATTGTGTACCTGCTCAATTACCAGGCAAGTTAAAGAGCATGATGAATACTTGCAGTATAATGGTATAAATCCCTCTGATGTCTTGCATGAAAAACATGCAGTAGCATTTAGTACCTTCTTTGATATTGATTCCTGGGTGTATGAGTTGCTCCTCTGATTTTAGATCACATTTCTTTTCATCATTCGGCATATCCACATTGATATTGACACTTTTTATTTCAGTAATACACACATGACACATAATACCTCTTTGTAATTTCTGACTGTATATTTTCTGGAAGCGTGTATTCCTATTTTCTTCGCATATTTCCTCATGTTCCTGTCCCAAAGACACAAACTGTAAAACATCAAATCCTACACTAGTGCAGGTGGGAGGATACAGCTTGATGCTAACACTGCATGAATGTGTGGACGACTTTATCATATTTACATATGATGAATTATATATTTCTTTTACTTTTCAGTGTCTCCTCAGAAACAATCAGCCTGGAAGGTAGTTACTCTTTCATTTATATTTTGAATTATTTATTACATAGCCTATGAAATATATATTATGTATTGACTATTTTGTTTCTCTTTCCATTCAGGTTATATTTAAAAAGAAAGTTTCTCTTTTGAATATTGCCACAAGAATAACGGGCGGTGGGAAATCTGGAACAGGTAATTTGGCAATACACATTTAATGTCATGTGCACTCAAGACAGAAGAGAACGTCCCACCCCTGAATAGATCAGTGGAGTGTCATTGAAAATGCACTTTCTGATTAAGCAGGCCTGAGATTGTGCATTTCTAGTAAGTTGTCAGGTGGTGCTGATGCTGCTGGTCCTTGGCCATGATCTTAGTAACAAGCTTGTAGAGTTCCCTACATTGAATTTGGATGGAAGAACCATTGGAAAACAGTTCAAGACATAAGAGGATCGGAGGACAGCATAATTTTGCTCTTATTTCAGAGCATGTTTCTATGGAGAGGGGAAGGAGAAAGAGAAGAAGTAACAGAAATTATAGATGTCAGATGGTACTGCTAAAACCAGAGGGAGGAAATTGTTATAATAACCTGTAAACACTGGAGAATGAGAAACAAAGTGACCACTGATGTAGTAATTATTTTCATCAAGAAAGAGGGATTGCAAGGCAAGAAAGAGGGGAAGGAAGAAGTTATTTAGGTAATTTTGGGGTTTCTGCTGAGGAAACCTGAGTGAACTCACTTCAGATGCATTTAGAATGTTTGCATACCAGAAGATTTGATTTCTGACTGCTCCGATGACTACCGGAATCAGGAAGGAGTGCTAGAGTTGGGATAAACCACAGTGCCTCATTCCTGTTTATTAGTATCAGACATCAGACATATATTTTTTATTAGTTATTCAAATGAGTTAAAATTTAATACGACTATATTAGCTTTTTTCCAAAGTGCTGGCTTTTTCATTAAAATAGCTATTTAGTGAAAATTCTTTATAATACAATGATATTCCAGAGCAGACTAATTTTGCAGACAAAAATAATGTTAAATGTATTAATTGAATCCTAAAATGGTTATTTTCAATGAATATTGGACTGATATCCAAACGTAAAAGTTTATTAATATCTAATGCCAGGAGCCATTGCATTTTGTATAAATATGTGTAATTTATTGTACTTTTTGATGAGGTTTATATATTATACCTTCTTGCCATTAGTGGATGAAGAAAATTACTGAAGGCTAAACTAGAGGATACAAGAAATGTAGGCAGATTATTCCACCACATGTGTATGATAAATAATGAATACTATCTACTAGGATTCACCAACCATATATCCAAGCTGATCAATTTAGGTCCCTTCCACTTAAGAGACATGAAGTGTATATTCAACTGAAGTGTCATTGTAATTGTGTACCTTCTCAGTTATCAGGCAAGTTAAAGAGCATGATGAATGTTTGTAGTATACTAGTGTAAATCCTTTTGATAGCTTGCATGAAAGACATGGAGGATCATGTAGCACCTGCTTTGACATTGATTCTCAGGTGTATGAGTTGCTCCTCTGATTTTAGATCACATTTGTCCTCATCATTCGACATATTCACATTGATACTAACACTGTTTCATTTTAGTTTTAGACATATGAAAAATCATACCATGATTGACATTGTAAGGGTTTATTTTGTGAAACCTGTATTTCTTTTTTTTCAGTGTATTTCTGTCATGTTCCAGTCCCCAGACACAAAAATCAAAGCCTATACTAATACAGGCAGGAGCATACAGCTTGATTCTAACACTTCATGAATGTATAGATAACTTTATCATATTTACATATGAGTGATTATGTATCCCTTTTGCTTTTCAGTGTCTTCTCAGAAACAACCACCCTCAAAGGTAATTAAACTCTCATTTATATTTTGTATTAGTAACTGTATAGTCCATGAAACATACTTTCTTTATTGATAATTTGCTTCAAATTACTTTCAGGCTACAAGTGACAAGACAGATTCTGCTTTGAATATAGCTACAGAAATAAAGGATGGACTACAATGTGGGACAGGTAATTTTGCAAAACACATTAAATGTCATGTTCAGTCCAGATAGAAAAGAACTTCTCTTCCCTGAATAAATCAGCGGGGGGCTCATCAAAGCTGCACATTCTGATTCAGCAGGCCGGAGATTCTTCATTTGTAATAAGTTCTCGGGTGACGCTGATGCTGCTGGTCTTGGACATGATCTTCGCGGTAAGATTATAGACTTCCCCACATTGAAATTGGGAAGAAGAAACATTGGAGAGCAGATCAAGACATAAGGGGCTCAGGGTACAGCATAATTTTGCTTTAATTCTACAGCATGTTTTCACCAAGGGTGGAAGGAGAATGAGTTGAAGTATAGATTTTACAGACGTCACATCGTATTGCTAAAAACAGATGGAAAAGTGATCATAATAACCAGTAAAAATTGTAGAACGAGAACTAATGAGACCACTGATGTAGCAATGATTTTCCTCAAGGAAGAGGGATTGTGAGGCAGGAAAGAGGGAAAAGAAGAAGTTATTTATGTAATTTTGGGGTTTCTGCTGAGGAAACCTGAGTGAACTCACTTCAGATGCATTTAGCATATTTACACAAAAAAGATTTGATTTTGGCAGCTCCAGGAACTACTGGATGAAGCAAAGAAAGCTAGAATTGGGATAAACCACATTGACTAATTACTTCTCTTTGCTACTATTAGGCATAAGACATATATCTTTTGTTGATTTTTGTTATAAAAATTAGATAAACTTGAATATCAATACATTGGCTTCTTTCATCAAAGAGCTATCTCACGGATAAAATAACTATTTAATGAATATTATTTAGAGAATAGTATGATCCTCCTAACAAGACAATTTTAAAAACAAATATAATGTTGAGTTCATCAACTGACTCTTAAAATGGTCATTTTCAATGAATATTGGAGTGATTTCCAAATATAAAAGCTTATCAATATCCAATGCTTTTAGCAGTTTTATTTAGTAGAAGTATGTCAAAATTGATAATTGATGATGCTTTTTATTGAGGTTTATATATCATACTTTGTTGCCATGAGTGGATGAAGAAATGTCTGGGAAGGCTAAACTAGAGAATACAGGAAACTTAGGCAAATTGTTGCACCACATGGATATGAGAAATAATGAATATTATTTACTCGGATTCAGGAAACATATATCCAAGCTGAGCAATTTAGGACACTTCACTGAAGAGACAGAGACATGAGGTGTACATTCAACTGAAGTGTCACTGTAAATGTGTACCTTCTCAGTTACTGGGCAAGTTAATGAACATGATGAATGTTTGCAGTATAATGGTGTAAATCATTTGGATATCTTGCATAAAAGACAAGTGGGTGCATGTGCCACCTGCTTTGAGATTTTCCCAGGTGATTGAGTTTCCCCTCTGATTTTTGATCACATTTGTCGTGATCACTTGGCATACCCTTTTTGATATTCACACTGATTTATTTTTCTTTTAGATATACGAGAAATCATATTATGTTTGAAATAGTTAGGAATATATCGTGACACATCAATTCCTGTTTTCTTTAGTATATTTCTGTCATGCTCCTGGCTTAAGACATAAAGTAGAAAACATCAAAGCCTACACTAATACAGGCAGGCAGATACAGCTTGATGCTAACACCGCATGAATGTATGGAAAATGTATCATATTTACATATGAGTGATTATCCCTTTTGTTTTTCAGTGTCTTCTCAGAAACAACCAGCCTTGAAGGTAATTAAACTTTCATTTATATTGTGAACTAGTGAATCTATAGTCTATGAAACATGCTTCATTTATTTATTTATTTATTATTTTCTTTCAAATTCCATTCAGGCTACAACTGACGAGGAAGATTCTGTTTCGAATATAGCCACAGAAATAAAGGATGGAGAAAAATCTGGGACAGGTAATTTTGCAAAAGACATTTAATGTCATGTTCAATCCAGATAGAAAAGAACTTCTCTACCCCGAATAAATCAGTGGAGGGCAGGTGGGGGGGCTCGCCGAAGCTGCACATTCTGATTCAGTAGGCCTGAGAGTCTTCATTTGTAATAAATTCTTGGGTGACGCTAATGCTGCTGGCTTGGAACGTGATCTTTGCAGTATGATTATACACTTCCCCACGTTGAAATTGGGAAGAAGAAATATGGAGAGAGGTTCAAGACATAAGGGGCTCTGGGGAACAGCATAGTTTTGCTTTAATTCTACAGCATGGTTTCACTAAGGGTGGAAGGAGAAAGAGAGGAAGTATAGATTTTACAGACATCACATCGTACTGCTGAGAAAAGACAGAAAACTGATAGTAATAACCCATAGACACTGTAGAATGAGAACTAAGGAGATCCCTGATGTAGCAATTATTTTCCCAAGGAAGATGGATTGTCAGACAGGAAGGAGGGAAAAGAAGTTATTTATATAATTTAGGGGTTTCTGCTGAGGAAATCTGAGTGAACTCACTTCACATGCATTTGGAATATGTGCCTAAAAAATATTTGATTTTGGCAGCTCCAGGAACTACTGGAAGCAGGAAACAATGCTAGAATTGGGATAAAGCACACTGACTCATTACTCCTTTTTGTTACTATTAGGCATCAGAGATACATGTTTTGTTGACTTATAAAAATGAGATAAACTTGAATATGAATACATTGGCTTCCTTGTTCCAGGAGCTATCTCTTGGATAAAATAGCTATTTCATGAAACTTCTTTAGAGACTAACATGATACTCCCAAGAAGTATCATGTTTTAGAAACAAAAATTATGTTGAATTCTAATTAACTCCTAAAATGGTCATTTTCAATGAATATTGCAGTGATTTCTGAATGAAAAACTGCTCAATATCTAATGCTTGTAGCAGTTTTACTTTGTAGAAGTATGTCAAAATTGATAGTTGATGATATTTTTATTGAGGCTAATATATTATCCTTTGGTGCCATGACATGATGAAGAAAGTTTCAGAGGGATAAACTAGTGGATACAAGAAACTTAGGCAAATTATTACACCACATGGGTGTGAGAGATAATGAATATTATCTACTAGGTATCAGCAAACAGATATCCAAGGTGATCAATTTAGGACACTTCCACTGAAGGGGATGTGAAGTGTACATTCAACTGAAGTGCCATGGTAACTGTGTGCCTTCTCAGTTATTGGGCAAGTTAAAGAGCATGATGAATGTTTGTAGTATAATGATGTAAATTCTTTTGATTTGTTGCACGAAAGACATGTGGGATCATGTAGCACCTGCTTTGACATTGATTCTCACGTGTATGAGTTGCTCCTCCGATTTTAGATCAGTTTGTCCTCATCACTCGGCATATCCACGTTGATATTGACACGGTTTTATTTTAGTTTTTGACGTATGATGAATCATACCATGTTTGAAATTGTAAGGATATATTTGATGGAGCCTGTATTCCCTCTTACCAGTGTATTTCTGTCATGTTCCAGTCCCAAGACACAAAGTAGAAGACATCAGAGCCTACACTAGTACAGGCAGAAGGATACAGCTTGATGCTAACACTGTGTGAATGTATGGATAACTTTATCATATTTATATATGAGTGATTATGTATCCCTTTTGCTTTTCAGTGTCTTCTCAGAAACAACCAGCCTTGAAGGTAATTAAACTCTCATTTACATTGTAGTCTATGACACATACTTCATTGATTTATTTATTTATTATTTTCTTTCAAATTCCATTCAGGCTACAACTGACGAGGAAGATTCTGTTTTGAATATAGCCACAGAAATAAAGGATGGAGAAAAATCTGAGACAGGTAATTTGCAAAACACATTCAATGTCATGTTCAATCCAGATAAAAAAGAACTTCTCTATCCCGAATAAATCAGCGGAGGGTGGGTGGGGGGAGTCGCCGAAGCTGCACATTCTGATTCAGCAGGCCTGAGATTTTTCATTTGTAATAAATTTCTTGGGAGACGCTAATGCTGTTGGCCTGGAACATGATCTTTGCAGTAAGATTATACACTTTCCCACATTGAAATTGGGAAGAAGAAATAGGGAGAGCAGTTCAAGACATAAGGGGTTCTGGGGAACAGCATAGTTTTGCATTAATTCTACAGCATGGTTTCACTAAGGGTGGAAGGAGAAAGAGAGGAAGTACAGATTTTACAGACGTCACATCGTACTGCTAAGAAAAGACAGAAAACTGATATTAATAACCTATAGACACTGTAGAAGGAGAACTAAGGAGACCCCTGATGTAGCAATTATTTTCCCAAGGATGATGGATTGTCAGGCAGGAAGGAGGGAAAAGAAGTTATTTATATAATTTAGGGGTTTCTGCTGAGGAAATCTGAGTGAACTCACTTCACTTGCATTTGGAATATGTGCTTAAAAAATATTTGATTTTGGCAGCTCCAGGAACTACTGGAAGCAGGAAACAATGCTAGAATTGGGATAAAGCACACTGACTCATTACTCCTTTTTGTTACTATTAGGCATCAGAGATACATGTTTTGTTGACTTTACTTATAAAAATGAGATAAACTTGAATATGAATACATTGGCTTCCTTGTTCCAGGAGCTACCTCTTGGGTGAAATAGCTATTTCATGAAACTTCTTTAGAGACTAACATGATACTCCCAAGAAGTATCATGTTTTAGAAACAAAAATTATGTTGAATTCTAATTAACTCCTAAAATGGTCATTTTCAATGAATATTGCAGTGATTTCTGAATGAAAAACTGCTCAATATCTAACGCTTGCTGCAGGTTTACTTTGTAGAAGTATGTCAAAATTGATAATTGATGATATTTTTATTGAGGCTAATATATTACCCTTTGGTGCCACGACTTGACGAAGAAAGTTTTGGAGGGATAAACTAGTGGATCCAAGAAACTTAGGCAAATTATTACACCACATGGGTGTGAGAGATAATGAATATTATCTACTAGGTATCAGCAAACAGATATCCAAGGTGATCAATTTAGGACACTTCCACTGAAGGGATGTGAAGTGTATGTTCAACTGAAGTGTCATGGTAACTGTGTGCCTTCTCAGTTATTGGGCAAGTTAAAGAGCATGATGAATGTTTGTAGTATAATGGTGTAAATCCTTTTGATTTCCTGCATGAAAGACATGTGGGATCATGTAGCACCTGCTTTGACATTGATTCTCACATGTATGAGTTGCTCCTCCGATTTTAGATCAGTTTGTCCTCATCACTCGGCATATCCACATTGAGATTGACACGGTTTTATTTTAGTTTTCGACGTATGACGAATCATACCGTGTTTGAAATTGTAAGGATATATTTGATGGAGCCTGTATTCCCTCTTACCAGTGTACTTCTGTCATGTTCCAGTCCCAAGACACAAAGTAGAAGACATCAGAGCCTACACTAGTACAGGCAGAAGGATACAGCTTGATGCTAACACTGTGTGAATGTATGGATAACTTTATCATATTTACACATGAGTGATTATGTATCCCTTTTGCTTTTCAGTGTCTTCTCAGAAACAACCAGCCTTGAAGGTAATTAAACTCTCATTTACATTGTATTCTATGACACATACTTCATTGATTTATTTATTTATTATTTTCTTTCAAATTCCATTCAGGCTACAACTGACGAGGAAGATTCTGTTTCGATTATAGCCACAGAAATAAAGGACGGAGAAAAATCTGGGACAGGTAATTTTGCAAAAGACATTTAATGTCACGTTCAATCCAGATAGAAAAGAACTTCTCTACCCTGAATAAATCAGCGGAGGGCGGTTGGGGGTGCTCGCCAAAGCTGCACATTCTGATCCAGCAGTCCTGAGAGTCTTCATTTGTAATAAATTCTTGGGTGGCGCTAATGCTGCTGGCTTGGAACGTGATCTTTGCAGTATGATTATACACTTCCCCACGTTGAAATTGGGAAGAAGAAATATGGAGAGAGGTTCAAGACATAAGGGGCTCTGGGGAACAGCATAGTTTTGCTTTAATTCTACAGCATGGTTTCACTAAGGGTGGAAGGAGAAAGAGAGGAAGTATAGATTTTACAGACGTCACATCGTACTGCTGAGAAAAGACAGAAAACTGATAGTAATAATCCATAGACACTGTAGAATGAGAACTAAGGAGACCCCTGATGTAGCAATTATTTTCCAAAGGATGATGGATTGTCAGACAGGAAGGAGGGAAAAGAAGTTATTTATATAATTTAGGGGTTTCTGCTGAGGAAATCTGAGTGGACTCACTTCACATGCATTTGGAATATGTGCTTAAAAAATATTTGATTTTGGCAGCTCCAGGAACTACTGGAAGCAGGAAACAATGCTAGAATTGGGATAAAGCACACTGACTCATTACTTCTTTTTGTTACTATTAGGCATCAGAGATACATGTTTTGTTGACTTTACTTATAAAAATGAGATAAACTTGAATATGAATACATTGGCTTCCTTGTTCAAGGAGCTACGTCTTGGATACAATAGCTATTTCATCAAACTTCTTTAGAGAACAACCTGATACTCCCAACAAGGCTATTTTAGAAACAAAAATGCTGGATTCTAATTAACTCCTAAAATGGTCATTTTCAATGAATATTGCAGTGATTTCTGAATGAAAAACTGCTCAATATCTAACGCTTGTAGCAGTTTTACTTTGTATACGTATGTCAAAATTGATAATTGATGATATTTTTATCGAGTCTAAAATATTATCCTTTGGTGCCACGACTAGATGAAGAAATTATAGGAAGGCTAAACTAGTGGATCCAAGAAACTTAGGCAAATTATTACACCACATGGGTGTGAGAGATAATGAATATTATCTACTAGGTATCAGCAAACAGATATCCAAGGTGATCAATTTAGGACACTTCCACTGAAGAGATGTGAGTGTACATTCAACTGAAGGGTCATCGGAATTGTGTGCCTTCTCAGTTATTGGGCAAGTTAAAGAGCATGATGAATGTTTGTAGTGTAATGGTGTAAATCCTTTGGTTTCTTGCATGAAAGACATGTGGGATCACGTAGCACCTGTTTTGACGTTGATTCTCACGTGTATGAGTTGCTCCTCTGATTTTAGATCACATTTGTCCTCATCACTCAGCATACCCACCTTGATATTGACACGGTTTTATTTTAGTTTTCGACACATGACAAATCATACCATGTTTGAAATTGTAAGGGTATATTTCATGGAGCCTGTGTTCCCTTTTTTCAGTGTATTTCTGTCATGTTCTAGTCCCCAGACACAAAGTAGAAGCCATCAAAGCCTCCACTAATACAGGCAGGAGTTCAGAGGTTGATGCTAACACTGTGTGAATGTATGGATAACTTTATCATATTTACGAGTGAGTGATTACGTGTCCCTTTTGCTTTTCAGTGTCTTCTCGGAAAAAACCAGCCTTGAAGGTAATGAAACTCTCATTTATATTGTGAGCTAGTAAACGTATAGCCTATGAAACATACCTTATTTATTATTTTGTTTCAAATTCCATTCAGGCTACAAGTGATGAGAAAGATTCTTTTTCGAATATAACCAGAGAAAAAAAGGATGGAGAAATATCTAGGACAGGTAATTTTGCAAAACACATTTAATGTCATGTTCAGTCCAGATAAGAAGTTCTCTTCCCCGAATAAATCAGTGGGGGGCTGGTCGAAGCTGCACATTCTGATTCAACAGGCCTGAGATTCTTCATTTCTAATAAGTTCTTGGGTTACGCTGTTGCTGCTGGTCTGGAACATGATCTTCGCTGTAAGATTATACACATCCCCACATTGCAATTGGGAGGAAGAAATATGGAGAGCAGTTGAAGACATAAGGGGCTCTGGGGCACAGCATAATTTTGCTTTAATTCTGTAGCATCTTTTCATTAAGGGTGTAAGGAGAAAGGGAGGAAGTACAGATTTTACAGACGTCACATCATAGGGCTAAAAACAGACAGAAAAGTGTTCATAATAACCGGTAGACACTGTAGAAGGAGAACTGAGGAGACCCCTGATGTAGCAATTATTTTCCGAATGAAGATGGATTGTGAGGCAGGAAGGTGGGAAAAGAGGAAGTCATTTATATAATTTTGGGGTTACTGCTGAGGAAACCTGAGTGAACTCACTTCAGATGCATTTGGAACATTTCCATAAACAATATTTGATTTTGGCAGCTCCAGCAATTTCTGGAAGCAGGAAACAGTGCTTGAATTGGCATAAAAACACAATGACTCATTACTCCTCTTTGTTACTATTAGGCATCAGAGATACATGTTTTGTTGATTTTAGTTATAGAAATGAGATAAACTTAAATATGAATAGGTTGGCTTACTTGTTCAAGGAGCTACCTCTTGGATAAAATAGCTGTTTAATGAAACTTCTTTAGAAAATAACATGATACTCCTAACAAGGCTATTTTAGAAACAAAAATTATGTTGCATTCTAATTAAGTCCTAGAGTGATCATTTTCAATGAATACTGGAATGATTTCTGAATGTAAAACTTATTAATATCTAATGCTTGTAGCAGTTTTACTTTGTAGAAATATGTCAAAATTGATAATGGATGATATTTTTATTGAGGTTAATATATTATCCTTTGGTGCCATGAGTGGATGAAGAAACGTTTGGAAGGCTAAACTAGTGGATGAAAGAAACTTAAGCAAAGTATTACACCACATGGGTGTGAGAGATAATGAATATTATGTACTAGGTATCAGCAAACAGGTATCCAAAGTGATCAATTTAGGACACTTCCACTGAAGAGATGTGAAGTGTAAGTTCAACTGAAGTATCATCGGAATTGTGTGCCTTCTCAGTTTTTGGGCAAGTTAAAGAGCATGGTGAATGTTTGTAGTATAATGGTGTAAATCCTTTTGATTTCCTGTGTGAAAGACATGTGGGATCATGTAGCACCTGCTTTGACATTGATTCTCAGGTGTGTGAGTTTCTCCTCTGATTTTAGATCACATATGTTCTCATCACCCGGCCTATGCACATTGAGATTGACACGGTTTTATTTTAGTTTTCGACATATGACAAATCATACCATGTTTGAAATTCTAAGACTATATTTCATGGAGCCTGTATTCCCGTTTCTCAGCGTATTTCTATCATGTTCTAGTCCCCAGACACAAAGTAGAAGCCATCAAAGACTACGCTAATACAGGCAGGAAGACAGAGGTTGATGCTAACACTGCATGAATGTATGGATAATTTTGTCATTTTTACATATGAGTGATTATGAATCCCTTTTACTTTTCAGTGACTTCTGAGAAACCAGCAGGCTTGAAGGTAATGAAACTGTCATTTATATTGTGACCTAGTAAATGCATAGTCTATGAAACATACTTTATTAACTTATTATTTCATTTCAAATTCCATTCAGGCTACAAGTGACGAGGAAGATTCTGTTTTGAATATAGCCAGAGGAAAAGAGGATGGAGAAAAAACTAGGAGAGGTAATTTTGAAAAGAGATTTAATGTCATGATCAGTCGAGATAGATAAGAAATTCTCTTCCCTGAAGAAATCAGCGGGGGGCTCGTTGAAGCTGCACATTCTGATACAGCAGTCCTGAGATTCTTCATTTCAAATAAGTTCTTGGGTGATGCTGATGCTGCTGGTCTGGAACATCATCTTCGCTGTAAGATTATACATTTCCCCACATTGAAACTGGGAAGAAGAAATATGGAGAGCAGTTCAAGGCATAAGGGGCTCTGGGGAACAACATAATTTTGCTTTAATTCTCCAGCTTGTTTTCAGTAAGGGTGGAAGGAGAAAGAGAGGAAGCATAGAATTTACACACTTCAGATCATACTGCCAAGAAAAGACAGAAAGCTTGTAACAACCCATAGACACTGTAGGAGAACTAAGGAGACCCCTGGTGTAGCAACTATTTTCCTAAGGAAGACGGATTGTGAGGCAGGAAGGTGTGAAAAGAGGAAGTCATTTATATAATTTTGGGGTTTCTGCTGAGGAAACCTGAGTGAACTCACTTCAGATGCATTTGGAATATTTTCATAACAAATATTTGATTTTGGCTGCTCCAGGAACTACTGGAAGCAGGAAACAATGGTATAATTGGAATACACCACAGTGACTCATTACTCCTCTTGGTTACTAGGAGGCATCAGAGATACATGTTTTGTTGATTTTAGTTATAAAAATGAGATAATCTTGAATATGAATAAATTTGCTTCCTTGTTCAAGGAGCTACCTCTTGGATAAAATAGCTATTTAATGAAACTTCTTTAGAGAATAACACGATACTCCCAACAAGAGTATTTTAGACACAAGAATGATGTTGAATTCTAACTAACTCCTAAAATGGTCATTTTCAATGAATATTGCAGTGATTTCTGAATGAAAAACTGATTAATATCTAATGCTTGTAGCCATTTCACTTTGTAGAAGCATGTCAAAGTTGATAATTGATGATATTTTTATTGAGGCTAATATATTATCCTTTGGTGCCAAGAGTGGATGAAGAAACTTTCGGAAGCCTAAACTAGTGGATACATGAAACTTAGGCAAATTATTACACTACATGGGTGTGAGAGATAATGAATATTATCTACTAGGTATCAGCAAACAGATATCCAAGGTGATCAATTCAGGACACTTCCACTGAAGAGATGTGAAGTGTACATTCAACTGAAGTGTCATCGTAATTGTGTGCCTTCTCGGTTATTGGTCAAGTTAAAGAGCATGATGAATGTTTGTAGCCTAATGGTGTAAATCCTTTTGATTTGTTGCATGAAAGACATATGGGATCATATAGCACCTGTTCTGACATTGATTCTCACGTGTATGAGTTGCTCCTCTGATTTTAGATCACATTTGTCCTCATCACTCAGCATATCCACATTGATATTGACACGGTTTTATTTTGGGTTTCGACACGTGACAAATCATACCATGTTTGAAATTGTAAGGGTATATTTCATGGAGCCTGTGTTCCCTTTTTTCAGTGTGTTTCTGTCACGTTCTGGTCCCCAGACACAAAATAGAAGCCATCAAAGCCTCCACTAATACAGGCAGGAGGTCAGAGGTTGATGCTAACACTGTGCGAATGTATGGATAACTTTATCATATTTACGTGTGAGTGATTATGTATCCCTTTTGCTTTTCAGTGTCTTCTCGGAAAAAACCAGCCTTGAAGGTAATGAAACTCTCATTCATATTGTGAGCTAGTAAACGTAAAGCCTATGAAACATACCTTATTTATTATTTTGTTTCAAATTCCATTCAGGCTACAAGTGATGAGAAAGATTCTTTTTCGAATATAACCAGAGAAAAAAAGGATGGAGAAACATCTAGGACAGGTAATTTTGCAAAACACATTTAATGTCATGTGCAGTCCAGATAAGAAGTTCTCTTCCCCGAATAAATCAGTGGGGGGCTGGTCGAAGCTGCACATTCTGATTCAGCAGGCCTGAGATTCTTCATTTCTAATAAGTTCTTGGGTTATGCTGATGCTGCTGGTCTGGAACATGATCTTCACTGTAAGATTATACACATCCCCACATTGCAATTGGGAGGAAGAAATATGGAGAGCAGTTGAAGACATAAGGGGCTCTGGGGTACAGCATAGTTTTGCTTTAATTCTGTAGCATCTTTTCATCAAGGGTGTAAGGAGAAAGATAGGAAGTACAGATTTTACAGACGTCACATCGTAGTGCTAAAAACAGGCAGAAAGCTGTTCATAATAACCCATAGACACTGTAGAAGGAGAACTGAGGAGACCCCTGATGTAGCAATTAATTTCCGAATGAAGACGGATTGTGAGGCAGGAAGGTGGGAAAAGAGGAAGTCGTTTATATAATTTTGGGGTTACTGCGGAGGAATCCTGAGTGAACTCACTTCAGATGCATTTGGAACATTTGCATAA
Organism: Homo sapiens; assembly: GCF_000001405.40. Lineage (NCBI taxonomy): Eukaryota > Metazoa > Chordata > Mammalia > Primates > Hominidae > Homo > Homo sapiens. Next base: position 95,911,677 of record NC_000002.12, on the reverse strand, counting down.
ACAGTAATTGTTTTTGGCAGCTCCAGCAACTGCTGGAAGCAGGAAACAGTGTTTGAATTGGCATAAAAACTCAATGACTCATTACTCCTCTTTGTTACTATTAGGCATCAGAGATACATGTTTTGTTGATTTTAGTTATAGAAATGAGATAAACTTGAATATGACTACGTTGGCTTCCTTGTTCAAGGAGCCACCTCTTGGATAAAATAGCTGTTTAATGAAACTTCTTTAGAAAATAACATGATACTCCTAACAAGGCTATTTTAGAAACAAAAATTATGTTGCATTCTAATTAAGTCCTAGAGTGATCATTTTCAATGAATACTGGAATGATTTCTGAATGTAAAACTTATTAATATCTAATGCTTGTAGCATTTTACTTTGTAGAAATATGTCAAAATTGATAATTGATGATATTTTTATTGAGGCTAATATATTATCCTTTGGTGCCATGAGTGGATGAAGAAACGTTTGGGAGGCTAAACTAGTGGATGAAAGAAACTTAAGCAAAGTATTACACCACATGGGTGTGAGAGATAATGATTATTATCTACTAGGTATCAGCAAACAGGTATCCAAAGTGATCAATTTAGGACACTTCCACTGAAGAGATGTGAAGTGTAAGTTCAACTGAAGTATCGTCGCAATTGTGTGCCTTCTCAGTTATTGGGCAAGTTAAAGAGCATGATGAATGTTTGTAGTATAATGGTGTAAATCCTTTTGATTTGTTGCACGAAAGACATGTGGGATCATGTGGCACCTGCTTTGACATTGATTCTCAGGTGTCTGAGTTGCTCTTCTGATTTTAGATCACATTTGTTCTCATCACTTGGCCTATGCACGTTGAGATTGACACGGTTTTATTTTAGTTTTAGACATATGAGAAATCGTACCGTGTTTGAAATTGTAAGGGTATATTTCATGGAGCCTGTATTCCCTTTTCTCAGTGTACTTCTGTCATGTTCTAGTCCCCAGACACAAAGTAGAAGCCATCAAAGCCTGCGCTAATACAGGCAGGAGGACAGAGTTTGATGCTAACGCTGCATGAATGTATGGATATCTTTGTCATATTTACATATGAGTGATTATGAATCCCTTTTGCTTTTCAGTGTCTTCTCAGAAACCACCAGCCTTGAAGGTAATGAAACTCTCATTTATATTGTGAACGAGTTAATGTATGGTCTATGAAACATACTTTATTTATTTATTATTTCGTTTCAAATTCTATTCAGGCTACAAGTGACGAGGAAGATTCTGTTTTGAGTATAGCCAGAGAAGAAAAGGATGGAGAAAAATCTAGGACAGGTAATTTTGAAAACAGATTTAATGTCGTGTTCTGTCCAGATAGATAAGAAGTTCTCTTCTCCAAATAAAGCAGCGGGTGGCTCGTCGAAGCTGCACTTTCTGATTCAGCAGGCCGGAGATTCTTCATTTGTAGTAAGTTGTTGGGTGATGCTGATGCTGCTGGTCTGGAACATGACCTTGGCTGTAAGATTATACAGTTCCCCACATTGAAGTTGGGAAGAAGATATATGGAGAGCAGTTGAAGACATAAGGGGCTCTGGGGAACAGCATAGTTTTGCTTTAATTCTCCAGCTTGTTCTCAGTAAGGGTGGAAGGAGAAAGAGAGGAAGTATCGATTTTACAGACGTCACATCGTACTGCTAAGAACAGACAGAAAACTTGTTGTAATAACCCGTACACACTGTAGGAGAACTAAGGAGGCCCCTGGTGTAGCAATCATTTTCCCAAGGATGACGGATTGTGAGGCAGGAAGGTGTGAAAAGAGGCAGTCATTTATATAATTTTGGGGTTTCCGCTGAGGAAACCTGAGTGAACTCACTTCAGATGCATTTGGAATATTTTAATAAAAAATACTTGATTTTGGCTGCTGCAGGAACTGCTGGAAGAAGGAAACAATCCTAGAATTGGCATAAAAACACACTGACTCATTACTCCTCTTTGTTACTATTAGGCATCAGAGATACATGTTTTGTTGATTTTAGTTACAGAAATGAGACAAAGTTGAATCTGAATACATTGGCTTCCTTGTTCAAGGAGCTACCTCTTGGATACAATAGCTATTTCATGAAACTTCTTTAGAGAACAACATGATACTCCCAACAAGGCTATTTTAGAAACAAAAATTATGCTGGATTCTAATTAACTCCTAAAATGGTCATTTTCAATGAATATTGCACTGATTTCTGAATGAAAAACTGATCAATATCTAATGCTTGTAGCAGTTTTACTTTGTATATGTATGTCAAAATTGATAATTGATGATATTTTTATTGAGGCTAATATATTATCCTTTGTTGCCACGACTGGATGAAGAAACTTTCGGAAGGCTAAACTAGTGGATACAAGAAACTTAGGCAGATTGTTACACCATATGGTTGAGAGAGATAATGAATATTATCTACTAGGTATCAGCAAACAGATATCCAAGGTGATTAATTTAGCACACTTCCACTGAAGTGATGTGAAGTGTACATTCAACTGAATTGTCGTCGTAATTGTGTGCCTTCTCAGTTATTGGGCAAGTTAAAGAGCACGATGAATGTTTGTAGTATAATGGTGTAAATCCTTTTAATTTGTTGCATGAAAGATAAGTGGGATCATGTAGCACCTGCTTTGACATTGATTCTCAGGTGTATGTGTTGCTCCTCTGATTTTAGATCACTTTGTCCTCATCACTCGGCATATCCACGTTGATATTGACATGGTTTTATTTTAGTTTTTGGCATATGACAAATCATACCATGTTTGAAATTCTAAGACTATATTTCGTGGAGCCTGTATTCCCTTTTCTCAGCGTATTTCTGTCATGTTCTAGTCCCCAGACACAAAGTAGAAGCCATCAAAGCCTACGCTAATACAGGCAGGAGGACAGAGGTTGATGCTAACACTGCATGAATATGTGGATAATTTTGTCATTTTTACATATGAGTGATTATGAATCCCTTTTACTTTTCAGTGTCTTCTGAGCAACCACCAGGCTTGAAGGTAATGAAACTGTCATTTATGTTGTGAACTAGTAAATGTATAGTCTATGAAACATACTTTATTAATTTATTATTGCATTTCAAATTCCATTCAGGCTACAAGAGATGAGAAAGATTCTCTTTTGAATATAGCCAGAGGAAAAAAGCATGGAGAAAAAACTAGGAGAGGTAATTTTGAAAAGAGATTTAATGTCATGTTCAGTCCAGATAGATAAGAAATTCTCTTCCGTGAATAAATCAGCGGGGGGCTCGTTGAAGCTGCACATTCTGATTCAGCAGTCCTGAGATTCTTCATTTCAAATAAGTTCTTGGGTGATGATGATGCTGCTGGTCTGGAACATGATCTTCGCCGTAAGATTATACACTTCCCCATATTGAAATTGGGAAGAAGAAATATGGAGAGCAGTTCAAGGCATAAGGGGCTCTGGGGAACAACATAATTTTGCTTTAATTCTCCAGCTTGTTTTCAGTAAGGGTGGAAGGAGAAAGAGAGGAAGTATAGAATTTACACACTTCAGATCGTACTGCCAAGAAAAGACAGAAAGCTTGTTGTAACAACCCGTAGACACTGTTAGGAGAACTAAGGAGACCCCTGGTGTAGCAACTATTTTCCTAAGGAAGACAGATTGTGAGGCAGGAAGGTGTGAAAAGAGGAAGTCATTTATATAATTTTGGGGTTTCTGCTGAGAAAACCTGAGTGAACTCACTTCAGATGCATTTGGAATATTTTCATAACAAATATTTGATTTTGGCTGCTCCAGGAACTACTGGAAGCAGGAAACAATGGTATAATTGGAATACACCACCACACTGACTCATTACTCCTCTTGGTTACTAGGAGGCATCAGAGATACATGTTTTGTTGATTTTAGTTATAAAAATGAGATAATCTTGAATATGAATAAATTTGTTTCCTTGTTCAAGGAGCTACCTCTTGGATAAAATAGCTATTTAATGAAACTTCTTTAGAGAATAACACGATACTCCCAACAAGAGTATTTTAGACACAAGAATGATGTTGAATTCTAACTAACTCCTAAAATGGTCATTTTCAATGAATATTGCAGTGATTTCTGAATGAAAAACTGATTAATATCTAATGCTTGTAGCCATTTCACTTTGTAGAAGCATGTCAAAGTTGATAATTGATGATATTTTTATTGAGGCTAATATATTATCCTTTGGTGCCAAGAGTGGATGAAGAAACTTTCGGAAGCCTAAACTAGTGGATACATGAAACTTAGGCAAATTATTACACTACATGGGTGTGAGAGATAATGAATATTATCTACTAGGTATCAGCAAACAGATATCCAAGGTGATCAATTCAGGACACTTCCACTGAAGATATGTTAAGTGTACGTTCAGCTGGAGTGTCATCGTAATTGTGTGCCTTCTCAGTTATTGGGCAAGTTAAAGAGCATGATGAATGTTTGTAGTATAATGGTGTAAATCCTTTTGATTTGTTGCATGAAAGACATGTGGGATCATGTAGCACCTGTTTTGACATTGATTCTCACGTGTATGAGTTGCTCCTCTGTTTTTAGATCACATTTGTCCTCATCACTCAGCATATCCACATTGATATTGACACGGTTTTATTTTGGGTTTCGACACATGACAAATCATACCATGTTTGAAATTGTAAGGGTATATTTCATGGAGCCTGTGTTCCCTTTTTTCAGTGTACTTCTGTCACCTTCTGGTCCCCAGAGACAAAGTAGAAGCCATCAAAGCCTCCACTAATACAGGCAGGAGGACAGAGGTTGATGCTAACACCGTGTGAATGTATGGATAACTTTATCATATTTACATGTGAGTGATTATGTATCCCTTTTGCTTTTCAGTGTCTTCTCGGAAAAAAGCAGCCTTGAAGGTAATAAAACTCTCATTTATATTGTGAGCTAGTAAATGTAAAGCCTATGAAACATACCTTATTTATTATTTTGTTTCAAATTCCATTCAGGCTACAAGTGATGAGAAAGATTCTTTTTCAAATATAACCAGAGAAAGAAAGGATGGAGAAACATCTAGGACAGGTAACTTTGCAAAACACATTTAATGTCATGTTCAGTCCAGATAAGAAGTTCTCTTCCCCGAATAAATCAGTGGGGGGCTGGTCGAAACTGCACATTCTGATTCAGTAGGCCTGAGATTCTTCATTTCTAATAAGTTCTTGGGTTATGCTGATGCTGCTGGTCTGGAACATGATCTTCACTGTAAGATTATACACATCCCCACATTGCAATTGGGAGGAAGAAATATGGAGAGCAGTTGAAGACATAAGGGGCTCTTGGGCACAGCATAATTTTGCTTTATTTCTGGAGCATCTTTTCATTAAGGGTGTAAGGAGAAAGAGAGGAAGTACAGATTTTACAGATGTCACATGATAGTGCTAAAAACAGACAGAAAACTGTTCATAATAAGCCGTAGACACTGTAGAAGGAGAACTGAGGAGACCCCTGATGTAGCAATTATTTTCCGAATGAAGACGGATTGTGAGGCAGGAAGGTGGGAAAAGAGGAAGTCATTTATATAATTTTGGGGTTACTGCTGAGGAAACCTGAGTGAACTCACTTCAGATGCATTTGGAACATTTCCATAAACAATATTTGATTTTGGCAGCTCCAGCAATTTCTGGAAGCAGGAAACATTTCTTGAATTGGCATAAAAACACAATGACTCATTACTCCTCTTTGTTACTATTAGGCATCAGAGATACATGTTTTGTTGACTTTACTTATAAAAATGAGATAAACTTGAATATGAATACATTGGCTTCCTTGTTCCAGGAGCTACCTCTTGGGTGAAATAGCTATTTCATGAAACTTCTTTAGAGACTAACATGATACTCCCAAGAAGTATCATGTTTTAGAAACAAAAATTATGTTGAATTCTAATTAACTCCTAAAATGGTCATTTTCAATGAATATTGCAGTGATTTCTGAATGAAAAACTGCTCAATATCTAACGCTTGCTGCAGGTTTACTTTGTAGAAGTATGTCAAAATTGATAATTGATGATATTTTTATTGAGGCTAATATATTATCCTTTGGTGCCATGAGTGGATGAAGAAACTTTTGGAAGGCTAAACTAGTGGATACAAGAAACTTAAGCAAATTTTTATACCACATGGGTGTGAGAGATAATGAATATTATCTACTAGGTATCAGCAAACAGGTGTCCAATGTGATCAATTCAGGACTCTTCCACTGAAGAGATGTGAAGTGTAAGTTTAACTGAAGTATCATTGCAATTGTGTGCCTTCTCAGTTATTGGCAATTTAAAGAGCATGATGAATGTTTTTAGTATAATGGTGTAAATCCTTTTGATTTGTTGCATGAAAGAAATATGGGATCATGTAGCACCTGCTTTGACATTGATTCTCAGGTGTGTGAGTTGCTCCTCTGATTTTAGATCACATTTGTTCTCATCACTCGGCCTATGCACATTGAGATTGACACGGTTTTAGTTTAGTTTTTGACATATGAGAAATCGTACCATGTTTGAAATTGCAAGGGCATATTTCATGGAGCCTGTATTCCCTTTTCTCAGTGTATTTCTGTCATGTTCTAGTCCCCAGACACAAAGTAGAAGCCATCAAAGCCTGCGCTAATACACGCAGGAGGACAGAGTATGATGCTAACTCTGCATGAATGTATGGATATCTTTGTCATATTTACATATGAGTGATTATGAATCCCTTTTGCTTTTCAGTGTCTTCTCAGAAACCACCAGCCTTGAAGGTAATGAAACTCTCATTTATATTGTGAACGAGTTAATGTATGGTCTATGAAACATATTTTATTTATTATTTCATTTCCAATTCCATTCAGGCTACAAGTGACGAGGAAGATTCTGTTTTGAATATAGCCAGAGAAAAAAAGGATGGAGAAAAATCTAGAACAGGTAATTTTGAAAACAGATTTAATGTCATGTTCAGTCCAGATAGATAAGAAGTCCCCTTCCCCAAATAAATCAGCGGGGGGCTCGTCGAAGCTGCACTTCCTGATTCAGCAGGCTGGAGGTTCTTCATTTGTAGTAAGTTCTTGGGTGATGCTGATGCTGCTGGTCTGGAACATGACCTTGGCTGTAAGATTATACAGTTCCCCACATTGAAGTTGGGAAGAAGATATATGGAGAGCAGTTGAAGACATAAGGGGCTCTGGGGAACAGCATAGTTTTGCTTTAATTCTCCAGCTTGTTCTCAGTAAGGGTGGAAGGAGAAAGAGAGGAAGTATCGATTTTACAGATGTCACATCGTACTGCTAAGAACAGACAGAAAACTTGTTGTAATAACCCATACACACTGTAGGAGAACTAAGGAGGCCCCTGGTGTAGCAATCATTTTCCCAAGGATGACGGATTGTGAGGCAGGAAGGTGTGAAAAGAGGCAGTCATTTATATAATTTTGGGGTTTCCGCTGAGGAAACCTGAGTGAACTCACTTCAGATGCATTTGGAATATTTTAATAAAAAATACTTGATTTTGGCTGCTGCAGGAACTGCTGGAAGAAGGAAACAATCCTAGAATTGGCATAAAAACACACACACTGACTCATTACTCCTCTTTGTTACTATTAGGCATCAGAGATACATGTTTTGTTGATTTTAGTTACAGAAATGAGACAAAGTTGAATCTGAATACATTGGCTTCCTTGTTCAAGGAGCTACCTCTTGGATACAATAGCTATTTCATGAAACTTCTTTAGAGAACAACATGATACTCCCAACAAGGCTATTTTAGAAACAAAAATTATGCTGGATTCTAATTAACTCCTAAAATGGTCATTTTCAATGAATATTGCACTGATTTCTGAATGAAAAACTGATCAATATCTAATGCTTGTAGCAGTTTTACTTTGTATATGTATGTCAAAATTGATAATTGATGATATTTTTATTGAGGCTAATATATTATCCTTTGTTGCCACGACTGGATGAAGAAACTTTCGGAAGGCTAAACTAGTGGATACAAGAAACTTAGGCAGATTGTTACACCATATGGTTGAGAGAGATAATGAATATTATCTACTAGGTATCAGCAAACAGATATCCAAGGTGATTAATTTAGCACACTTCCACTGAAGTGATGTGAAGTGTACGTTCAACTGAATTGTCGTCGTAATTGTGTGCCTTCTCAGTTATTGGGCAAGTTAAAGAGCACGATGAATGTTTGTAGTATAATGGTGTAAATCCTTTTAATTTGTTGCATGAAAGGTAAGTGGGATCATGTAGCACCTGCTTTGACATTGATTCTCAGGTGTATGTGTTGCTCCTCTGATTTTATATCACTTTGTCCTCATCACTCGGCATATCCACGTTGATATTGACATGGTTTTATTTTAATTTTTGGCATATGACAAATCATACCATGTTTGAAATTCTAAGACTATATTTCGTGGAGCCTGTATTCCCTTTTCTCAGCATATTTCCGTCATGTTCTAGTCCCCAGACACAAAGTAGAAGCCATCAAAGCCTACGCTAATACAGGCAGGAGGACAGAGGTTGATGCTAACACTGCATGAATATGTGGATAATTTTGTCATTTTTACATATGAGTGATTATGAATCCCTTTTACTTTTCAGTGTCTTCAGAGCAACCACCAGGCTTGAAGGTAATGAAACTGTCATTTATATTGTGAACTAGTAAATGTATAGTCTATGAAGCATACTTTATTAATTTATTATTGCATTTCAAATTCCATTCAGGCTACAAGAGACGAGAAAGATTCTCTTTTGAATATAGCCAGAGGAAAAAAGTATGGAGAAAAAACTAGGAGAGGTAATTTTGAAAAGAGATTTAATGTCATGTTCAGTCCAGATAGATAAGAAATTCTCTTCCGTGAATAAATCAGCGGGGGGCTCGTTGAAGCTGCACATTCTGATTCAGCAGTCCTGAGATTCTTCATTTCAAATAAGTTTGTGGGTGATGATGATGATGCTGGTCTGGAACATGATCTTCGCAGTAAGATTATACACTTCCCCATATTGAAATTGGGAAGAAGAAATATGGAGAGCAGTTCAAGGCATAAGGGGCTCTGGGGAACAACATAATTTTGCTTTAATTCTCCAGCTTGTTTTCAGTAAGGGTGGAAGGAGAAAGAGAGGAAGTATAGAATTTACACACTTCAGATCGTACTGCCAAGAAAAGATAGAAAGCTTGTTGTAACAACCCGTAGACACTGTTAGGAGAACTAAGGAGACCCCTGGTGTAGCAACTATTTTCCTAAGGGAGACGGATTGTGAGGCAGGAAGGTGTGAAAAGAGGAAGTCATTTATATAATTTTGGGGTTTCTGCTGAGAAAACCTGAGTGAACTCACTTCAGATGCATTTGGAATATTTTCATAACAAATATTTGATTTTGGCTGCTCCAGGAACTACTGGAAGCAGGAAACAATGGTATAATTGGAATACACCACCACACTGACTCATTACTCCTCTTGGTTACTAGGAGGCATCAGAGATACATGTTTTGTTGATTTTAGTTATAAAAATGAGATAATCTTGAATATGAATAAATTTGCTTCCCTGTTCAAGGAGCTACCTCTTGGATAAAATAGCTATTTAATGAAACTTCTTTAGAGAATAACACGATACTCCCAACAAGAGTATTTTAGACACAAGAATGATGTTGAATTCTAACTAACTCCTAAAATGGTCATTTTCAATGAATATTGCAGTGATTTCTGAATGAAAAACTGATTAATATCTAATGCTTGTAGCCATTTGACTTTGTAGAAGTATGTCAAAGTTGATAATTGATGATATTTTTATTGAGGCTAATATATTATCCTTTGGTGCCAAGAGTGGATGAAGAAACTTTCGGAAGCCTAAACTAGTGGATACATGAAACTTAGGCAAATTATTACACTACATGGGTGTGAGAGATAATGAATATTATCTACTAGGTATCAGCAAACAGATATCCAAGGTGATCAATTCAGGACACTTCCACTGAAGATATGTTAAGTGTACGTTCAGCTGGAGTGTCATCGTAATTGTGTGCCTTCTCAGTTATTGGGCAAGTTAAAGAGCATGATGAATGTTTGTAGTATAATGGTGTAAATCCTTTTGATTTGTTGCATGAAAGACATGTGGGATCATGTAGCACCTGTTTTGACATTGATTCTCACGTGTATGAGTTGCTCCTCTGTTTTTAGATCACATTTGTCCTCATCACTCAGCATATCCACATTGATATTGACACGGTTTTATTTTGGGTTTCGACACATGACAAATCATACCATGTTTGAAATTGTAAGGGTATATTTCATGGAGCCTGTGTTCCCTTTTTTCAGTGTACTTCTGTCACCTTCTGGTCCCCAGAGACAAAGTAGAAGCCATCAAAGCCTCCACTAATACAGGCAGGAGGACAGAGGTTGATGCTAACACCGTGTGAATGTATGGATAACTTTATCATATTTACATGTGAGTGATTATGTATCCCTTTTGCTTTTCAGTGTCTTCTCGGAAAAAAGCAGCCTTGAAGGTAATAAAACTCTCATTTATATTGTGAGCTAGTAAATGTAAAGCCTATGAAACATACCTTATTTATTATTTTGTTTCAAATTCCATTCAGGCTACAAGTGATGAGAAAGATTCTTTTTCAAATATAACCAGAGAAAGAAAGGATGGAGAAACATCTAGGACAGGTAACTTTGCAAAACACATTTAATGTCATGTTCAGTCCAGATAAGAAGTTCTCTTCCCCGAATAAATCAGTGGGGGGCTGGTCGAAACTGCACATTCTGATTCAGTAGGCCTGAGATTCTTCATTTCTAATAAGTTCTTGGGTTATGCTGATGCTGCTGGTCTGGAACATGATCTTTGCTGTAAGATTATACACATCCCCACATTGCAATTGGGAGGAAGAAATATGGAGAGCAGTTGAAGACGTAAGGGGCTCTTGGGCACAGCATAATTTTGCTTTATTTCTGGAGCATCTTTTCATTAAGGGTGTAAGGAGAAAGAGAGGAAGTACAGATTTTACAGATGTCACATGATAGTGCTAAAAACAGACAGAAAACTGTTCATAATAAGCCGTAGACACTGTAGAAGGAGAACTGAGGAGACCCCTGATGTAGCAATTATTTTCCGAATGAAGACGGATTGTGAGGCAGGAAGGTGGGAAAAGAGGAAGTCATTTATATAATTTTGGGGTTACTGCTGAGGAAACCTGAGTGAACTCACTTCAGATGCATTTGGAACATTTCCATAAACAATATTTGATTTTGGCAGCTCCAGCAATTTCTGGAAGCAGGAAACATTTCTTGAATTGGCATAAAAACACAATGACTCATTACTCCTCTTTGTTACTATTAGGCATCAGAGATACATGTTTTGTTGACTTTACTTATAAAAATGAGATAAACTTGAATATGAATACATTGGCTTCCTTGTTCCAGGAGCTACCTCTTGGGTGAAATAGCTATTTCATGAAACTTCTTTAGAGACTAACATGATACTCCCAAGAAGTATCATGTTTTAGAAACAAAAATTATGTTGAATTCTAATTAACTCCTAAAATGGTCATTTTCAATGAATATTGCAGTGATTTCTGAATGAAAAACTGCTCAATATCTAACGCTTGCTGCAGGTTTACTTTGTAGAAGTATGTCAAAATTGATAATTGATGATATTTTTATTGAGGCTAATATATTATCCTTTGGTGCCATGAGTGGATGAAGAAACTTTTGGAAGGCTAAACTAGTGGATACAAGAAACTTAAGCAAATTTTTATACCACATGGGTGTGAGAGATAATGAATATTATCTACTAGGTATCAGCAAACAGGTGTCCAATGTGATCAATTCAGGACTCTTCCACTGAAGAGATGTGAAGTGTAAGTTTAACTGAAGTATCATTGCAATTGTGTGCCTTCTCAGTTATTGGCAATTTAAAGAGCATGATGAATGTTTTTAGTATAATGGTGTAAATCCTTTTGATTTGTTGCATGAAAGAAATATGGGATCATGTAGCACCTGCTTTGACATTGATTCTCAGGTGTGTGAGTTGCTCCTCTGATTTTAGATCACATTTGTTCTCATCACTCGGCCTATGCACATTGAGATTGACACGGTTTTAGTTTAGTTTTTGACATATGAGAAATCGTACCATGTTTGAAATTGCAAGGGCATATTTCATGGAGCCTGTATTCCCTTTTCTCAGTGTATTTCTGTCATGTTCTAGTCCCCAGACACAAAGTAGAAGCCATCAAAGCCTGCGCTAATACACGCAGGAGGACAGAGTATGATGCTAACTCTGCATGAATGTATGGATATCTTTGTCATATTTACATATGAGTGATTATGAATCCCTTTTGCTTTTCAGTGTCTTCTCAGAAACCACCAGCCTTGAAGGTAATGAAACTCTCATTTATATTGTGAACGAGTTAATGTATGGTCTATGAAACATATTTTATTTATTATTTCATTTCCAATTCCATTCAGGCTACAAGTGACGAGGAAGATTCTGTTTTGAATATAGCCAGAGAAAAAAAGGATGGAGAAAAATCTAGAACAGGTAATTTTGAAAACAGATTTAATGTCATGTTCAGTCCAGATAGATAAGAAGTCCCCTTCCCCAAATAAATCAGCGGGGGGCTCGTCGAAGCTGCACTTCCTGATTCAGCAGGCTGGAGGTTCTTCATTTGTAGTAAGTTCTTGGGTGATGCTGATGCTGCTGGTCTGGAACATGACCTTGGCTGTAAGATTATACAGTTCCCCACATTGAAGTTGGGAAGAAGATATATGGAGAGCAGTTGAAGACATAAGGGGCTCTGGGGAACAGCATAGTTTTGCTTTAATTCTCCAGCTTGTTCTCAGTAAGGGTGGAAGGAGAAAGAGAGGAAGTATCGATTTTACAGATGTCACATCGTACTGCTAAGAACAGACAGAAAACTTGTTGTAATAACCCATATACACTGTAGGAGAACTAAGGAGGCCCCTGGTGTAGCAATCATTTTCCCAAGGATGACGGATTGTGAGGCAGGAAGGTGTGAAAAGAGGCAGTCATTTATATAATTTTGGGGTTTCCGCTGAGGAAACCTGAGTGAACTCACTTCAGATGCATTTGGAATATTTTAATAAAAAATACTTGATTTTGGCTGCTGCAGGAACTGCTGGAAGAAGGAAACAATCCTAGAATTGGCATAAAAACACACACACTGACTCATTACTCCTCTTTGTTACTATTAGGCATCAGAGATACATGTTTTGTTGATTTTAGTTACAGAAATGAGACAAAGTTGAATCTGAATACATTGGCTTCCTTGTTCAAGGAGCTACCTCTTGGATACAATAGCTATTTCATGAAACTTCTTTAGAGAACAACATGATACTCCCAACAAGGCTATTTTAGAAACAAAAATTATGCTGGATTCTAATTAACTCCTAAAATGGTCATTTTCAATGAATATTGCACTGATTTCTGAATGAAAAACTGATCAATATCTAATGCTTGCAGCAGTTTTACTTTGTATATGTATGTCAAAATTGATAATTGATGATATTTTTATTGAGGCTAATATATTATCCTTTGTTGCCACGACTGGATGAAGAAACTTTCGGAAGGCTAAACTAGTGGATACAAGAAACTTAGGCAGATTATTACACCATATGGTTGAGAGAGATAATGAATATTATCTACTAGGTATCAGCAAACAGATATCCAAGGTGATTAATTTAGCACACTTCCACTGAAGTGATGTGAAGTGTACGTTCAACTGAATTGTCGTCGTAATTGTGTGCCTTCTCAGTTATTGGGCAAGTTAAAGAGCACGATGAATGTTTGTATTATAATGGTGTAAATCCTTTTAATTTGTTGCATGAAAGGTAAGTGGGATCATGTAGCACCTGCTTTGACATTGATTCTCAGGTGTATGTGTTGCTCCTCTGATTTTAGATCACTTTGACCTCATCACTCGGCATATCCACGTTGATATTGACATGGTTTTATTTTAGTTTTTGGCATATGACAAATCATACCATGTTTGAAATTCTAAGACTATATTTCGTGGAGCCTGTATTCCCTTTTCTCAGCATATTTCTGTCATGTTCTAGTCCCCAGACACAAAGTAGAAGCCATCAAAGCCTACGCTAATACAGGCAGGAGGACGGAGGTTGATGCTAACACTGCATGAATATGTGGATAATTTTGTCATTTTTACATATGAGTGATTATGAATCCCTTTTACTTTTCAGTGTCTTCTGAGCAACCACCAGGCTTGAAGGTAATGAAACTGTCATTTATATTGTGAACTAGTAAATGTATAGTCTATGAAACATACTTTATTAATTTATTATTTCATTTCAAATTCCATTCAGGCTACAAGAGATGAGAAAGATTCTCTTTTGAATATAGCCAGAGGAAAAAAGCATGGAGAAAAAACTAGGAGAGGTAATTTTGAAAAGAGATTTAATGTCATGTTCAGTCCAGATAGATAAGAAATTCTCTTCCGTGAATAAATCAGCGGGGGGCTCGTTGAAGCTGCACATTCTGATTCAGCAGTCCTGAGATTCTTCATTTCAAATAAGTTTGTGGGTGATGATGATGCTGCTGGTCTGGAACGTGATCTTCGCCGTAAGATTATACACTTCCCCATATTGAAATTGGGAAGAAGAAATATGGAGAGCAGTTCAAGGCATAAGGGGCTCTGGGGAACAACATAATTTTGCTTTAATTCTCCAGCTTGTTTTCAGTAAGGGTGGAAGGAGAAAGAGAGGAAGTATAGAATTTACACACTTCAGATCGTACTGCCAAGAAAAGACAGAAAGCTTGTTGTAACAACCCGTAGACACTGTTAGGAGAACTAAGGAGACCCCTGGTGTAGCAACTATTTTCCTAAGGGAGATGGATTGTGAGGCAGGAAGGTGTGAAAAGAGGAAGTCATTTATATAATTTTGGGGTTTCTGCTGAGAAAACCTGAGTGAACTCACTTCAGATGCATTTGGAATATTTTCATAACAAATATTTTATTTTGGCTGCTCCAGGAACTACTGGAAGCAGGAAACAATGGTATAATTGGAATACACCACCACACTGACTCATTACTCCTCTTGGTTACTAGGAGGCATCAGAGATACATGTTTTGTTGATTTTAGTTATAAAAATGAGATAATCTTGAATATGAATAAATTTGCTTCCTTGTTCAAGGAGCTACCTCTTGGATAAAATAGCTATTTAATGAGACTTCTTTAGAGAATAACACGATACTCCCAACAAGAGTATTTTAGACACAAGAATGATGTTGAATTCTAACTAACTCCTAAAATGGTCATTTTCAATGAATATTGCAGTGATTTCTGAATGAAAAACTGATTAATATCTAATGCTTGTAGCCATTTGACTTTGTAGAAGTATGTCAAAGTTGACAATTGATGATATTTTTATTGAGGCTAATATATTATCCTTTGGTGCCAAGAGTGGATGAAGAAACTTTCGGAAGCCTAAACTAGTGGATACATGAAACTTAGGCAAATTATTACACTACATGGGTGTGAGAGATAATGAATATTATCTACTAGGTATCAGCAAACAGATATCCAAGGTGATCAATTCAGGACACTTCCACTGAAGATATGTTAAGTGTACGTTCAGCTGGAGTGTCATCGTAATTGTGTGCCTTCTCAGTTATTGGGCAAGTTAAAGAGCATGATGAATGTTTTTAGTATAATGGTGTAAATCCTTTTGATTTGTTGCATGAAAGACATGTGGGATCATGTAGCACCTGTTTTGACATTGATTCTCACGTGTATGAGTTGCTCCTCTGTTTTCAGATCACATTTGTCCTCATCGCTCATCATATCCACATTGATATTGACACGGTTTTATTTTGGGTTTCGACACATGACAAATCATACCATGTTTGAAATTGTAAGGGTATATTTCATGGAGCCTGTGTTCCCTTTTTTCAGTGTATTTCTGTCACCTTCTGGTCCCCTGAGACAAAGTAGAAGCCATGAAAGCCTCCACTAATACAGGCAGGAGGACAGAGGTTGATGCTAACACTGTGTGAATGTATGGATAACTTTATCATATTTACATGTGAGTGATTATGTATCCCTTTTGCTTTTCAGTGTCTTCTCGGAAAAAAGCAGCCTTGAAGGTAATAAAACTCTCATTTATATTGTGAGCTAGTAAATGTAAAGCCTATGAAACATACCTTATTTATTATTTTGTTTCAAATTCCATTCAGGCTACAAGTGATGAGAAAGATTCTTTTTCAAATATAACCAGAGAAAGAAAGGATGGAGAAACATCTAGGACAGGTAACTTTGCAAAACACATTTAATGTCATGTTCAGTCCAGATAAGAAGTTCTCTTCCCCGAATAAATCAGTGGGGGGCTGGTCGAAACTGCACATTCTGATTCAGTAGGCCTGAGATTCTTCATTTCTAATAAGTTCTTGGGTTATGCTGATGCTGCTGGTCTGGAACATGATCTTTGCTGTAAGATTATACACATCCCCACATTGCAATTGGGAGGAAGAAATATGGAGAGCAGTTGAAGACATAAGGGGCTCTTGGGCACAGCATAATTTTGCTTTATTTCTGGAGCATCTTTTCATTAAGGGTGTAAGGAGAAAGAGAGGAAGTACAGATTTTACAGATGTCACATGATAGTGCTAAAAACAGACAGAAAACTGTTCATAATAAGCCGTAGACACTGTAGAAGGAGAACTGAGGAGACCCCTGATGTAGCAATTATTTTCCGAATGAAGACGGATTGTGAGGCAGGAAGGTGGGAAAAGAGGAAGTCATTTATATAATTTTGGGGTTACTGCTGAGGAAACCTGAGTGAACTCACTTCAGATCATTTGGAACATTTCCATAAACAATATTTGATTTTGGCAGCTCCAGCAATTTCTGGAAGCAGGAAACATTTCTTGAATTGGCATAAAAACACAATGACTCATTACTCCTCTTTGTTACTATTAGGCATCAGAGATACATGTTTTGTTGATTTTAGTTATAGAAATGAGATAAACGTGAATATGAATACGTTGGCTTCCTTCTTCAAAGAGCTACCTCTTGTATAAAATAGCTGTTTAATGAAACTTTTCTAGAACATAACATGATACTCCCAACAAGGCTCTTTTAGAGACAAAAATTATGTTGCATTCTAATTAAGTCCTAGAGTGATCATTTTCAATGAATATTGGAATGATTTCTGAATGTAAATCTTATCAATATCTAATGCTTGTAGCAGTTTTACTTTGTAGAAATATGTCAAAGTTGATAAATGATGATATTTTTATTGAGGCTAATATATTATCCTTTGGTGCCATGAGTGGATGAAGAAACTTTTGGAAGGCTAAACTAGTGGATACAAGAAACTTAAGCAAATTTTTATACCACATGGGTGTGAGAGATAATGAACATTATCTACTAGGTATCAGCAAACAGGTGTCCAATGTGATCAATTCAGGACTCTTCCACTGAAGAGATGTGAAGTGTAAGTTTAACTGAAGTATCATTGCAATTGTGTGCCTTCTCAGTTATTGGCAGTTTAAAGAGCATGATGAATGTTTTTAGTATAATGGTGTAAATCCTTTTGATTTGTTGCATGAAAGAAATGTGGGATCATGTAGCACCTGCTTTGACATTGATTCTCAGGTGTGTGAGTTGCTCCTCTGATTTTAGATCACATTTGTTCTCATCACTCGGCCTATGCACATTGAGATTGACACGGTTTTATTTTAGTTTTTGACATATGAGAAATCGTACCATGTTTGAAATTGCAAGGGTATATTTCATGGAGCCTGTATTCCCTTTTCTCAGTGTATTTCTGTCATGTTCTAGTCCCCAGACACAAAGTAGAAGCCATTAAAGCCTACGCTAATACAGGCAGGAGGACAGAGTTTGATGCTAACTCTGCATGAATCTATGGATATCTTTGTCATATTTACATATGAGTGATTATGAATCCCTTTTGCTTTTCAGTGTCTTCTCAGAAACCACCAGCCTTGAAGGTAATGAAACTCTCATTTATATTGTGAACGAGTTAATGTATGGTCTATGAAACATATTTTATTTATTATTTCATTTCAAATTCCATTCAGGCTACAGGTGACGAGGAAGATTCTGTTTTGAATATAGCCAGAGAAAAAAAGGATGGAGAAAAATCTAGAACAGGTAATTTTGAAAACAGATTTAATGTCATGTTCAGTCCAGATAGATAAGAAGTTCCCTTCCCCAAATAAATCAGCGGGGGGCTCGTCGAAGCTGCACTTTCTGATTCAGCAGGCCGGAGATTCTTCATTTGTAGTAAGTTCTTGGGTGATGCTGATGCTGCTGGTCTGGAACATGACCTTGGCTGTAAGATTATACAGTTCCCCACATTGAAGTTGGAAAGAAGATATATGGAGAGCAGTTGAAGACATAAGGGGCTCTGGGGAACAGCATAGTTTTGCTTTAATTCTCCAGCTTGTTTTCAGTAAGGGTGGAAGGAGAAAGAGAGGAAGTATCGATTTTACAGACGTCACATCGTACTGCTAAAAACAGACAGAAAACTTGTAATAACCCGTACACACTGTAGGAGAACTAAGGAGACCCCTGGTGTAGCAATCATTTTCCCAAGGATGACGGATTGTGAGGCAGGAAGGTGTGAAAAGAGGCAGTCATTTATATAATTTTGGGGTTTCCGCTGAGGAAACCTGAGTGAACTCACTTCAGATGCATTTGGAATATTTTAATAAAAAATACTTGATTTTGGCTGCTGCAGGAACTGCTGGAAGAAGGAAACAATCCTAGAATTGGCATAAAAACACACTGACTCATTACTCCTCTTTGTTACTATTAGGCATCAGAGATACATGTTTTGTTGATTTTAGTTATAGAAATGAGACAAAGTTGAATCTGAATACATTGGCTTCCTTGTTCAAGGAGCTACCTCTTGGATACAATAGCTATTTCATGAAACTTCTTTAGAGAACAACGTGATACTCCCAACAAGGCTATTTTAGAAACAAAAATTATGCTGGATTCTAATTAACTCCTAAAATGGTCATTTATAGTGAATATTGCAGTGATTTCTGAATGAATAACTGGTCAATATCTAATGCTTGTAGCAGCTTTACTTTGTATAGGTATGTCAAAATTGATAATTGATGATATTTTTATTGAGGCTAATATATTGTCCTTTGGTGCCACGACTGGATGAAGAAACTTTCGGAAGGCTAAAGTAGTGGATAGAAGAAACTTAGGCAGATTATTACACCATATGGGTGTGAGAGATAATGAATATTATCTACGAGGTATCATTAAACAGATATCCAAAGTGATCAATTTAGCACACTTCCACTGAAGAGATGTGAAGGGTACATTCAATTGAATTGTTATCGTAATTGTGTGCCTTCTCATTAACTGGGCAAGTTAAAGAGCATGATGAATGTTTGTAGTATAATGGTGTAAATCCTTTTGATTTGTTGCATGAAAGACATGTGGGATCATGTAGCACCTGCTTTGACATTTATTCTCACGTGTATGAGTTGCTCCTCTGATTTTAGATCACTTTGTCCTCATCACTCGACATATCCACGTTGATATTGACACGGTTTTATTTTAGTTTTCGACATATGACAAATCATACCATGTTTGAAATACTAAAACTATATTTCATGGAGCCTGTATTCCCTTTTCTCAGCGTATTTCTGTCATGTTCTAGTCCTCAGACACAAAGTAGAAGCCATCAAAGCCTACGCTAATACAGGCAGGAGGACAGAGGTTGATGCTAACACTGCATGAATGTGTGGATAATTTTGTCATTTTTACATATGAGTGATTATGAATCCCTTTTACTTTTCAGTGTCTTCTGAGAAACCATCAGGCTTGAAGGTAATGAAACTGTCATTTATATTGTGAACTAGTAAATGTATAGTCTATGAAACATACTTTATTAATTTATTATTTCATTTCAAATTCCATTCAGGCTACAAGTGACGAGAAAGATTCTGTTTTGAATATAGCCAGAGGAAAAAAGCATGGAGAAAAAACTAGGAGAGGTAATTTTGAAAAGAGATTTAATGTCATGTTCAGTGCAGATAGATAAGAAATTCTCTTCCCTGAATAAATCAGCGGGGGGTTCGTTGAAGCTGCACATTCTGATACAGCAGTCCTGAGATTCTTCATTTCAAATAAGTTCTTGGGTGATGATGATGCTGCTGCTCTGGAACATGATCTTCGCAGTAAGAGTATACACTTCCCCCCATTGAAAGTGGGAAGAAGAAATATGGAGAGCAGTTCAAGGCATAAGGGGCTCTGGGAAACAACATAATTTTGCTTTAATTCTCCAGCTTGTTTTCAGTAAGGGTGGAAGGAGAAAGAGAGGAAGTATAGAATTTACACACTTCAGATTGTACTGCCAAGAAAAGACAGAAAGCTTGTTGTAACAACCCGTAGACACTGTTAGGAGAACTAAGGAGACCCCTGGTGTAGCAACTATTTTCCTAAGGAAGACGGATTGTGAGGCAGGAAGGTGGAAAAAGAGGAATTCTTTTATATAATTTTGGGGTTTCTGCTGAGGAAACCTGAGTGAACTCACTTCAGATGCATTTGGAATATTTTCATAACAAATATTTGATTTTGGCTGCTCCAGGAACTACTGGAAGCAGGAAACAATGGTATAATTGGAATACACCACACTGACTCATTACTCCTCTTTCTTACTAGGAGGTATCAGAGATACGTATTTTGTTGATTGTAGTTATAAAAATGAGGTAATCTTGATTATGAATAAATTTGCTTCCTTGTTCAAGGAGCTACCCCTTGGATGAAATAGCTATTTCATGAAACTTCTTTAAAGAATAACATGGTCCTCCCAAAAAGTCTATTTTAGAAACAAAAATGATGTTGAATTCTAATTAACTCCTAAAATGGTCATTTTCAATGAATATTGCAGTGATTTCTGAATGAAAAACTGATTAATATCTAATGCTTGTAGCAGTTTTACTTTGAAGAATTATGTCAAAGTTGATAATTGATGATATCTTTATTGAGGCTAATATATTATCCTTTGGTGCCAAGAGTGGATGAAGAAACTTTCAGAAGTCTATACTAGTGTATGCAAGAAACTTAGGCAAATTATTACACCACATGGGTGTGAGAGGTAATGAATATTATCTACTAGGTATCAGCAAGCAGATATCCAAAGTCATCAATTTAGGACACTTCCACTGAGGAGATGTGAAGTGTACGTTCAACTGAAATGTCGTAATTCTGTGCCTTCTCAGTTATTGGGCAAATTAAAGAGCATGATGAATGTTTGTACTATAATTGTGTATATCCTTTGATTTCTTACATGAAACACATGTGGGATCCTGTAGCACCTGCTTTGACATTGATTCTCAGGTGTATGAATTGCTCCCCTGATTTTAGATCACTTTGTCCTCATCACTCGGCATATCGACATTGATATTGACAGGGCTTTATTTTAGTTTTCGACATATGACAGATCATAGCATCTTTAAAATTGTAAGGATATATTTCATGGAGCCTGTATTCCCTTTTTTCAGTGTACTTCTGTCATGTTCTTGTCCCCGACACAATATAGAAGCCATCAAAGCCTACACTAATACAGGCAGGAGGACAGAGATTGATGCTAACACTGTATGAATGTATGAATAACTTTATCATATTTACGTATGAGTGATTATGTATCCTTTTTGCTTTTCAGTGTCTTCTCATAAACAACCAGCCTTGAAGGTAATTAAACTCTCATTTATATTTTGAACTATTAACTGTATAGTCTATGAAACATACTTTATTTATTGACTGTTGTGTTTCAAATTCCATTCAGGCTACAAGTGACAAGGAAAATTCTGTTCCGAATATGGCCACAGAAACAAAGGATGAACAAATATCTGGGACAGGTAATTTTGCAAACACATTTAATAGGATGTTCGTTCAAGATAGAAGAGATCTTCTCTTCACCAAATAAAGCAGCGGGGGGTTCGTCAAATCTTCATGTTCTGATTCAGTATTCCTGAGATTATTCATTTGTAATAAGTTCTCAGGTGACCCTGATGCTGTGGTCCTTGGCCATGATGAAAGTACTAAGATTTTAGATGTCTGTACTTTGAAATTGGGAAAAAGAACCATCTGACCGCAATTCAACACATAACAGGCTCAGGGGACAGCATCATTTTGCTTTAATTCTACAGCATGTTTTCATCAAGAGGGGAAAGAGAAAGAGATGAAGTAATAGATATTAGAGGCGTCAGATTGTATTGTGATAAACAGAGGGAAAAGTGATCCTAATACCACAAAAACACTGTAGAATGAGAAGTAACAAGAGCAGTGATGTAGCAATTATTTTCCTCAAGGAATAGGGATTGTGAGTCAGGAAGGAGGGAGAAGAAGAAGTTATTTATGTAATTTGGGATTTCTGCTGAGGAAACCTCAGTGAACTCACTTCAATACATTTGGAACATTTGCATAAAAGAAGATTTGATTTTGGGTGCTTCAGGAACTACTGGAAGCAGGAAACTATGCTAGAATTGGGATAAACCACAGTGACTCATTACTCCTCTTTAGGAGTAATTTACTATTAGGCATCAGAGATACTTGTTTTGTTGATTTCAGTTATAAAACTGAGATAAACGAATATGAATACATTGGCTTCAAAGTTCAAGGAGCTAAGTCTTGGATAAAATAGCTATTGAATGAAACTTCTTTAGGGAATAGCATGATACTCCAAAGAAGACTTTTTAGAAACAAAAAATATGTTGAATTCTAATTAACTCCTAAAGTGGTCCTTTCCATGAATATTTGATTGATTTCTGAATGTAAAACTTATTAATATCTAATGCTTGTAGCAGTTTTACATTGTAGAAGTATGTCAACATTGGTAATTGATGATATTTTTATTGAGGCTAATATATTATCCTTTGGTGCCATGAGTGGATGAAGAAACTTTCAGAAGGCTAAACGAGTGGATACAAGAAACTTAGGCAAATTATTACACCACAGGGGTGTGAGAAATAATGAATATTATCTACTAGGTTTCAGCAAACATAATCCAAGCTGATCAATTTAGGACACTTCCACTGAAGAGACGTAAAGTGTACATTCAACTGTAATATCATTGTAATTGTGTGCCTTCTCAGTTATTGGGCAAGTTAAAGAGCACAATGAATGTTTGTACTATAATGGTGTAAATCCTTTTGATTTCTTGCATGGAAGACGTGGCATCATGTAGAACCTGCTTTGACATTGATTCTCAAGTGTATGAGTTGCTCCTCTGATTTTAGATCACATTTGTCCTCATCACTTGGCATATCCACATTGATATTGACATGGTTTTATTTTAGTTTTGGACATATGACAAATCATGCCATGTTTGAAATTGTAAGTATATTTTGTGAAGCCTGTATTCACCTTTTTCAGTGTATTTCTGTCATATTCCAGTCCCCAGTCACAAAGTAGAAAACATCAAAGCCTATACTAATACAGGCAGGAAGATACATCTTGATGCCAACAGTGCATGAATGTATGGATAACTTTATCATATTTACATATGAGTGATTATGTATCCCTTTTGCTTTTCAGTGTCTTCTCAGAAACAACCAGCCTTGAAGGTAATTAAACTGTCATTTATATTGTGAACTATTAACTGTGTGGTCTATGAAACATAGTTTATGTATTCATTATTTTGTTTCAAATTCCATTCAGGCTACAAGTGACAAGAAAGATTCTGTTTCGAATATACCCACAGAAATAAAGGATGGACAACAATCTGGAACAGGTAATTTCACAAAACACATTTAATGTCATGTTCAGTCCAGATAGAAAAGTACTTCTCTTCCCCGAACAAATCAGTGCGGGGCTCATCAAAACTGCACATTCTGATTCAGCAGGCCTGACATTCTTCATTTTTAATAAGTTCTTGGGTGACGCTGATGCTGCTGGTCTTGGACACGATCTTTGCAGTAAGATTATAGACTTCCCCACATCGAAATTGGGAAGAAGAAATATGGAGAGCAGTTCAAGACATAAGGGGCTCAGGGGAACAGCATAATTTTGCTTTAATTCTACAGCATGTTTTCAATAAGGGTAGAAGGAGAAAGACATGAAGTATAGATTTTATAGATGTCACATCATACTGCTATAAAAAAGACAGAATAGTGATCCTAATAACCTGTAGACACTGTAGAATGAGAACTAAGGAGACCACTGATATAGCAATGATTTTTCCCAAGGAAGAGGGATTGTGAGGCAGGAAGGAGGGAAAAGAAGAAGTTATTTATGTAATTTTGGGGTTTCTGCTGAGGAAACCTGAGTGGACTCACTTCAGAGGCATTTAGCGTATTTGCATAAAGAAGATTTGATTTTGGCAGCTGCTGGAACTACTGGGTGCAGGAGATAATGCTAGAATTGGGATAAACTTCATTTACTAATTACTCTTCTTTGTTACTATTAGGTATCAGACTTACACGTTTTGTTGATTTTAGTTATAGAAGTTAGATAAACTTGAATATGAATACATTGGCTTCATTGATCAAAGAGGTGACTCTTGGATAAAATAGGTATTTAATGAATATTCTTTAGAGAATAGCATGATACTCCTAACAAGACTATTTTAGAAACAAAAATAATGTTGAATTCAACAACTGACTCCTAAAATGGTAATTTTCAATGAATATTGGAGTGATTTCCAAGTGTAAAAGCTTATTAATATCCAATACTTGTAGCAGTTTTATTTAGTAGAATTATGTCAAAATTGATAATTGATGATGCCTTTTATTGAGGTTATATATTATACTTTGTTGCCACGAGTGGATGAAGAAATGTTCAAAAGGCTAAACTAGAGAATACAAGAAGCTTAGGCAAATTATTACAGCACATGGGTGTGAGAAATAATGAATTATTTACTTGGATTCAGGAAACATACATCCACGTTGATCGATTTAGGTCCCTTCCACTTAAGAGATGTGAAGTGTATGTTCAAGTGAAGTGTCATTGTAATTGTGTACCTTCTCAGTTATTGGGCAAGTTAAAGAGCATGTTGAATGTTTGCAGTATAATGGTTTAATCATTCGGATATCTTGCATGAAAGTCATGCGGGTGCATGTACCACCTGCTTTGACATTGATTTCCAGGTGATTAGTTTCTTCTGTGATTTTAGACCACATTTGTCCTCATCACTCGGCATATCCTTATTGAAATTGACACTTTTATTTTAGTTTTAGTCATATGACAAATCATACTACATTTGAAATGCTTAGTGTATATTTCTTGAAACCTGTATTCCTGTTTTCTTCAGTGTATTTCTGTCATGTTCCCATCCCAAAACACAAAGTATAAAGCATCAAAGCCTACACTAATAACTGCAGACAGAGGCAGCTTGATGCTAACACTGCATGAATGTTTGAATAACTTTATCATATGCACATATGAGTGATTATGTATCTGTTTTGCTTTTCAGTGTCTTCTCAGAAACAACTGGCCTGGAAGGTAATTAAACACTCATATATATTTTGAACTATTAACTGTATAGTCTATGAATATATACTTTATGTATTGATTATTTTGTTTCAAATCCCATTCAGGCTACAAGTGTCAAGAAAGATTCTGTTTCGAATATAGCCACAGAGATAAAGGATGGACAAATACGTGGGACAGGTATTTTGGAATACACCTTTAATGTAATGTTCGATCAAATAGAAGAGAAATTCACTTCCCCAAATAAATCAGCGGGGGGTTCATTGAAGCTTTATGTTTGGATTCAGCATGCTTGAGATTCTTCATTTGTAATAAGTCCTCGGGTGACCCTGATGGTGCTGGTCCTTGACCATGATCTGAGTAGTAAGATTGTAGACTTCCCTACATTGAAATTGGGAAGAAGAGCCATAGGAGAGCGGTTCAGCACATAACAGCCTCAGGGGACAGCATCATTTTGCTTTAATTCTACAGCAAGTTTCCATCAAGAGGGGAAGGAGAACGAGACGAAGTAATAGATATTATAGGCGTCAGATCATATTGTTATAAACGGAGGGAAAAGTGATCCTAATACCTCAAAAACAGCGTAGAATGAGAACAAACAAGATCACTGAAGTAGCAATTATTTTCCACAAGGAAGAGGGATTGTGAGGCAGGAAGGAGAGAAAAGAAGAAGTTATTTATGTAATTTTGGGGTTTCTGTTGAGGAAAGCTGAGTGAACTCACTTCAGATAAATTTGGAATATTTGCATAAAAGAATATTAAATTTTGGCTTCTCCAAGAACTACTGGAAGCAGGAAACAATGCTAGAATTGGGATAAAGCACACTGACTCGTTACTCCTCTTTGTTACTGTTAGGCATCAGAGATACACGTTTTGTTGATTTTAGTTATAAAAATGAGATAAACTTGAATATGAATACATTGGCTTCATTGTTCAAGGAGCTAACTCTTGGGTAAAATAGCTATTGGATGAAACTTCTTTAGAGAATAGCATGATACTCCCAACAAGACTATTATAGAAACAAAAAGTATGTGGAATTCTAATTAACTCCTAAAGTGGTCATTTTCAATGAATATTGGAGTGATTTGTGAATGTAAAACATATTAATATCTAACGCTTGTAGCAGTTTTACTCTGTAGAAGTATGTCAAAATTGATAATTGATGATATTTTTATTGAGGCTAATATATTATCCTTTGGTGCCATGAATGGATGAAGAAATTTTGGAAAGCTAAACGAGTGGATACAAGAAACTTAGGCAAATTATTACACCACGTGGGTGTGAGGAATAATAAATATTATCTACTCAGTTTCAGCAAACAGATATCCAAGGTGATCAATTTAGGACTCTTCCACTGAAGAGACGTGAAGTGTACATTCAACTGAAGTGTCATTGTAATTGTGTACCTTCTCTGTTATCGGGCAAGTTAAAGAGCATGATGAATGTCTGTAGTATAATGGTGTAAATCCTTTTGATTTCTTGCATGAAAGACCTGTGGGATCAAGTACCATCTGCTTTGACATTGATTCTCAATTGTATGAGTTGATCCTCTGATTTTAGATCACATTTGTCCTCATCACTCAGCATATCCACGTTGACATTGACAGGGTTTTATTTTAGTTTTAGACATATGACAAATCATACCATGCTTGAAATTGTAAGTATATTTTTCATGAAGGCTGTATTACTTTTTTCAGTGTATTTCTGTCATGTTCCAATCCCCAGACACAAAGTAGGAAACATCAAATCCTACCCTAATACAGGCAGAAGGATACAGCTTGATGCTAACACTGCATGAATGTATGAATAACTTTATCATACGTGCATGTGGGTGATTATGTATCCCTTTTGCTTTTCAGTGTCTTCTCAGAGACAACCAGCCTTGAAGGTAATTAAACTCTTATTTATATTGTGAACTAGTAATTGTATAGTCTATGAAACATACTTTATTGATTTATTATTTTGTTTCAAATTCCATTCAGGCTACAGGTGATGAGAAAGATTCTGTTTCGAATATAGCCAGAGAAATAAAGGATGGAGAAAAATCTGGGACAGGTAATTTTGCAAAACACATTTAATGTCATGTTCAGTCCAGATAGAAAAGAACTTCTCTTCCCAAATAAATCAACGGAGGGCTCGTCGAAGCTGCACATTCTGATTCTGCAGACCTGAGATTCTTCATTTGTAATAAGTTCTCGGGTGACGCTGATGCTGCTGGTCTTGGACGTGATCTTCGAAGTAAGATTATAGACTTCCCCACATTGAAATTGGGAAGAAGAAACATTGGAGAGCATGTCAAGACACAAGGGGCTCAGGGTACAGCATAATTTTGCTTTAATTCTACAGCATGTTTTCACCAAGGGTGGTAGGAGATAGAGATGAAGTATAGATTTTACAGACATTACATCGTGTTCCTAAAAACAGACGGAAAAGTGATCATAATAACCCATAAACACTGTAGAACAAGAACTAACGAGACCGCTGATGTAGAAATTACTTTCCTCAAGGAAGAGGGATTGTCAGGCAGAAAGGAGGGAAAATAAGAAGTTATTTAGGTAATTTTGTTGTTTCTTCTGAGGAAACGTGAGTTCAGATGCATATTCAAATATTTTCCTAAAAGAAGATTTGATTTTGGCTGCTTTAGGAACCAATGGAAGCAGGAAGGACTCCTAGAATTGGGATAAACCACAGTGACTCATTACTCCTCTTTGTTACTCTTGGGCATCAGAGATATATGTTTTGTTGATATTAGTTATTCAAGTGAAATAAACATGAATATACATATATTGGCTTTGCTTTTCAATTAGCTAACTTTGGATAAAATAGCAATTTAATGAAAATGCTTTAGAGAGTAGCATGATACTTCAAACCAGACTATTTTAGAAACAAAATTAATTTGAATTCATTAATTGACTTTTAAAATTGTTATTTTCAATGAATATTGGAGTAATTTCCAAATGTAAAAGGTTATTCATATCTAATGCTTGTAGCAACTTTATTTTGTATAAGTATGTCAAATTTGATCATTTATTATACTTTTTGATATGGTTTATATATTATACTTTGTTGCCATGAGTGGATGAAGAACCTTTCTGTAGCATAAACTAGAGGACACAACAAATGTAGGCACATTATTACACCACGTGGGTTTGAGAAATGAAGAATATTGTATACAGGATTATCCAAACCTATATCCAAGCTGATGAAGCTGCGACACTTCCACTGAGGACTTGTGAAGTGTACATTCTACTAAAGTGTCATTGTCATTGTGTACCTCCTCAATTACCAGGCAAGTTAAAGAGCATGATGAATACTTGCAGTACAATGGTATAAATCCTTCTGATGTCTTGCATGAAAAACATGCAGTAGCATTTAGTACCTTCTTTGACATTGATTCCTGGGTGTATGAGTTGCTCCTCTGATTTTAGATCACATTTCTTTTCATCATTCAGTATATCCACATTGATATTGACACTTTTTATTTCAGTAATACACACATGACGCATAATACCTCTTTGTAATTTCTGACTGTATATTTTCTGGAAGCGTGTATTCCTATTTTCTTCAGTGTATTTCCTCATGTTCCTGTCCCAAAGACACAAACTGTAAAACATCAAATCCTACACTAGTACAGGCAGGAGGATACAGCTTGATGCTAACACTGCATGAATGTATGGATAACTTTATCATATTTACATATGATGGATTATATATTTCTTTTACTTTTCAGTGTCTCCTCAGAAACAATCGGCCCAGAAGGTAGTTACTCTTTCATTTATATTTTGAATTATTTATTGCATAGCCTATGAAATATATATTATGTATTGACTATTTTGTTTCTCTTTCCATTCAGGTTATATTTAAAAAGAAAGTTTCTCTTTTGAATATTGCCACAAGAATAACGGGCGGTTGGAAATCTGGAACAGGTAATTTAGCAATATACATTTAATGTCATGTGCACTCAAGATAGAAGACAATGTCCCACCCCTGAATAGATCAGCAGGGGGCTCATTGAAAATGCACTTTCTGATTCAGCAGGCCTGAGATTGTGCATTTCTACTGAGTTGTCAGGTGTTGTTGATGCTGCTGGTCCTTGGCCATGATCTTAGTAACAAGCTTATAGACTTCCCTACATGGAAATTGTGTAGAAGAACCGTTGGAAAACAGTTCAAGATATAAGAGATAAGAGGATCCGGGGACAGCATAATTTTGCTCTTATTTCAGAGCATGTTTCTATGGAAAGGGGAAGGAGAAAGAGAAAAAAGTAATAGAAATTATAGATGTCAGATGGTACTACTTAAACCAGAGGGAGGAAGTTGTCATAATAACCCATAAACACTGGAGAATGAGGAGCAAGGTGACCACTGATGTAGTAATTATTTTCATCAAGAAAGAGGGATTGCAAGGCAAGAAAGAGGGGAAGGAAGAAGTTATTTAGGTAATTTTGGGGTTTCTGCTGAGGAAGCCTGAGTGAACTCACTTCAGATGCATTTTGAATATTTGCATACCGGATCATCTGATTTCTGGCTGCTCCAATGACTACTGGAATCAAGAAGGAGTGCTAGAATTGGGATAAACCACAGTGCCTCATTATTCATGTTTATTAGTATCAGACATCACACATATATTTTTTATTAGTTATTCAAATGAGTTGAAGTTTAATATGAATATTTAGTTTTTTTCCAAAGTGCTGGCTGTCTTGTTAAAATAGCTATTTAATGAAAATTCTTTATAGTAAAGTGATATTCCAGAGCAGACTAATTTTACAGACAAAAATAATGTTGAATTCATTAATTGAATCCTAAAGTGATTATTTTCAATGAATATTGGACTGATTTCCAAATGTATAAGTTTATTAATATCTAATGCCTGGAGCAATTCCATTTTGTATAAATATGTATAATTTATTATACTTTTTGATGGGGTTTATATATTATACCTTCTTGCCATTAGTGGATGAAGAAAGTTTCTGAAGGCTAAACTAGAGGATATAAGAAATGTAGGCAGATTATTACACCACATGGGCATGATAAATAATGAATATTAACTACTAGGATTCACCAAACATATATCCAAGCAGATCAATTCAGGACACTTACACTGAAGACACGTGAAGTGTATGTTCAACTGAAGTGTCATTGTAATTGTGTACCTTCTCAGTTATCAGACAAGCTAAAGAGCATGATGAATGTTTATGTTATACTGGTATAAAGCCTTCTGATGTCTTGTATGAAAGTCATGCAGTCGCAGTTAGCACCAGCTTTTACACTTATTTCTAGGGTTATGACTTGCTCCTCTGATTTTAGATCACATTTCTCCTTGTTAATCAGTATATCCACATTGATATTAACACTTCTTTTTAGCAATAGATGTGGTGCATAATCTCACTTTTTAACTTGTAACTGTATGTTTTTGAAGCTTGTATTCCTATTTTCTTCATTGCATTTCTATCATATTACTGTCCCAAAGAAACAAACTAGAAAAACATGAAACCCTACACTAATACAGGCAAGAGTATTCAGTTTGATGTTAACACTCCACAAATGTATGGTTGGCCTTACCATATTTACATATGATTGATTATATATTTCTCTTGCTTGTTAGAGTATCCTGAGAATCTGCCCACCTTGAAGGTAATTACTCTTACATTTATATTTTTAATTATTAACTGCATAACCTATACCAATATACATCATGTGCTAATCACTTTGTTTTAAAACCCATTCAGGCTACAATTGAAAATAAAAATTCTGTTCTGAATACAGCCACCAAAATGAAAGATGTACAAACATCCACACCAGGTAAACTTTGCATTGTAGATTTAACTCTGGAAAGAAGTACATTAATCTGTTTGTAATGCTCATAGTCTTTCTATTCTCAATTATTTCACTTTTTATATTTTATTTCAGGATTTCATCTAAATAATGCAGCTGTTATCATTTTTATATTTTCAAAAATGAGATTTACATGCATAAGGAAAATATATTTTTAAAACATAAGGTTTTTGTTTTGTTTTGTTTTTTGTTTTGTTTTGTTTTTTGTTTTTGGAGACAGAGCTTTGCTCTTGTTGCCCAGGGTGGAGTGCAATGGCTCAATTGTAACTCACGACAACCTCCACCTTCCTGGTTCAAGCAATTCTCTTGCCTCAGCCTCCCGAGTAGCTGGGATTACAGGTATGCCCCACCATGCCCGGCTAATTTTGTATTTTTAGTAGAGACAGGCTTTCTCCATGTTGGTCAGGCTGGTCTTGAGCTCTCGACCTCAGGTGATCCTCCCGCCTCGCCCTCCCAAAGTGCTGGGATTACAGGTGTGAACCACCATGCCTGGCCTAAAAATATAAGGTTTTATTCAGATGTTTCTACTTTTACATTTTGATACTCTGAAGTTTCCAATTTGGAATTTCAATAGTTTTTAGCGAATTAAAGAGATCAATTTTGATACTGTAAAATATTTGTTTTGCTTTAAAAGTCAATTAAAATTATGGCTTTTAGCTAATGAAATGTTTTATTTTGTAACATTTGTTTTGTTTTAACTTTTATTGGTTCTGGTCAATTTTGTTACACTTATTATATTAAGCCAATCAGATGTTCTGATTAGCACACTGTGTGTGTTTCTTTATTTTTTTGTTTTTAATTTTAATGAGTAAATTGTAGGTGTTTATGTTTATGGAGTAGATGAGATAGTTTGATACAGGCATACAATGTGTAATAATGACACCATGGTTAATGGGTTATCCATCACCTCAAGCGTTAACCATTTCTTTGTGCTGTCTTTTAATTTGTACTTCCTCAGTAATGCTAAAATGGACAAGTTATTGCTGACTGTAGTCATGTTTTTGTGCTATAAAATGCTACATTTTATTCATTGTTTCTAACTATAGTTTGTACTTATTAAGCATCCTCATTTCCTACCACCCCCACACCCTTCCTAGACTGTGGTAATGGTGATTTTTCTCTTCATCTCCATGAGCTCTATTTTTGAAATTTCTCACACCCACAAAGGACTGACAACATGTGAAGCCTTCCTTTCTTTGCCTGGATTATTTTACTTGACATAATGTCCTCCTGTTCCATCCATGTCATGTGAATGAGAGGATCTTATTCTTTCATATGGCTGAGCCATATATGTATCACATTTTTAGAACCCATTTTTCTGTTGATATACATTTAGATTGATTCCAAATTATGGCTATTGTGGAAAGTGCTGCAATAAACATGTCAGGACAGATTTCTCTTTTATAATACTGATTTTCTTGCTTTTGAGTAGTTACCTAGCAATGGGATTGCTGGATCATGTGGGTAGCTGTATTTTTAATTTTTTGAGGACTCTATACTGTTCTCCATAGTGGCTGTACTAATTCATAATGCCACCAATGGTGTACGAGGGTTCTGCTTTCTCCACATCCTCACCAGCATTTCTTAATGCCTGCCATTTGGATAAAAGCCATTTTAACTGAGGTGAGATGATACCTCATTGTAGCTTTGATTTGCATTTCTGTGATGATCAGTGACATCGAGCACCTTTCCATATACCTGTTTGCCATCTGATAGCAGTTTGAAACATAACAGTATCATTTTGCTACTATTTCTGAGCATGTTTCTAGCCAGAGGGAAAGGAACACAAATTTAGGAAATAGAAATTATACATGTAAGGTACTACTGCTAAATTAAGAGGCTTTCCTCTTTATTTGTGGTGGGAATAATTTATGAGAGTTATATAGAAGTGTTGATATTAGTTAATCAAATGAAATTTATTTGAACTAAGAAACTTTGACTGATTTTACTAAGAAACCTATTTTTTTAAATAAGATCACAGTTCCATGAAAGTGTCTTAGAGATTAGCATGGTATATCAAATCAAACTAATTTTAGAAACAAAAAGTTATAGCATTCATTCTTTGAATAACAAAACCAAAATAATCAGTGAACATTGCACTGATTTTGAAGTATAAAATGTTATTAATAAGTCTGTGGAAATTTAATTTTTTCATTTTTGACAATTATTTACATATTGAAAGCTTATTATACACTTTTTTTTTTTTTTTTGAGACAGAGTCTTGCTCTGTCTCCCAGCCTGGAGTGTAATGGCACAATCTCGGCTCACTGCAACCTCCACCTCCCGGGTTAAAGCGATTCTCCTGCCTCAGCCCCCTGAGTAGCTGAGATTACAGGCACATGACACCATGCCCAGCTAATTTTTGTATTTTGAGTAGAGATGGGGTTTCACCATGTTAGTCAGGCTGGTCTTGACCTCCTGACCTTGTGATCCACTTGCTTCAGCCTCCCAAAGTGCTGTGATTACAGGCGTGAGCCACCACACCCAGCCTATACACTATTTTTGATGTGGTTTACATATCTTCTTACATGAGTGGATTCAGAAAGTTCTTGACAGGGCCAAACTGCAGGATACAAGCAATGTAGACATAGCAGTAGCCTACCTAGGAATGAAAAAAATGAATAGTTTTATTAATTTTTATTCTACAACTGTCTATCTAAGCTGATTAATTTTAAACAGTTTCTCTGATGAGAAATAAATTGTATATTTATTGGAAGTGTCCTCACAATTTTGTACTTCCTAAATAATAGGAAAAACAGTTGGACATGATAAATGCTTGTAGTATAATGGTGTAATTGAATCTGAAGTATTGCATTAAAGATAGGCCATAGCATCCTCCCATCAGCTTTGATACTTACTCTCTCAGGATCATGATTTGCTATTCTTTATAAGGATCATTTTTCTCATTATCAGTCAACATGTTTACATTGGAATAGATACACTCTTCTATTTCAGTTATAGTTAGTTGAGACATAATCTCACTTTAGAAACCTTAACTACATATGTTATAAAACCTGTATTAAATAAAACCGTTTATCTGAGGAAAGATAGCCAGAATCAAGGAAGACTTCACATAGCTGTCTGAGTCTTAAATTATGAAAGAAATCTGTCAGAATAGTTGAGGAAAATATTTTAGATATAAAGAAGAGACTGTACACTGATGAAAGTGTAAACAGTAGCAGTCATTTTGGAAATGATTAATAATGAACAGCAGGCTCAAAGTGCTGTTCTAAAGGTACTATTGTGAAGTAAAGAACAGTGTGCTGTTACTTTTTCTGTTTCTATTGGATTTTTACATTTTGTTTTATTTCTGATGGTTTCGTTCATTGATGTTGGGTGGGTGAATTTGTGAGTGAATCTTTGACCACGTTTGCATGGCTTGAACCTGGTGACATCTAGTGCCTCCCCAAGTGGTTTGCTGAAGTTTTGGAGGATTAAAAGCCTTTCTTAAAGAAGTAAATATTATACTAAAGATTAAGCTTCGTTGAAACACTTTTATTTTCTGGTTTTAGAAAGACTTTTTTTTTTTTTTTTTTTTTTGAGACACAGTCTCGCTCTGCCACCCAGGCTGGAGGTGCAGTGGTGAGATCTTCAGCTCACTGCAAGCTCCACTTCCCGGGCTCACGCCATTCTCCTGCACCAGCCTCCCGACTAGCTGGGACTACAGGCGCCCACCACCACGCCCAGCTAATTTTTTGTATTTTTTAGTAGAGACGGGGTTTCACCTTGTTAGCCAGGATGGTCTCGATCTCCTGACCTCGTGATCCACCTGCCTCGGCCTCCCAAAGTGCTGGGATTACAGGCGTGAGCCACCGCTGACCATGGCTTTTATCTAACTGTTCTGTGTAGCTCATTTTAACTAAATATATAATTTTTTTTAGCAGAACAAGACTTAGAAATGGCATCAGAGGGAGAGCAAAAGAGGCTTGAAGAATATGAAAATAACCAGCCACAGGTATGTAAAAATTTAAAATCAAATTTCTGGTTTAATCTTGTTTTCCTAGCTTTGGTAATACAGCATATTTGAAATGAATTTACCTTTGGATTAGCCTTTTAGTATCAGTTGATTATAATTTAATATTTCATTTTAAAAACATTTAACTAGTTATAAAACTTAAAATAGTGTTGGAATCTATAGCAACTTGTATCTTATCTTTACTCTTGGAATTGAGTTAAAAAGTTCCTGATATTGTTTGCACTTCTATTTTTATAACTTCCTATTATAATAAAGAAGGTAACATCAAATATTGAATTACAATTTTAAGCAATAGAAATTATGAACAATTTAACAGTGATGACCACCGTACTGGATTCAGATTAAAGGAGTAATTATTGCTAGTGGTTCAAACTTTGCAGTTTTTTTATTGCCAGTCACTAATACCAAGGTTAAAAATTTACTTTCCTTTTTGATCTCTGACTTCAGTTTCTATGTTCAGGGAGAGAATAGGTCATAAAATCAACCCAACTGGCTATCAAGAGAATTATACCTTGCAGAATGGCACCTTTGGTATTAGTGTACAAACAATAACTGCCTAATGTATTTCAATATAGAAAATCTCTAAATATTGTTAAATTTATTAAATCCACTGTCATTAGTAGACCTTAGAACTTAAGCCTATAATCTATATAAATATATAACACTGTCAATCATATTACAATGTTTAATTTGCATTAAAATGTAAGAATTTGCTTTTCTTATTTTATTTTATTATTATTATACTTTAAGTTTTAGGGAACATGTGCACAATGTGCAGGTTAGTTACATATGTATACACGTGCCATGCTGGTGCGCTGCACCCATTAACTCGTCATTTAGCATTAGGTATATCTCCTAATGCTATCCCTCCCCCCTCCCCCCACCCCACAACAGTCCCCAGAGTGTGATGTTCCCCTTCCTGTGTCCACCTGTTCTCATTGTTCAATTCCCACCTATGAGTGAGAACATGCAGTGTTTGGTTTTTTGTCCTTGCGATAGTTTACTGAGAATGATGATTTCCAATTTCATCCATGTCCCTACAAAGGACATGAACTCATCATTTTTTATGGCTGCATAGTATTCCATGGTGTATATGTGTCACATTTTCTTAATCCAGGTTATCATTGTTGGACATTTGGGTTGGTTCCAAGTCTTTGCTATTGTGAATAGTGCCGCAATAAACATACGTGTGCATGTGTCTTTATAGCAGCATGATTTATAGTCCTTTGGGTATATACCCAGTAATGGGATGGCAGGGTCAAATGGTATTTCTAGTTCTGGATCCCTGAGGAATCGCCACACTGACTTCCACAATGGTTGAACTAGTTTACAGTCCCACCAACAGTGTAAAAGTGTTGCTATTTCTCCACATCTTCTCCAGCACCTGTTGTTTGCAGACTTTTTAATGATTGCCATCCTAACTGGTGTGAGATGGTATCTCATTGTGGTTTTGATTTGCATTTCTCTGATGGCTAGTGATGGTGAGCATTGTTTCATGTGTTTTTTGGCTGCATAAATGTCTTCTTTTGAGAAGTGTCTGTTGATATCCTTTGCCCACTTTTTGATGGGGTTGTTTGTTTTTTTCTTGTAAATTTGTTTGGGTTCATTGTAGATTCTGGATATTAGTCCTTCGTCAGATGAGTAGGTTGCAAAAATTTTCTCCCATTTTGTAGGTTGCCTGTTCACTCTGATGGTAGTTTCTTTTGCTGTGCAGAAGCTCTTCAGTTTAATTAGATCCCATCTGTCAATTTTGGCTTTTGTTGCCATTGCTGTTGGTGTTTTAGACATGAAGTCCTTGCCCATGCCTATGTCCTGAATGGTAATGCCTAGGTTTTCTTCTAGGGTTTTTATGGTTTTAGGTCTAACGTTTAAGCCTTTAATCCATCTTGAATTAATTTTTGTATAAGGTGTAAGGAAGGGATCCAGTTTCAGCTTTCTACATATGGCTAGCCAGTTTTCCCAGCACCATTTATTAAATAGGGAATCCTTTCCCCGTTGCTTGTTTTTCTCAGGGTTGTCAAAGATCAGATAGTTGTAGATATGCGGCGTTATTTCTGAGGGCTCTATTCTGTTCCATTGGTCTATATCTCTGTTTTGGTACCAGTACCATGCTGTTTTGGTTACTGTAGCCTTGTAGTATAGTTTGAAGTCAGGTAGCGTGATGCCTCCAGCTTTGTTCTTTTGGCTAAGGATTGACTTGGTGATGCGGGCTCTTTTTTGGTTCCATATGAACTTTAAAGCAGTTTTTTCCAATTCAGTGAAGAAAGTCTTTGGGAGCTTGATGGTGATGGCATTGAATCTATAAATTACCTTGGGCAGTATGGCCATTTTAACCATACTGATTCTTCCTACCCATGAGCATGGAATGTTTTTCCATTTGTTTGTATCCTCTTTTATTTCCTTGAGCAGTGATTTGTAGTTCTCCTTGAAGAGGTCCTTCACATCCCTTGTAAGTTGGATTCCTAGGTATTTTATTCTCTTTGAAGCAATTGTGAATGGGAATTCACTCATGATTTGGCTCTGTGTTTGTCTGTTATTGGTGTATAAGAATGCTTATGATTTTTGTACATTGATTTTGTATCCTGAGACTTTGCTGAAGTTGCTGATCAGCTTAAGGAGATTTTGGGCTGAGACAATGGGGTTTTCTAGTTATACAATCATGTCATCTGCAAACAGGGACAATTTGACTTCCTCTTTTCCTAATTGAATACCCTTTATTTCCTTCTCCTGCCTAATGGCCCTGGCCAGAACTTCCAACACTATGTTGAATAGGAGTGGTGAGAGAGGGCATCCCTGTCTTGTGCCCTCTTGTGCCAGTTTTCAAAGGGAATGCTTCCAGTTTTTGCCCATTCAGTATGATATTGGCTGTGGGTTTGTCATAGATAGCTCTTATTATTTTGAAATACATCCCATCAATACCTAATTTATTGAGAGTTTTTAGCATGAAGGGTTGTTGAATTTTGTCAAAGGCCTTTTCTGCATCTATTGAGATAATCATGTGGTTTTTGTCTTTGGTTTTGTTTATAAGCTGGATTACATTTATTTATTTGCGTATATTGAAGCAGCCTTGCATCCCAGGGATGAAGCCCACTTGATCATGGTGGATAAGCTTTTTGATGTGCTGCTGGATTTGGTTTGCCCATATTTTATCGAGGATTTTTGCATCAATGTTCATTAAGGATACTGGTCTAAAATTCTCTTTTTTGGTTGTGTCTCTGCCCGGCTTTGGTATCAGGATGATGCTGGCCTCATAAAATGAGTTAGGGAGGGTTCCCTCTTTTTCTATTGATTGGAATAGTTTCAGAAGGAAGGGTATCACTTCCTCCTTGTACCTCTGGTAGAATTCGGCTGTGGATCCATCTGGTCCTGGACTCTTTTTGGTTGGTAAGCTATTGATTATTGCCACAATTTCAGAGCCTGTTATTGGTCTATTCAGAGATTCAACTTCTTCCTGGTTTAGTCTTGGGAGGGTGTATGTTTCCAGGAATTTATCCATTTCTTCTAGATTTTCTAGTTTATTTGCGTAGAGGTGTTTGTAGTATTCTTTGATGGTAGTTTGTATTTCTGTGGGATCGGTGGTGATATCCCCTTTATCATTTTGTATTGCATCTATTTGATTCTTCTCTCTTTTCTTCTTTTTTAGTCTTGCTAGCTGTCTATCAATTTTGTTGATCCTTTCAAAAAACCAGCTCCTGGATTCATTAATTTTTTGAAGGGTTTTTTGTGTCTCTATTTCCTTCAGTTCTGTTCTGATTTTAGTTATTTCTTGCCTTCTGCTAGCTTTTGAATGTGTTTGCTCTTGCTTTTCTAGTTCTTTTAATTGTGATGTTAGGGTGTCAATTTTGGATCTTTCTTGCTTTCTCTTGTGGGCATTTAGTGCTATAAATTTCCCTCTGCACACTGCTTTGAATGTGTCCCAGAGATTCTGGTATGTTGTGTCTTTGTTCTCGTTGGTTTCAAAGAACATCTTTATTTCTGCCTTCATTTCGTTATGTACCCAGTAGTCATTCAGGAGCAGGTTGTTCAGTTTCCATGTAGTTGAGCGGTTTTGAGTGAGTTTCTTAATCCTGAGTTCTAGTTTGATTGCACTGTGGTCTGACAGACAGTTTGTTATACTTTCGTTCTTTTACATTTGCTGAGGAGAGCTTTACTTCCAAGTATGTGGTCAATTTTGGAATAGGTGTGGTGTGGTGCTGAAAAAAATGTATATTCTGTTGATTTGGGGTGGAGAGTTCTGTAGATGTCTATTAGGTCCACTTGGTGCAGAGCTGAGTTCAATTCCTGGGTCTCCTTATTAACTTTCTGTCTCATTGATCTGTCCAATGTTGACAGTGGGATGTTAAAGTCTCCCATTATTATTGTGTGGGAGTCTAAGTCTCTTTGTAGGTCACTCAGGACTTGCTTTATGAATCTGGGTGCTCCTGTATTGGGTGCATATATATTTAGGATAGTTAGCTCTTCTTGTTGAATTGATCTCTTTACCATTATGTAATGGCCTTCTTTGTCTCTTTTGATCTTTGTTGGTTTAAAGTCTGTTTTATCAGAGACTAGGATTGCAACCCCTGCCTTTTTTTGTTTTCCATTTGCTTGGTAGATCTTCCTCCATCCTTTTATTTTGAGCCTATGTGTGTCTCTGCACGTGAGATGGGTTTCCTGAATACAGCACACTGATGGATCTTGACTCTTTATCCAATTTGCCAGTCTGTGTCTTTTGATTGGAGCATTTAGTCCATTTACATTTAAAGTTAATATTGTTATGTCTGAAATTGATCCTGGCATTATGATGTTAGCTAGTTATTTTGCTCATTAGTTAATGCAGTTTCTTCCTAGTCTCGATGGTCTTTATATTTTGGCATGATTTTGCAGTGGCTGGTACCGGTTGTTCCTTTCCACGTTTAGTGCTTCCTTCAGGAGCTCTTTTAGGGCAGGCCTGGTGGTGACAAAATCTCTCATCATTTGCTTGTCTGTAAAGTATTTTATTTCTCCTTCACTTATGAAGCTTAGTTTGGCAGGATATGAAATTCTGGGTTGAAAATTCTTTTCTTTAAGAATGTTGAATATTGGCCCCCACTCTCTTCCGGCTTGTAGAGTTTCTGCCGAGAGATCCACTGTTAGTCTGATGGGCTTCTCTTTGTGGGCAACCTGACCTTTCTCTCTGGCTGCCCTTAACATTTTTTCCTTCATTTCAACTTTGGTGAATCTGACAATTATGTGTCTTGGAGTTGCTCTTCTCAAGGGGTATTTTTGTGGCGTTGTCTGTATTTCCTGAATCTGAATGTTGGCCTGCCTTGCTAGATTGGGGAAATTCTCCTGGATAATATCCTGCAGTGTGTTTTCCAACTTGGTTCCATTCTCCCCGTGACTTTCAGGTACACCAATCAGATGTAGATTTGGTCTTTTCACTTAGTCCCATATTTCTTGGAGGCTTTGTTTGTTTCTTTTCATTCTTTTTTCTCTCAACTTCCCTTCTCGTTTCATTTCATTCATTTCATCTTCCATCACTGATACCCTTTCTTCCAGTTGATTGCATCGGCTCCTGAGGCTTCTGCACTCTTCACATAGTTCTCGAGCCTCGGCTTTCAGCTTCATCAGCTCCTTTAAGCACTTCTCTGTATTGGTTATTCTAGGTATACATTCGTCTAAATTTTTTTTCAAAGTTTTTAACTTCTTCGCCTTTGGTTTGAATTTCCTCCTGTAGCTCAGAGTAGTTTGATCATCTGAAGCCTTCTTCTCTCAACTCGTCAAAGTCATTCTCCGTCCAGCTTTGTTCTGTTGCTGGTGAGGAACTGCATTCCTTTGGAAGAGGAGAGGCGCTCTGCTTTTTAGAGTTTCCAGTTTTTCTGCTCTGTTTTTTCCCCATCTTTGAGGTTTTATCTACTTTTGGTCTTTGATGATGGTGATGTACAGATGGGTTTTTGATGTGGATGTCCTTTCTGTTTGTTAGTTTTCCTTCTACCAGAGAGAACCCTCAGCTGCAGGTCTGTTGGAGTTTGCTAGAGGTCCACTCCAGACCCTGTCTGCCTGGGTATCAGCAGTGGTGGCTGCAGAACAGCAGATTTTCGTGAACCGCGAATGCTGCTGTGTGATCGTTCCTCTGGGAGTTTTGTCTCAGAGGAGTACCCGGCTGTGTGAGGTGTCAGTCTGCCCCTACCTGGGGGTGCCTCCCAGTTAGGCTGCTCGGGGGTCAGTGGTCAGGGTCTCACTTGAGTAGGCAGTCTGCCCATTCTCAGATCTCCAGCTGCATGCTGGGAGAACCACTGCTGTCTTCAAAGCTATCAGACAGGGACATTTAAGTCTGCAGAGGTTACTGCTGTCTTTTTGTTTCTCTGTGCCCTGCCCCCAGAGGTGGAGCCTACAGAGGCAGGCAGGCCTCCTTGAGCTGTGGTGGGCTCCACCCAGTTCGAGCTTCCCAGCTGCTTTGTTTACCTAAGCAAGCCTGGGCAATGGCAGGTGCCCCTCCCCCAGCCTCACTGCCACCTTGCAGTTTGATCTCAGACTGCTGTGCTAGCAATTAGTTAGACTCCATGGGCGTAGGACCCTCTGAGCCAGGTGCAGGATATAATTTCCTGGTGTGCCGTTTTTTAAGCCCATCGGAAAAGTGCAGTATTAGGGTGGGAGTAACCCAATTTTCCAGGTGCTGTCTGTCACCCCTTTCTTTGACTAGGAAAGGGAACTCCCTGACCCCTTCCACTTCCTGAGTGAGGCAATGCCTCACCCTCCTTTGGGTCACGCACGGTGCACTGCACCCACTGTCCAGCACCCACTGTCTGGCACTCTTTAGTGAGATGAACCTGGTACCTCAGATGGAAATGCAGAAACCACCCATCTTCTGCGTCGCTCACGCTGGGAGCTGTAGACTGGAGCTGTTCCTATTCAGCCATCTTGGCTGCCAGACAAAGAATTTGCTTTTCTTACTGACTGGTGGTGATTTTGGCTCCTAATAATTTAAAGTTTGCCTAATCATTAGTTAGTAATATTAGGAAAAAGCACTCAAGTGTACACTGTTCATATAGTGATAAAATCTTTTAAAGTGACTGCCTTTATAGTACCACAAGTCATCTCCTAATTCATTTTTGGGAAATTTAACACATAATGAATTATTCAAGTTTAGTCCAAACAAACAGTGACAAATTAAAGTTTCATGGTTTATGTTTTTCACTGATTTTAGGCTAATGCAAATTATTTTTCACTTCTTAGTTACAATCCAGTGATTTGGGAGTAGGTAAACATAGATTAAGAAGTTTGATATTAAACTTTAATTATTTTTTAATTTTTCTCTTTTTACACTTGATTATTTAAAGATAAAGTTATTTTTAAAACATGTACTCTGACAGAAAAGACATCTAAGAAAGAAAACTAGCAAATTTATCTTCCACTTTTGCATGTGCAAAAATTGTCTCAACAACTAGTAGTGAAAAAGTGTTGTGATAGAAAGGACCTCTTTATATATGCAGGACTTACTTGTGCACAAAAGTATGAGAGAATGTGGATCAAACAAGACAAACTAGGGTAAAAAAAACCTTTAAAATTCATCACAAATAAGTTAAAGCAGAGTTTTGGTGAAATTTGTGAAAATTACAAAACTGCTTGTATTGAGGAAGAGCAACTACATAATAACTCTACAGGAAGAACAAACTTAAGTAAAAACCTTCTAATTTGACAAATGATTCACCTGATTGTCAGGAAAGTGATGCATCTGGCATGTCTGTCTCTGTAGTAGTCCAGATATTTCCTGAACAAAAATAACCCAGTCTCAAAAATGCCTTTCTTTCTCATTCATACTCTGGGTCCCCAGAATATGCTTGCCAGTCACCTTCAGAGCTTTATTTAAATACAAATAAAGTAGACTGTGAAAACGACAACAAACCAGATACTGAACATGTTTTTAACTCAGACAAGGAAAATTTTTATAATGATACTGAAAGTACAAAAGCAAGAAACCCAGAAGTAGCTATGGATGAAATAAAAGAAGACAAATAGGTTGTGAGGCAAATGACAAAAAACCAAAACACCGCTAATTGGAAATTAAACATCGGACATATGCCTCAATTTAGTGATTCAAAAAGCCTTTTAGGTATGTGGCTTACCTGCTCCAAAGAAATGAAGCATGTGATTTAAAAAA
Organism: Homo sapiens; assembly: GCF_000001405.40. Classification (NCBI taxonomy): domain Eukaryota; kingdom Metazoa; phylum Chordata; class Mammalia; order Primates; family Hominidae; genus Homo; species Homo sapiens. Next base: position 95,868,295 of record NC_000002.12, on the reverse strand, counting down.
AAAAAAAAAGATGATGGTGTTTCTGTTGTTACAAACAGTACAAAACCAATACAGAATGTGTTCCAGAAGCCGTTATGTGACAACTGTAGTGCAAATAAGTATGAAAGCATAAAACTTGAATTAGAAAATGTGCATTATTCTCCACCACATGGTGACAGAACATCAGCAGTATGTCTAGAAGTGGAATTAAGTGATATATGCAAAGATTTAAGAATGAGGTAAGCATATTACAAGTAAAGTAGAGTTCCTGGCTTTGGAGAAAGTTCAACTTCCAAAAGACTTAGAGGGTCACTTGCTGCTACTCTGGTTTTTCTCTTCACCAATTATTTGATCCATTTGAATTGTTTTACTTATGAAAATCTCTTGTGTAAAATGGGGTAATCTAAATACCTAATTGTATGTATAAATAGATTGTTTTTGCAATTAAAATAACTCAAGCTCAGGAAGACATTCTCTTAATCTTTGTTCCTTAATTAACCCAAGTCTCTCTGTCAGTTTTCTAAATAGCATAGGAACTGGGAAACTAATTTATCCATAGACCATGTGGTCTTCTGAACTAGAGTCAACATAAAGGAAATTGCTTAAAAAAAAAGTACAGAACAGGTACCTGTGTTTGTGCTCATATAAACAGATGGGCAATTCCCACTTCTGTACATTTTGTATATGCTATAAATATTTTGGGGACATTTTGAAACAGTGTTATTTATTTTGTAGGTGAAAAACCAAATACATTCTAGGGATGACCTTGATGACATAATTCAGTCATCTCAAACAGTCTCAGAGGACGGTGACTCGCTTTGCTGTAATTGTAAGAATGTCATATTACTCATTGATCAACATGAAATGAAGTGTAAAGGTAGGACCAATGCATAAATATAAGGCTTTTTAAAAATCCTATAGCAATGTATGCACACATTGCTTAACACTGTACCATAGAGTACTGATATGTTACAAGAATGTTCATCTCAGAAATATGCCTTATGTTAAAATAGAATGAAAGCAACTGTATCTTGTACCTTCTCAGCCAAGGGCTATGATCATTTCACTGTACTTTTCTCAGTGTGAATGATACACACAGTGTGTTTGTTTACTCTGCTTCTCTTCTATGCCATTACCCCTTTACCCATGGTCATGTTACCATTTTCTCCCACCTGAAATACTGTGATAACCCTCTAACTGTCTTTTCTACTATTCCACCTTCCAAAACCATGGCCTGTTCTGCAATCATAATTATATAGTTGTAAAAAATCACACCTGATCATGTTACCTGCTTGCTGAAAACCCAGCTGCCATTTATTGCTATAAGGTATGGATTTCAGTCCTCGAGCTTTATACTGCATCACTGCATACCCTTCTCTGTGTCACAGCCAGTGCCTTAGGTGTTTGCTCCTACAATCAGTAGCTTTAGTGTGGTATAATTGATATGCGATACAGTGCACACATGTAAAAGGTACCATTTGATAAGTTTTAACAGATGTATACACATGTGAAACTATTACCATCATCGAGATAGTCAACATATATCCATCACCCACTAACGTCTCCTCATGGCCCTTCATATTCCTGTTTTTAAAAGCTGCTAAATGGTTTTCCAAAATATTTGTACTATTTTCTATTCTCATCAGCAGTAAATGACCATTCCAGTTGCTATGTTGTCACACTACTGCTGCATTTATTTTTTTAAATTTTAGTTATTCTGATGGGTGTATTATGTATATTCTTATGGGTTTAATGTACATGATCCTAATGACTAAAATGTTGAGCATCTTTCCATGTGTTTATTTGCCATCTGTACATCTTCTTTGTTGAACTGTCTTTTCACATCTTCTGCATATAAAAAAGTAGGTTGATGTTTTCTTACGTGTTGAATTTTAATAATTCTGTATGTATTTGGATACTATTACTTTTAGCTACTTTTTTACAAGGGTATTTTTGCCAGTTTTTGGGTTGACTTTTCACTTGCTTTGTAGTATCTTTTGAAGAGCAGAAGATTTTAATCGTAATGAAATCCAATTTAATTGTTGAATTACAGATTTTGCATTTTGTGTCATATGTAAAAATGTTTGCCTAGCACAAGGTCACAAAGATTTTTCCTGTGTTTGTTCTAGAAATTTTATAGATTTGGATCTTCCATTTAAATCTGTGCTCCATTTTGAGTTTCCTTTTGTCTATGGAGTGAGGTGAGGTATGGATTCAAGTTCACTTTTTGGATATGGACAGCCAATTGTTCCAACACCACATGTTGAAAAGGCTATCCTTTCTCCACTGCATTGCCATCCTGCCTTTGTCAGTCATAAGCTGGTTGCTTATGTGTTATCTATTTCTGGACTGTCTGTTGAATTTTATTAATTTGCAGGTGCTCCCCAAATTGTGGGAAACCCAGTGTTTGAGTCAAAAGCAATTTAATACTTCAGTAAACCCACTGTAAAGTCAGTAAGTCAAACCACCTTAAGTTGGGGATTGTCTGAATTTGACTTTCTTTATACAGGTTGAGCATTGCTAATTTAAATATCCCAAATCTGAAATGCTCTAAAACCCCAGACTTTTTGATTGCCAACACAGACACCACAGTGGAAAAATTCTACATCCGACCTCATGTATACAAACATTGTTTCATGCCCCAAATTATTAAAAGTATTGTTTAAAATTACCTTCAGTCTTTGTGTACAAGGTAAATATGAAAAACAAATGTATTCTGTGTTTAGACTTGGGTCCTATCCCCAAGATATCTCATCATGTATATGCAAATATTCCAAAATCCAAAATCTGAAAAATTTCTAGTCTGAAGCATTTTGAATAAGGGATACTCAGCCTGTACCTATGGCACACTGTTTTGGTTACTATTGATTTATAGTAATTGTTGAAATGAATCCTCCAATTTTGTTCTTTGTTCTGTTTTGACTGTGCTAGATCCTTTGCATTTTCTCATGAACTTTAGAATCAGCTTATCAATAAAATAAAGACTGCTCGCTTGTTGGAAATTAAGTTGGGATTGGGTCATATTTATAGATTAATTTGGGGAGAATTGACATCTTAACAATAGCGAATCTACTCCTCAATAAAGTGTATGTCTGCTTTTATAGAGGTAATATTTAATTTTCTCAGTAGTATTTTGTAGTTTTTAGTTTATAGGTCTTTTCATATTTTATCAGATTTATCTGTATTTCATTTTTGATGAAGTTGTAAATGATAGTTTACTTAATGTAGATGTATTTGACTTTATTTATACAGGTTGAGCATTGCTAATCCAAATATACATTTTTATAAAACTATAGAAAATGATAGTTTTAAAATTTTCATTTGATTGTTTATCACTAGCATATAGAAATACAGTTAATTTTTCTATATTGAATTTGTATCCTTCAATCTTGTTAAACTCACTTATTAGTTCTGGCACATTGTTGGTAGATTTGATCAGATTTTCTTCATAGACCAAAGGTTGTTAAACCTTTCTTTCTCAAACTACCCTGTTACTAAGGATAGTGAATATTTTAGGCTTGTGGCAAAAGGGTCTCTTTTGCAGCTGATAAACTCTGCCATTTTAGTATGAGAGCAGCCATAGATCATCCATAAATTAATGAACACAGCTGTGTTCCAATAAAAGCTTATCAGACAAGAAGCTGGCCCACAGGTTGGGGTTTACCCATACCTATTTTATGGTCATGGTTGTGTATAAAGACAATTTTATTTCTTTTTTTAAACTTGGATGCCTCTTATTTCTTTTTCTTGCCTGACTGCATTAACTAGAATCTTCAGAACAATGCTACAAACAAGTAGTGAAAGCAGACATTCCCATGTTCTTCCTCATCTTATGGGAAATGCATTCAGTTTTTCACTATGATGCACGTTAGCTGTAGGTTCATCATAGACGTTGTTTATCATGCTGAAGAACTTCCCTTGGATTCTTATGTTACTGAGAGTGTTTCTTCTTTGAGACATCAGGAGTAAATTTTATCAGATGCCTGTGTCTGTTGGGATGATCCTATGGGTCTTCTCTTTCAGTTTGTTTTGTGGTAAATAATGATGGTGTTTCAATGTTAAGCCAACCTTCCATTTCTGGAATAAACCCCATTTGTTTATGATGTATTACCTTTTCATTATACTGTCGGATACAATTTACTAAAGTCTCATTTAGAATTTATTATAAAGACTTTTATTTTTAGACCAGTTTTATGTTCCTGTCAAAATTGAGAGGGAGGTTCAGATATTTTTTTGTATACCCCCAATCCAATACATGTTTAGCCTCCTTCATTACCAGTATCCTTCACCATAGTGGTAGTTGCTATGATAGATGAGCCTAAATTGACACATCACAATCACCCCAAGCCCATAATTTGCATTGGGGTTCACTCTTGGTACTGTACATGTATGGATTTGGACAAATGTACAATGATGTGTATCCATGTTATATAAATTATTTTGACTTCCCTAAAAATCCTCTGTGCTCTGCCTATGTATCTTTTCCTGCTGTCTCTTACCCTTTGGCACCCTTTTACTTTATCCATAGTTTTGCCTTTTCCTGATCATATAGTTGGAACCATACAGTAAGTAGCCTTTTCAGATTAGCTTATGTCACTTGGTAATATGCATTTAAGTTTCCTTCACATATTTTCATGAATTGATTGCTCATTTCTTTATGTGTAGAGTGATATTCCACTGTATGGCTGTGTAACCACAGTTTATTCACTCCACTATGGGAGGATGTCTTCGTTGCATCACAAATTGGTTGAATTTTTACATTCGTGCTCATGAGGGAATTTTCTTCTTGGTAATATTTTCTGGTTTTGGTTCAGGGTAAAGCTAACATTACAGACTGAGTTGAGATATACTCCTTCTTTCTGTTTCTTTTGGGAGAGTTTATGTATAATTGTATTATTTTCTTCCAGTAATGTTTTGTAGAATTCACCAGCATAGCCAGCTGGGTCTGGAGTTTTCTTTTAGGAAGGTTTTTAACTATAACTTAACTTTCTTTTATAGATATAGGGCAATTCACGTTATCTATTGCTTCTTGATTGAGATTTGCTAATTTTCATTTTTAAAGGAATTTGTTAATTTTATCTAAGTTGTCCTGTTTACTTACATAGAAATTATAATATCTTGTTATATTTTTAGTATCTGTAGAATCTATAATTATGTCACATTGTTTATTTCTGAAACTAGTAATTTGTATTGTTTCTTTTATTCGGAGCAGCCTGGCTAAATGGAGCTTTATCACATTTATTGAGCTCCTCAAGGTGTTTTGTGTTGTTGATTTTTTTCTATTGTTTCTTCTGGAACCAACAGTATAACAAAATACCATAGACTGGTTCAAACAACAGAAGTTGATTTCTCGCAGTTGTGGGTTCAGCAAAGTCCAAGATCCAGATGCTGTCGTGTTTGGTGTATGATTAGGGAACACGTCCTAGTTCATGAATGCTTTTTCTCTGTGCCCTCACTTGGCAGAAGGGGTGAAGGAGATCTGGGGTCTGTTGTATAAGAGCACTAAGTACTAATCCCATTCATTAGGGCTTTGCTCTCATGACCAACTACCTGTAAAAATCCCCCCTCCTAATACCGTCACATCTGTGATTGGCTTTCAGCATATAAATTTTGGGGAAGACAAACATTCAGACCACAGCAGATGTTTATTATTTCCTTTCCTCTGCTTGCTTTGGGTTTAAGTCACTCTTCTTTTATCTAGTTGCTTAAGGTAGAAGTCAAAGTCATTGATTTAAGACTCTTCTAATGTAGACATTCAGCAGTGCTAAAAATTTGTATTCAAGTACAGCTGTAGCTGCATTCCACAAATTCTGGTTGATGAATTTTTATTCAGTTCAGAATATTTTCTATTTTCTATTTCTATTTTCATTACCTGTTTGACCCAGGGTTATTTAGATGTGTGTTACTTAGTTTCCAAATATTTGTGTATTTGCCAGAGTTATTTTTGTTATCGGTCTTTAATCTGATTGATTTGTGGTCAGGGCACATACTTTGTATGACTTAAATCCTTCTGACTCAATCCTTTGAGAGTTGTTGTATGGCCTAAAATATGGTCTATTTTGGTAAGTGTTCCGTGGGTACTTGGAAAGCATAGTGTTGTTCAAGTCTATTCTCGCTGATTTTCTGCCTTCTTGTTCTATCACTTATTGAGTAAAGGGTATTGAAACCTCAGATTACCTAGAAATTGTCTGTTACTTTTTGTAGTTCTATCCACTTTGGTCTCATATATTGCGAGGCTGGTTTGTTATTAGGGGCATAAAGACTTAGGATTGTTATGTTTTGTTGATTAACTGAACCTTTTACAATTGTGACATGACCTTTGTTATTTATTGCTGGAATGTTTTTTTTTTTGCTATGAAATCTACTTTGGTATTAATACAGCCACACCTGCTCAGCTGCCTTTGCCAACTGTTAGCATGTATCTTTTTCCATCCTTACAACCAATTTGTGTCTTTACATTTAAAGTGCTTTTCTTATAGGCAGCCTGTAGTTGGGTCTTGCTTTCTTGCTGAGCCTGACAGTCTGTGTTATAGTTGAGGTTCTTAGACAAGTGTCATTTATAATGTGATTATTGATATAGTTATGTTTGTCTGGTAGCTGTGTGATTGCTATTAGTCCCAACTGTTCTGTGTTCCCCTTCTTTTCCTGCTTTCCTTTAGATTAGTCAACTGTTTTTTATGATTCAATTTTATATATATTTTTGGGTTTATTAGCGATAACTGTTTTGCTATCTTAGTGTTTAGGATTTTTAGTATATAATTTTAACTTATCACAGTTCACCTTCAGTAATATTATACATCCTAGATGGTATAAAAAATGACAATGATACATTTTCATTTTTTTCTGTCCCAGACACTTCCTTCCTGAATCTGTGGGATTATGGTTTGTGTTAAGGTTACAATATTTTTGGCCATTTTTTCTTTAATTTTTTTTCTGTCTCTTCTTTTTTATTTGAGGAGTTATCTATTAACTGCTTGAAAGTTTCTTGCAGTTTATCGTGTCAAATTTAGGAATTTTTCCTTTGTTATCTCTAATTTGTGTTTATTTCCATCCACTATAGTTTTTATTTGTGACAATGTAATTTGCGTCTCTACAAGTATGGTTTGTGTTTTTTTTAAAAAAAAACCTTCCCTGCCTCCACTTATTATCTTGAGTTTTATTTGGAGTACAGAGATTTACTTATAATCTTTCCATTCTTGCTTTTAGATTTGGGGTAATTCCTAACTCCTGAGGCAAGACCTTTCTGAGTATTCATTGTCCTGTGAAGTATGTGGTATTTTGGCCTGGCTCATGGGAATGGACCCTCTTCCAGTCATTGTGTGAACCCCAGACATCGTTTCTGCTAATTTTCTTTAACTGTTTTTTTTAAATTTTATTTTTCATTGTTCTTAGGAAGTTTCCTAGCACACAAGCACTTTTCATTACTCCACTAAATACCCAAGAGGGAATCTCTGCACATCTCCAGGATTTGTTTCCTGTACTGCTTTTTTCTCTCCAGTTTTCTGTCCTGTGATCTCTATCTGCTTTCGTTTTACTGGCCTCTCAGCTTCATCACCCCAGCTCTATGTCAGATTTTCTCCCTTTGTCATGGCCTCGAACCTCCGTCAAAACTCTGTCAAAAGAACTGGGATATTTGTAAGGCCTGCTATATTTGTTTTCTGTCTTTCAGTGATCACCTACCATCTTCATTGCCTGAAGTCCACTGTGTTGAAAATCAGTTTAATGTATTTTGTCTGTTTTGTTTTTTATTCATTCAGATAAGTTGAAAAATCAGTATCTGTTACTCCATCAGAGCTAGTAACAGATTGCAGCAGAGCTTCAGCACAGCACATGCTGCAAACTAGCCAGAGTGCTTTGCTTTCTTCTTTGCTTAACTGCTTCTTTTTCATCCTTCATTTCTCAGTGTAGCATCTCTTCCTCAGGGAAATCTTCCCTGGGTGAAGTATAGATCAAATTATCTTATGCAATCACATAACTATGTTTTTTTTTTTTTTTACAGGACCTATCTGAGTTTATAACTGTCACCTTTTTATCTTGGTTCTTCACTATACTTTAAGCTAAAACAATAGCAGAGGTGTTGTCTTACCTGCAGACCTTACTATAATATCTTCCACTTTGTAGGCACTCAATATGTACATACTTGTTCAACATATGAATGAATACATGTTAAAAATGCACAGTCCTTTATATCCAAAAATCTACTCATGTATTTTATCTCTACTTTGTTTTTTCCTGGTTACAGATTGTGTTCACCTATTGAAAATTAAAAAGACATTTTGTTTATGTAAAAGATTAACAGAACTTAAAGATAATCACTGTGAGCAACTTAGAGTAAAAATTCGAAAACTGAAAAATAAGGCTAGTGTACTACAAAAGAGACTATCTGAAAAAGAAGAAATAAAATCGCAGTTAAAGCATGAAACACTTGAATTGGAAAAAGAACTCTGTAGTTTGAGGTATGACCTAGTTTTAAATAAATGTTTGAACTGTTTGTTTTATATTAAAGACGTATAAGGAGAAGTTTTGTAATTGCGAACTTTCCTTCTAGGATTTAACAGGGAAGAAAGCTTCTTAATCTTATGGAGTGTGAAATTATTGGATATAATATCACAAGTTCTTAATTGTGATACTTCTCTAATAATTAAATGCATATTCTTTTAAATCATAATTTTAATGGCTGTATAGAATTTTACCCTTTGGAAATCTCATTATTTAATTGAAGAATTGAATTTTAGGTTTTAAAAAGTTTTTGTAATAATGCTACAAGGAACATCTTTTATATACACATAGTTTTCTACATTTCTAATTATTTACATTGGATAAATTCTTCTGGTTAAAGTATAGAAACTTTTTTAGATCTGTTTTAGATCTTTGATCAATATTTCTAAATTGTTCTTAAGAATGTTTATATTAATTTATAATTCAACCAACAGAGTATAAAACAGATATTTTTCTTTACCCAGAATAATTATTTTAAAAATTATCAGCCGGGTGCAGTGGCTCATGACTGTAATCCCAGCACTTTGGTAGGCCGAGGTGGGCAGATCACGAGGTCAGGAGTTCGAGACCAGTCTGCCCAACATAGTGAAATGCTATCTCTACTAAAAATACAAAAAATTAGCCAGGTGTGGTGGTTGCACCTGTAATCCCAGCTACTCAGGAGGCTGAGGCAGGAGAATCGCATGAACCTGGGAGGCAGAGGTTGCAGTGAGCAGAGATTGCACCAGTGCACTCCAGCCCAGTGATAGTAGGAGACTCCCTCTCAAAAAAAAAAAAAGTATCCAGTTTTATTCTTAATATGTAGGGAATAAAAAGTAAAATGGAAAGTGATTACTGATTAGCTTATTCAACATCTCTCTCTCTCTGTTATGTAGATAAAATTAATTCAGTTTTATGCTGAAGACATGTATTATTCTTTATTGTTTAATTAAATATTAGATCTTGTGTTGTTCCAAAACAGATTTTACAATTGGTTATAAAGTACATACTAATCAGCAGGATAGACTGAAAGTGTTACCCAAAAAACAATCTTAAAAAGTGTAGGGTAACATATTACATTCTTAACCTAGTCTTGGATTACAGTAATCTGCTGATATATGTTTCATAAAGACATCGAAAATGCTATCTTACAATGTAAATTATGTTTAGGGATACCTGCAATGAATGTTTCATGAAGATGAAAATGTATTTCTAGTGAATGTATCAACTTGTTTATAAAAAGTAACTTTATGTTAATTAACTCTAAATGATTCATCCTAATTGAGGAGTAATTACTGTGTGAAGAAAAGATGATTTTTATCTTGTAACTTTACTGAATAATTTTCAACATCCTTTTTCATAATATTTACTAGAGTTACTAGTAATAGAAACTTATGCAGGATGTTCTTTTATCAATACATTTCAACTTATACATGCCCTTTGGATGAGATTGAGGTGAGAAATTAAAAACATGAGAACTAGAAAGAAAAATAGTATTTAAGAACATAGAAATTTTATTAGGATAATAAACCAACATACGAATGTTTTATTTTCTAATATCAACAAAGAGAGTCAAACTCTGTAAGATATTTGAAGAGATTTATTCTGAGCCAAACATGAGTGACCATGGCCCCCGACACAGCCCTCAGGAGGTCCTGAGAACATGTGCCCAAGGTGGTTGGGTCGCAGCTTGGTTTTATACATTTTAGAGAAGCATGAGACAGCAATCAAATACATGTAAGAAATACATTGGTTTGGTTCAGAAAGGCAGGCCAACTCAAAGCTGGGGCTTCCAGGCTGTAGGTAAATTTAAACATTTTCTGGTTGACAATTGGTTGAGTTTATTTGAAGACCTGGGATTAATGGAAAGAAATGTTCAGGTTAAGATAAATGATTGTGGAAACCAAGTTTTACTGTGCAGAGGAATCTCTCAGCAGACTTCAGAGACAGCAGATTGTAAAATGTTTCTTATCAGACCCAAAAGGGTGCCTGGGTCTCAGCTGAATATCCCCTGGATCTGCATAGAAAGGAAGGAAAACAAAGGGGAAAGGGGGTTCTCTATAGAATGTGGATTTTTCCCACAAGAGACTTTGCAGGGCAATTTCAAGGCATGGCAAGGAAATATATTTTGGATTAAATATTTTCTTCCTTGTCTCGTAAGGTTATGCCAGAGTCAGATTGAAAAGCAAGTCACAATATACAGGGTCAAATAAAACCCATCTGATGAGAATCCATGGTTTGTAGGGCACGACTCCCTGGACCCCTTAGGTAGGAATTTGGGTAAGATAAAAAATTAGAGCTTAGTCCTCACTGATAAGATAAATTCTAAGATAAGTATATTTACAGATTTGCCATACAGCAAGAAAAAAAGAAAAGAAGAAATGTTGAAGAGTTGCACCAAAAAGTTAGGGAAAAGTTAAGAATCACAGAAGAGCAATATAGGATAGAAGCTGATGTGACAAAACCAATTAAACCGGCTCTCAAATCAGCAGAGGTGGAATTGAAGACAGGAGGAAATAATTCAAATCAGGTAAATTAATGTTTGGTAAAACTTCATATTTCTACTCTTATTAATATTACTTATACCATCTCTTTTGTTTAATGTACATTATTTAGGCCTGAACAATCCCCAAATTTTATTTCATCTTAAAAATGAATCATGGCATTTATAACTATAATTATTTATAATAAATCTTGAAATATTTTATTTTAGTTCAAAGGCCTTTTGAAAACAATGCTATTCTACAATATATACTTAATGATATTGTTAGTATTTTGTTCCTAGTGACATAGTTCAGCATATTTTCCCCTATTTCATATTAATTACATTTCGAATGTTATGGAAAAGGAATAAAAGTTATCACAATAGCAAATAATCTCATGATTTTCTAAGAAGAGCTTTATAGATTTAATTTTCTTGACTTTTGGTGTCTTGAAATAAAAGATTATTTTTGTATGTATATATCTACCTCACAGAAGTTACTGATTTGATGGAAGAGCACTAGGAATAGAGTCAGAAAAGCTGGGAAAAATCCTGCAGCTTGCTTATATTTTTAACCTTTTGCTATAGAATTATAACTAAATGAGTTCATTGATTTGTGCGTGTAAAAGTGCTTAGTATAATGCCTAGACTTATCATTTATCAATAAATGTCATTCTTAAAATTGACCATAACAATATTAGAAAAGTAGAATATCTATACAATATTTTAGAAAAAGAGAACTTAAAGAATTTGGAAAATGTCATTCATCTGTCCAAATATCTGCCAAGCTAAGGCTCTCACTATAGGGAGAGGTATAGTTTAGATGTTAGAGTGTAAACCCAATTTTTTAATGTGGTCATAGTTATTAATTCTTTATGCCTTGCAATTTGTTGTAATTCAGTAAAAGCCTTTTTTTATCCTGAAATTTAAAAAAATTATCTAGTGGTTTCTTTTTTGCTTTCATGGATTCACTGTCTTCAAATAAACTTTTGAACTTTGGGGAATTTATGCTGTATGAGGTTTGAGGTTTTGACTCAACTTCTTTTTTCCCAGTTAGATATCCAGTTATGGCAACCTCTCATTGTATAAATGTTCGGGTTATTATTTAATTTCAGAAGCAATCACAATATGTTATCCTATTGGATACTAGTTACAAGTTTGCTTTGTTTTACTTAGGTTTCTGAAACTGATGAAAAAGAAGACCTGCTGCATGAAAACCGCTTGATGCAAGATGAAATTGCCAGGCTCAGGCTGGAAAAAGACACAATAAAAAACCAAAACCTGGAAAAGAAATACTTAAAAGACTTTGAAATTGTGAAAAGAAAGCATGAAGACCTTCAAAAGGCTCTAAAACGGAATGAGGAAACATTAGCAGAAACGATAGCCTGTTATAGTGGACAGCTTGCTGCTCTGACGGATGAAAACACAACGCTCCGTTCTAAACTGGAGAAGCAAAGAGAGAGCGGGCAAAGACTGGAAACAGAAATGCAATCATACCGTTGTAGACTGAATGCTGCTCTATGTGATCATGATCAAAGTCACTCATCAAAAAGAGACCAAGAGCTTGCTTTCCAGGGCACAGTAGATAAATGTTGTCATTTACAGGAAAATTTGAATTCTCATGTTCTGATTCTTTCTCTGCAACTTTCTAAAGCTGAGAGTAAGTTCAGAGTCCTCGAAACTGAGCTCCATTACACAGGAGAGGCTCTGAAAGAAAAGGCTTTGGTTTTTGAACACGTGCAAAGTGAGCTAAAGCAAAAACAGAGTCAAATGAAGGACATTGAAAAAATGTACAAAAGTGGATACAATACAATGGAAAAATGCATAGAAAAGCAGGAAAGATTTTGTCAACTAAAAAAACAAAATATGTTGCTTCAACAGCAACTGGATGATGCTCGCAACAAAGCTGACAATCAAGAAAAAGCAATACTTAATATTCAAGCCAGATGTGATGCTAGAGTAGAAAACCTTCAAGCTGAGTGCAGAAAGCACCGTCTCTTACTAGAAGAAGACAATAAAATGTTGGTGAATGAATTGAATCATTCGAAAGAAAAAAAATGCCAATATGAAAAAGAGAAAGCAGAAAGAGAAGTAAGTATCAAGAAAAATAAGTATTTTTCAAACTTCCTGAAGTAAAATTTAAAGTAATATTTGGTTACAGCTGAATGTTGGATCTAGTTGAATATAAAAAAGGATACATATGATAAATATATCTGCTTAGAAACATTCCTTGTCTCCAGCAAGTCAAAGTTAGAACTGAGAGATGCTTTCCTCTGATTAAAGTTAATGTGTCACTTATAAAATTTTAAGTTTTAAAATGTTAATATAGACTAACATTAATAATGTAGTCTTATACTGCTGAAATAATAATTTTAATGTATTTATGTTGCAACATTTTAAGACCATGATAAATCAGGTATATGGAAATGCTCATACCTAAAATGGTATTTTGAAATTGATTCAATTAAGTGGGGTACTTTGACAGTGAATTTCAGATTTCCTAGATGAACTGAAGTGTATTCCCTATTTCATAATTACTTTTCTTCAGTAGCTTTAAATATGTCTTAGTTGGTAAAATTTTGTTTTTCTTCATGTCAATTTGACTTAAATCTGAAACTATTTCAATCTCAAATTATGTATAGATATGATCATTCTATTCTTTCAAGGCATCTAATTTTACTTCTATTATAATATGGGGAAAATGCAGTAAATTTTAGCCAAATCATGTTTGATTTAATCTTCCCACTGACATTTATAATTTACTTTCAGTTTTTAAATAAAAAATTTGCTCATAATTTTTATTTCAAGGCTCAATTACTATCATTTGGATATAACTTTGTCCAGGACAAAGAGAGGCATAGCTATCTGTGATTTATTAGTTTGACACTGGATCCCCATTCTCAGACTAAGGAGGATTTCAGACTAACGAGGAGTGGCAGGATTCACGTAGAGTAGGAATGGAGTGAGTACGGAGGAGAGATATAGCAGCTGAGTCAGGGCGGGAGGTGGAGGGCGGGTTACTTAGAGCATCTAAGGCCACTGGAATTTTACTTTTCTTCTGAGATAGACATCTATTGGAAGGATTTAAGCAGATGATTTAATGTGAGGAACTCTGAGGTTGATTTGAGTTTCTAATTTAAAAAAAGAGGGAAATCATTCCACAATGTATAATTTACTACCGTCAGTCTCACCCACATACTCATTTCTTTTTGAGACTTCAGAAGGTTTTTAAGCATTGCAGATTCATCAAGGGAGGAATGACTAGTGGGCTGAATATGTTGTGTGAATAACAATACCAGTTTGGCAGGAAGATAACACCTTCTGTATCCTTAACTGGATTCAGTAATACACGGGAATGTGTACACATGAGGAAAAGAAGGTGAATCGGTCTGTGTGGTGATATTTTTCAAAGCGTATGCTTTAGAGTTAAATATTATTAATGGTTTAATAATAAGGTGATTTGTAAAATCAGTAACAAAAATAACATCTTATCAGGTAGCTGTGAGACAGCTTCAACAAAAACAAGATGATGTCTTAAACAAACGATCAGCAACAAAAGCTTTGCTGGATGCTTCATCGCGTCACTGCATCTATTTAGAAAATGGGATGCAGGATTCAAGGAAGAAATTAGACCAGATGAGAAGTCAAGTATGTATGCAACTTTGCACACCAACAACTGTTAATCTGTAGCTAGTTAACTAATATAAAGTGTTTTGGGGTACTAATTTTAGTGGATGGCTTTCTTTTGTATTTTTATGATAATTAATGTTATTAAAATTTTATAGTGGATGGCTTTCTTCTGTATTTTCCTTATTATTAATTTTATTAAGATTTTATTATAATGCACCTATATCTTAATCTCTGGCTTTCATTCTGCCATTTTTTATACATATATTTTTTTCTTAAATATTTAACCTTAGGAAAGTTGAGAATTATGCATCATTTCTCACAGAAATTGAGAGAGTTTTTTTCCTGTTAAACGTCTATTTTTAATGATTTCTCTATTGGCATGGTGAGGCAAGCCAGATTAATTCAGAGGATAATGTCTAATGGAATGTTTCAGAAAATTATCTTCTTTTTAGTCTCTACTTTTCTGAATGTATAAAGAACCTGTGTATACTTATTTCATAGATTTCAGGTTAATTTGTTCAGAAAGGCCATTTTACTGAATAAATTTTTATTTCGATGAAAATCGTTACTCCTTTTGTATTGGGCTCAGAGAGCACACTCTGTCTCTATATGAATATGGACAGTTCGCATTTGCCAACATGTATCTATTTTCTCTTATTTGTAGAAAAAGCTAAACTAAAAAGGGGGTTATAGAAGGTCAGCAAAGGATGGGTTTGAGATGTTTGGGTTGGTTAAGTGGGCATTTAGACAACAGGGCTTCTCCTTTGGCATGTTTAATGGACACCTTTGCAGTTTAAGATGATGCTTTTAAATTACTTCTCTCCTAATGATGACCTGAGTCCTGCTATTCAATGGGAGAGTCAATAATATCCTGTAGGATCTTATTTGGAACTGACTTTGTCGATTTTAATTTTGTTCCTGCTTGTTTTTAAATTTTCTTGTTGTTTCCCTAGAAAGAAAAGATGACGCTTAGTTTTAAATATTTAAAAATGTGCAAGTTGCTTTGCTATAATAAAACTAAATGCATACATACAAAAAATAAAATTATAGTTGATGTGGTAGTGTTTGGAATTCAAAATATAAATGCTTAGCCTGATGTAATCCTTTATCTTTCCACATTTTACCAGTTTGTAAGTTTGAGTATTTAACTGATAAAATGTAATTCAAAAGCAAGAAGAATGTTGTGTTTTAGTCCTAGAGCAGGGGTCTGTGAACTTTTCTGTAAAGGGCCAGATAGTATTATTTAAGGCTTTGTGAGCCATAAGATCCTTGTTGCAATAACTCAGCCCTGCAGTTACAGCACAAAAGTAGCCATGAACAATATGCAGACTGAAGGGGTGTAGCAGTGTCCCACTAAAATTAATTACAAAAAACAGGTAATGGGATGACTTCTCCTAGATTATGACCTTTTATAAATAAAAAAGATTCTGATAGTCTAAAATATTTTATATACATTTTGTTGATTCATTCATCTACTGATGGACATTTAGGTCATTTCCAAATGTAATTTTTTAAAATTCTTTGTTTTAGTTTCAAGAAATACAGGATCAACTTACAGCTACTATAAGATGTACTAAGGAGATGGAAGGCGACGCACAAAAGTAAAATTTGAAGC
Organism: Homo sapiens; assembly: GCF_000001405.40. Lineage (NCBI taxonomy): Eukaryota > Metazoa > Chordata > Mammalia > Primates > Hominidae > Homo > Homo sapiens. Next base: position 95,852,111 of record NC_000002.12, on the reverse strand, counting down.
AGCACACAAAATAACTTGAGTATTTATAAAGCAAAGGAGCACTGTAGTATGAAAATTGTATCAGTTATGATAATTAGTATGTCTTTGTGAAGCCAAAAAAGTTTCATCTGTAAGCTATATTGACATACATCATTTTTCTACATTATTCCTAAATTTTGCATATTATCAACAAAACACAGGTAGAAAAATGACACAGTAGCCCAATCGTCTACTTTTGTGATTGCTAAGAATTTGTGTAATTATACCTTCAGAAGTTTGTTTAGAATTTACATGATTTAAAAACAATTATGTGTGAGAGTAATTATTTTAAAATGCACATTTTAGGCTTGAAGTAGAAAATGTCATGATGAGAAAAATTATTAAAAAACAGGATGAACAAATTGAGCGGTTTGAGAAAATCCTGCAGCATTCAAGTTTGGTAAGCTGATTTCTTAATTTCTGTCATACTGAAAAGGAATTTTATTTTTCCAGTAGGACGGGTTAAATATCCCTTGTCCAAAATGCTTGGGGCCAAAAGTAGATTTTTTTCAGATTTTGGAATATTTGCATATACCTAATGAAATATCTTGCGGATGGTACCTGAGTCTAAACATGAAATTCATTTATGTTTCATATATACCTTATGCACATAGCCTGAAGGTAATTCTCTACAATGTTTTACAGTAATTTTTTGCAGGTAAGAAAGTTTTTACTGTTTTCCCCAGAGCCTGTCACATGAGGTCAGGTGTGGAATGTTGCAGTTGTGGTGTCATGTCCGTGCTCAAAAAGTTTCAGATTGTAGAGCATTTTGGATTTCAGATTTTTAGATTAGGGATGATCAATCTACAGTACAGATGCTCCTTGACTTACAGTGGGTTTACATGATAATGTCTCTTGTTTGACTGAAACATTATAAGTAATATTTGATTTATTTCAGATGCTGCAGGTGTTTGAGAGCTAGATGAAGGTATGTTGCCAAAATTTATGAATTAAATTCCAATCATTGATTTCTGAAATAAACTCTAAGTAGTGAACGGTATTCCCTCTCAATTGCTTGGTTAATAAATGCTACATTAAATATTTTTTCTTACACACATCTAGTGAAAGATGTGAAAACATAAACATTCATAGTGAAGGGTAATACTTATGCTTTGTTAATTCATCATGTTCCATAGCTTTAAAAAATCGCAAGAAGTCTGTGTATCCCTTTTTTTCTGGCCCTACACTTTTCTTCTGCCACCCCTATAGAACTATCAGCCTGCAAACTGAAACTGTTCTCACAAAACAAAGGCATCGTCAACTTCTCAAGGTTAAGGTAGTGATTTAAGGCTAACAGACCCCACACTCGTGATAATAATTAGTTAAGCAATTACAGGTCACAAGCAGTCACTTGACCAGTGACATTTTAAATCTCTAGTCATTGACTTTGTCATTGGTTTACTTTTGCCCGTGGGAAAAGTTGAAAATTCCTTAGCATGGAATCAAAACTCTCACATCAGTGTGGTTCTTGTCAAGTTATTCAGCCTTATCTTTCGCCACTTACCATACTCTGCACCTTTGTTCTAGCATCCAGCCAAACTAGACTACATGGAGCTCCACAGTGATCGTCTTCACCTCCAGCTGTTTGCATTTACTTCTTCCCTCTATCCTACATGTGTTTTCCTTCCCCTTCAGATATCAACCTATGAATTGCCTCTACCAAAAAGCCTACAATATTGACACAAACCTGGGCTAGTATCCCTTCTATGTCTTCCAATAAGTGCTGTCTTATGCCTGTCATTGTATGTATGACTCTGTACGGGAATTGCCTGTTTGTTTTTTCAGATTATAGCATACAGTTGTTGAGGGGTGGACTGTATCATCTTTATCTTGTAATTCCAGTGCTTGTCCTAGTACCTTAGCACATGGTTGCTGAATACATGAATGAAGAGTGAGAAACCAGAAGCTCTGATACTTAACTGCCATGATAATGAATTCAGTGTGCAACTATGGGCAAATTATATTTAATAGTAATTGCATATTGTACATATTTTTCATTCTTATTAACACTGATAAACTTTTCAACATATACTGACTTTCTCTTAGTTAACTGTGAAATCATTTAGATAAAGAATATAATTCTTTTTCATTGTAACTTCTGAATTTAAATCTGAATCCTCTATAGCAGGGGTCCCCAACCCCCAGGTCACAGACAGGTCCATGACCTGTTAGGAACCAGGCTGCACAGCAGGAGGTGAGTGGCAGGCAAGCGAGTGAAGCTTCATCTGTATTTCCAGCCACTGCCCGTTGCTCACATTATCACCTGAGCTCTGCCTCCTGTCAGATCAGCAAAGCCATTAGATTCTCACAGGAGTGAAAATCCTATTGTGAACTGCACGTTCAAGGGATCTAGGTCACATGCTCCTTATGAGACTCTAATGCCTGATGATATGTCATTGTCTCCTTTCTCTTCACGATGGGACCATCTAGTTACAGAAAAACAAGCTCAGGACTCCCATTGATTCTCCATTATGATGAGTTGTGTAATTATTTCATTATGTATTACAATGTAGTAATAATAGGAATAAAGTGCACAATAGATGTAATACGCTTGAATCACCATCCTGAAACCATCCCCCAAACCCCCATCTGTGGAAAAATTATCTTTCACAAAACTGCTGCCTGGTGCCAAAAAGGCTGGGGACTGCTGCTCTATAGCTTCTGCACTAGAATCTACTAATGAGTAAAATCTAAATCAATACCTAGTTTTAAAAGCATAACAAGAATATGTGCTGTCTGGCTGCAGTGGCTCATGCCTGTATTCTCAGCACTTTGGGAGGCCAGTGCAGGTGGACCACTTGAGGTCAGGAGTTCAAGACCAGCCTGGCCAATATGGTGAAATCCTGTCTCTACTAAAAACACAAAAATTAGCTGGGTGTGGTGGTGCATGCCTGTAGTCTCAGCTACTCGGGAAGCTGAGGTGGGAGAATCACTTGAACCCGGGAGGCAGAGGTTTCAGTGAGCCAAGATCATGCCACTGCACTCCAGCCTGAGCAACAGAGTGACTCCATCTCAAATGCAAAACAAAACAGAAAGAATACGTGCTGACAAAAAAAATCTAAAAGACAATAAAATTGTATTACTAGGCTGTTAACATGATATTTTGTTTCCCATTAAATGTGTGACATGCAAAAGTATTTATTAAATGAAAATATTTTTGTATCTTTTATGTCTGATGAAAATTTATATCATGTTTTAAATGATGTTTCTTGGCCTCTTTAACTTTTTTTTTTTATTATTATTATTTTTGAGACGGAGTCTGGCTCTGTCACCCAGGCTGGAGTGCAGTGGCGAGATCTTGGCTCACTGCAAGCTCCGCCTTCTGGGTTCATGCGGTTCTCCTGCCTCAGCCTCCCGAGTAGCTGTGACTACAGGTTCCCAGCTAGTTTTTTTTTGTATTTTTAGTAGAGATGGGGTTTCTCCCTGTTAGCCAGGATGGTCTCCATCTCCTGACCTTGTGATCTGCCCGCCTCGGCCACCCAAAGTGCTGGGATTACAGGTGTGAGCCACTGCGCCAAGCCTGAAAATCTTACTACCTAAATAACTTCCCACTCCACTCACACCCACAATCTTTCTATAATCCACATTCTCTCCTGAGACAAGAGCTTGGGAAGTTCCGTCTTTCTGAGAGAACTTTATATTGTTCAGGAATTCTTTAATAAGCTTTTACACCGTTGGGGAAACCAGGGAAAAGCAGGTTTGTCACTGCTTTGCTGAGGAGCAGACTCACATGCTTTGGAAGAATTTAGTAAACCTTCAATAGATGGCCTAAGATACTAACAGGGGCCATCTCATTAAGCTACACAGTTATTTATAAATGAAAGTATAATCTAGAACTTACATGTCAAAGTCTTCCACTACAAAGATGGCAATATTTGACTAAAACTGCAATGTTTGTCCCAGTTAACAAAACTCTAATCAAGCCCCTGCCCTTCTCATTCTGTTTTTCCTTTTAAACTTTTTTTATATTTTAATTTTTCATTTGACAAATGCATATTTCCTCTTTATACCATGCTTCCAAGTGTCACTCTGATACATACCTTCAATGACCAGACACAGGATTGTGGAGTTTGTTGTGGACACTCATCCCATGAATAGGGAGACTCCGATAACCTGAACAGAAAGCTCTGAAAAGAAAGGAAACTTTCTTTTCCGTCCATACAGAGCTTCCCCCCATTATTTCAGTGTACACAAACCAACATCAGTTCTTTAACACAAAAATAAAAATACTCAAGATCAAGCAATTGTGAGGGAAATCATCTTTCCAGAAGTCAATTCTTCTAGCGGTTACCTTCAGCATATACTACATGAATGAAAAGAAGTTGGTCAAACGAGTAAAACTTTCCCACCTCATTCCATTTCTGTCTACCCATTGACAACACCTTCGGTCTTCTCACAAATATTGAGTAGAAACACTGCCAACTCTTCACCTTTATCTGGCTCATTCCCAGAGCCAGGAGAAGATGTGATTTATTTGGTGGATGGGAAATCTTATCCATTGGTCCCATCAAATCCATTGGTCCACGTTTGCCTATTAGTAAGGCAAACTTACTCAGTGATCAATGAGTACATCTAGTCTCTCTTTCTCCTCTGGATTCTGAACAGGAGAAGTGGAAGGCAGGTGAAGACCCTCCCTGCACTGGGTGGGTAACTGACTGTTCTTCAGATGAACTTTTTTTTGTTCAGGTTCTAAAGTCAAGGCTAGGGGGCAATATTAGAAGTCTTTTTTGGTCAACATTAAGCCATAGTTTCTAAATCAGCTTTAGGAGGAATAATGTATTTGGATATTGATCTGACCTCTTGTTTTTATTTCTAAGTTTGTTTGGCACTGAAAAAGGAGAGGTTTGTTATCAATCCACACCCCTAATGCCCTGACATCCATGAATCCGTTTTAGTGGAATCCAGATCTCTAAGAAAGAGATATAAAATATTTGTTCCTATCCAACTGTGATTAATATATTTCCAACTATGTTGCTGTCTGTAAGTAGAGTCTGCATACGTGTTTCTGGTTCATATATGCCTAGGGTTCCAGAGCATTACATTTCCATCAAAATGTAGATCCCAAGAATGCCAGAGAGGGTCAGGCCGAGGATAGAACAGACAGTGATTTTCAGATACTGCAGTAGGAAGGTGGATCCACCTCTTGGCTTACTTGTAACCATGAAGTGTGGGAAAGTAATGACCAGATTGAGTAAATGACCAGAAATTCAAAACTAAGCCACAAGAAATTTGTCTATTTCTGCTTTTGTTGACTGCTATCAGGGTTACATCAAAAACAGTATTGCTGAGACCAGTGTTGTGGAGCTTTAACTCTATGTTTTCTTCTAGTAATTTTACAGTTCAGGCCTTCTATTTAAATCTTCATTTGGAGTTGATATTAGTATATGGTGTAAGTTAAGGGACTAACTTTATTTTTCCTGTGGATATTCAGTTTTCTCAACACCATTTGTAGAACAGACTATCCTTTAACCATTGTATGTCCTTGGCACCTTTGTCAAAGATAAGTTGACTGTGTGTGGGTTTATTTCTGGGTTTTCCATTTTGTTTAGCCAGTTTGTCCATTTATATGCCACTACCATGCTATTTGGATTACAATTGTTTTACAATATGTAATAAAATTAGGTAGCAGGCTGTCTCTAGCTTTGTTCTTTTTGCTCAAGATTATTTTGTCTATTTTAGGTCTGTTCAATACAAATGTCAAGATTTTTTTCCATTTCTGTAAAAGAATGGCATTGGAATTTTGATAGTGATTGCATCAAATATGTTGCTTTTGGTATTTTGTTCATTATCACAATATTAATTCATCCCATCCACAAGCATGAATTTTTTTTTTTCATTTACTTGTGTTTTTAAATTTTTGTTCATTGGTGTTTTATAGTTTTTCATATACAGGACTTTTAATTTTTTGCTTAAATTTACACCTAAGTATTTAATTTCTGTTGCTATCGTACTTGGGATTTTTTAAAAATTTCTTCAGGTAGTTTGTTATTTGTATACAGAAACACTTCTGATCTTTGTTAGATTATTTTGTATCCTGAAACCTTATTGAATTCATGCATCAGTTCTAACAGTTTTTGGTGGAATATTTAGGGTTTTCTGTATACAGGATCATGTTGTCTGCAATTAGAGATAATTTCACATTTCTTTTCTGAGTAGGATGCTTTTCTTTTCTTTTCTTGTCTAATTGTTCTGCCTAGGAATTCCACTGTTAACGATGAAAAGAAGTGGTGAGAGTGGTCATCATTGTGTTGTCCCTGAACATGGAGGAAAAGCTTTCAACTTTTCACGTTGAGAATAACATTAGCTAAGAGCTTGTCATACATGGTTCTTTTTTGTGTCGAGATACATTTTCTGTACACTTGTTTTGTTGAGAGCTTTCATCATGAAAAGGTTTTAAATTTTGTCATGTGCTTTTTCTGCATGTATTCAGAGAATCGTACGATTTTTGTCTTTGACTTTGTTCATGCATTTTATCACATGTATTCATATGCATATGTTGAAACCAACTTGCATCCAAAGGATGAATCCCACTTGATCATGGTGAATGATTCCATTCATATATTCTTAAATTTGGTTGCTAATGTTTTGTTGAAGATTTTTGCATCAGGGTTCATTACTGACATTGGCCTAGTATTTTCGTCTCTTGTAGTGTCCTTGTCTGTCTTTGGTATCAGAATGATGGTAGCCTAATAAAATGAGTTTGGAAGTATTTCCTCTATTTCACTTTTTTGAAAGAGTTTGAGAGTAATTTTTATTAGTTCTTTAAAGGTTTGTCAGAATTTAGCAGTGAAGCCTTCTGGTCCTATGCTTTTCTTTCATGGGAGGCTTTTAATTTCTGCTTCAGGCCGGGCTTGGTGGCTCATGCCTGTAATCCTAGCACTTTGGGAGGCTGAGGTGGGTGGATTGCCTGAGGTCTGGAGTTCGAGACCAGCCTGGCCAACGTAGTGAAACCCTGTCTCTACTAAAAATACAAAAAAATCAGATGGGTGTGGTGGTGGGCGCCTGTAATCCCAGCTACTTGGGAGGCTGAGGTAGGAGAATTGCTTGAACCTGGGAGGTGGAGGCTGCAGTTAGCCGAGATTGTGCCATTACACGCTACCTTGGGCAACAAAAGCAAAACTCCGCTTCAAAAAAAAAAAAGGAAATTCTGCTTCAATTTCCTTATTATTTATTAGTCCATTCAGATTTTCTGTTTCTTCTTGATTCAGTCTTGGTAAGTTGTATATTTGTGGAAATGTTTTTATTTCTTCTATGTTATCCAAATTGTTGGCATACAAATGTTCATTATATGAACAATTGTAATCCTTTGTATTTTAGAGTTAAGTTGTATTTTCTCCTATTTCATTTCTGATCTTATTTGTTGGAATAGTCCTTTTTCTAGTTAGTCTAGATACGGATTGGTTGATTTTGTTTATCGCCTTAAAAAGAAGTTCAGTATTAATTCTTTCCATTGGGTTTCTCATATCTATTTTATTTATTTCCACTTTAATCTTTGCTATTTTCTTATTTCTGCTAATTCTTGGCTTTGTTTCTCATCTAGTTCATTGAGGTATAATGATTTATTTAACTACATTCTATAAGTTTTGGTATGTTGTGTTTTCATTTTTGTGTGTCTTAAAATACGTTTTTTAATTTTTTCTGTAACTCATGGGCCATTTATTAATATGTTAAATTTTGCCATTTTATGTATTTTTCAAGATTTCTTGTGTTACTGATTTCTAGCTTTATGCCATTGGGATGCAAAAATTTTCTTTCTATAATTCAATTCTCTAATATTTGTTAAGATCTGTTTTGTGGCCTAACATATGATATATACTGGAGAATGTTCCACTCACATTTCAGAAGAACAGGTACACTTCTGCTGTTGGATAGGATGTTCTGGGTATATCTGTTAGATCCAGTTGCTCCAAAGTATAATTCAAATCTAATGTTTCTTAATTTATTATCTTTCTAAATGATCTTTCCATGGTTGAAATTGGGGTATTGAGGTCTCCTACTATTATAGTATTGCAGTATATTTTTCTCATGAGATTATTTAATAATTGCTTTATGAATTTAGGTCTTGTGACCTTGAGTGCATATATATTTACAAGTATTATGTCTTCGTGATGAATTAACTCCTTTATCATTATGCAGTGAACCGTATCTCTTTTATAGGTTTTGACTTAGTTTATTTCTTTTAATAATAAGTATAGCTCCCCTGCTCTATTTTAGTTTGCATTTGCATGGAATATCTTTTTTCATCTTTTCAGTTTCAGCCTATATATGTCTTGACTGGTAAAGTGAGTCTCTTGTAGGCAGCACATGATTGAATCTTGTTTTTTATTCTATCCATTGAGATGCTCTATGTCCTTTTATTTGACAATGTAATGCACTTACTATCAAGGTAATTATTTATAGGGAAGGACTTGCTACTGCCACTTTGTAATTTTTTTTCTGATTGTTTTATGAGTTCTTTGTTCCCTTTTTCTCTCTTGCTGAACTATTTTATAGCTTGATGGCTTTCTGTGGTGGTATGCTTTAAAATTTTGGATAAATTGCAAAATAAACTTTTTTATTTTGTGCAGTTATGATAGGTTTTGTTTTGTGGTTATCATGAAACTTACCTAAAATATCATATTCTTATAACAAACTACTCTAACAACTTCTGATAGCAACTTCTCTTTAATTGCATCCAAAAGTCTACATTTTCATTCTCTCTCCCATACAATTGTACAATTTTGTCAAAACTTACCCTTTTATTTCATATTTATATACCTTAACAATTTATTGTAGCTACAGTTATTTTCAGTACCTTTGTCTGCTAACCCTACTAGTAGGGATAAAATTGCTTTACAAACCACCCTTAGAATATTACAGCATTTTAAGCATGACTGTGTATTACTGATAGCATTGAAGCTTTTTACTTTTATATGTTTTTTTCTTACTATTTAGGCTTTTATTTCAATGTAAGGCTCTTCCTTTAGTAATTCTGATCAAACAGGGATATTGATTATAAACTTTATTAGTTTTTTTTTGTATAGAAAGGTTTTTATATCTCCCTCTCCCTCATTTCTACAGGACAGCTTTGCTAGGCACAGAATTTTTTTTTTTTCAAGATGGAGTCTTGCTCTGTCACCCAGGTTGGAGTGCAGTGGTGTGATCTCACCTCCCAGGTTCAAGCTTGCTCACTGCAATCTCCGCCTGCCAGGTTCAAGCAATTCTCCTGCCTCAGCCTCCCAAGTAGTTGGGATTACAGGCCCATGCCACCATGCCCAGCTAATTTTTGTAGTTTTAGTAGAGATGGGGTTTCATCATGTTGGCCAGGCTGGTCTTGAACTCCTGGCCTCCTGATCCACCTGCCTCGGCCTCCCAAAGTGCTGGGATTACAGGTATGAGCCACTTCACCCGGCCGGGAACAGTATTGTTGATTGGCATTTTTGTTTGTTTGCTTGCTTGTCTGCTTTAGCATTTTGAATACATCATCCCTCTCTCTTGTGGACTGTAGGGTTTTCTGCAGAGAAATCCACTGAAAGCCATATTGAAGCTCCCTTGAATGTGATGTATTTCTTGTTTTTTTGCTGTTTTCAGTATTCTTTGTTTTTCATTTTTAATAACTTCATTGTGATGTGTGTTGATAAATGCCTCTTGGATTGAAATGGATTCATGACCTCTGCAGTTTTCATACCTCAGTGTTGTCATCATTCTTCATGTTTGGGAAATTTTTAGTCATTATTTCATTAAATATGCTTTCTAGGCCTTTTTCTTTTTCTTCTCCTTCAGAAACTGATATTATATGAAAGTTGGGTTGTTTGATTGAGTCCCATAATTGCCATATGCATTTGTTATTCTTTTTTGTTGTTGTTTTTCCCCTGATGGAATCATTTCAAATGTTTTTTCTGTAAGCTCACTGATTCTTTTTTTCTGCTAATAAAATCAGCTGCTGAAGCATTGTATTAAATTTTTAGTTTGTTGTATTCTCTATATCTAGAATTTCTATTTGTTTTTTGTTATCATATCTATTTCTACTTCAGAACTATCATTCTGTTAATGAATTTTTTCCCAAATTTATTTTAGTATGTTATCCATATTTTCTTGTACAGGCATACTTCAGGGATATTGCAGGTGTGGTTCCAGGCAACCACAATGTAACAAGAACTTGAATTTTTGGTTTTACACTGCATATAAAAGTTTTTTATACTATACCATAGTCTATAAAATGTGCAATAGCCTTATGTCTACAATTACATACTTTAAAAACTACTTTATTGCTAAAAATGCAAATGATCATCTGAGCCTTCAGTGAATTTTAATTTTTGCTGATAAAGAGTCTTTCCTCTGTGTTGATGGCTGCTGAATGATTAAGGTGGTGGTTGCTGCATGATTAAGGTGGTGGTTGCTGCAGATTGAGGTGGTTGTGGCAATTTCTTAAAATAAAACAAGAGTAAAGTTTGCTGCATCAGTTGACTCCTTGATTCCTTTGATGAAAGGTTTATCTGTAGTGTGCCATGCTGTTGGATAGCATTTTACTTCACAGTAGAACACCTTTCAAAATGAGTCGATCCTATCTAATGCTGCCACCGCTTTATCAACTCAGTTTGTATAATAAGATAGGTGTTTTTTTTTTTTGTCATTTCAACAGTGTCTTCACAAGGAATAGATTCCATCTCAGATGGATGGGGCTATAAGAAACAACTTTTAGTACATTCAAGTTTGATCATGAAACTGCAGAAATTCAGTCACAGGCTCAGGCTCCAATTTTACTTAGTTCTCTCGCTAGTTCCACCACACTCACAGTTACTTCCTCCACTGAAGTCTTGAAACCCTCCAAGCTATCTATGAGGGCTGAAATCAACTTCTTCCAAACTTCATATTTTGACCTCCTCCAAGGAATCACAAATATCTTTAATTTCATCTAGAATAGTGATTGCTTTCTAAAAAAATCCAAATGATTTTTAATTTGCCTTGTGCAGATACGCAGAAGAATCATTGTCTATGGCAGCTATAGGCTTACAAAATGTATTCTTAAATAATAAAATGTCCTTGATCCATGGGCTTCAGAATGAATGCTGTGTTAGCAGGCATGAAAACAATATTAATCTATTTGTACAACTCCATCAGAGCTCTTGGGTTATGAGTGCATTGTCAATGAGCAGTAATATTTTAAAAGATATATATATATATACATATATATATACACATATATATATACATACACACACACACATACACGTATACACACACACAAACACACACACATGTTTTCTGGACAATAGGTCTCAACAGTGTGCTTAAGATATTTGGTAAACCATACTGTAAACAGATGTGTTTTCATCCAGGCTTTGTTGTTTCATTTATAGAGTATAGGTAGCATAGGTTTAGAAGAACTTAAAAATGTAGCAGAATGGTAAATGAGTACTTCCTTTAATGTTTTAATGTAACCAGCTGCATTAGCCAGTACATAGAAAGTCAGCCTGTCCTCTGAAGATTAGAAGCCAGGCATTGACTTCTCCTCTATAGCTGTGAAAGTTTTAGGTATCCTCTTCTTCCAGTATAATGCTGTTTTGTCTACATTGAAAATCTGTTATTTAGCATAACTGCCCTTATCAATGATCTTAGCTAGATCTTCTGGATAACTTGATGCAGCTTCTCTATCAGCACTGGCTGCTTCACCTTGCACTTTTATGTTATGAAGATTCTTTTCTTAAACCTCATGAACCAACCTCTGCTAGTTTAAACTTGTCTTCTGCAGCCTCCTCACCTGTCTCAGACTTCATAGAATTAAAGAATGTTAGGGCTTAGCTCTGGATTCAGCTTTGGCTTAATGAAATGTTGTGGCTCATTTGATTTTCTATCCAGACCACTAAAACTTTCTTCATATCAGCAGTAATACCATTGTACTTATCATTTCTGCATTCATTGGAGTAGCCTGTTTAATTTCCTTTAAGAACTTTTTTTTTTTGCATTCACAGCTTAGTTTACTGTTTAATGCAAGTTGCCTAGCTTTCAGCCTATCTGAGCTTTCAACATGCTTTTCTCACTCTATTAATCATTTCTAGCTTTGTATTTAAATACTGGCATCATGGGGGCTAATGTGGCTTACAAAGTATAATTCATCTGGCAGATGGAACCATAGTTTGACACTACCAGTCTTACGTCAGTTTCAACCCAGTAATAAATCCAAGCCTACCCATTCTTCCCGGAAGGAGCTTGATTATGCATCAAATTCCACAACCTCTGTAGTTAGTGCCCAAGGAACTGTTTTCTTAACAACTTTGCTCTGTGAATCGACAGGATTTTTTATTTTTGAGTGTATTTAGACCATAGAAAACAAAGAAGTAAGCATACAATGGGCCCACATTCAGAAGCTATCTCCTCAGGATCAGAGGCTGCATCCAGAGTGTGCATAGGTGTGTTTGTCACAGATCCTCTACCAAGCTTAATGGAGAGAGAGTGGGAGATAAATGTCCATACTAATCTTCATCATGTAGCTAGAAAGAACTGAAACACTCCTCCAGCCTTCTAACTTTTTAGCTACATCTGGATTGTCTGGCTCCTACCTTAACCAATTTCTGGTTACTGACAAGGCGTGGCACATCCTAAGTTCCAGGGAGCCAACAAAAACAGTCAACACTAGAGCACACAAGGATTTGAGAGGTACCTGAAGATCTCTGGCTGGAAAGTTTGGTGAGATCCTTTTCCTACATGAGGCCAGTCTTATCAAATGCACAGGAGCCAACAGAGAGAGTCGAGGAAAAATGAAGAAACAGGGAAACATATTCAAAGTAAGAAAACAAGATAAATCTCCAGCACCTGAGTGAAGTGCAGATATGTAATTTATCTGACAGAGATTTCCAAATAATGGTCATAACAATAATCACTGAGGTCAAGATAGCTTTGCAAGAACAAGCTGAGAACTTCAAGAAAAGGAAAAACATTACACAATAATGTCAAACAAATCATAGATCTAAAGTGTACTGTAACTGAACTGAAAAAATTTAATAGAGGTGTCCATTAATAGAATCTATAAGTGAACTTTAAGACTGGTCACTGGAAATTATCTAACCTGAGGATCAGAAAAAAAGATAATGCAAACAGAGTGAAGACAACTTTAGACAGTTATGGGACACCATCGAGCAGGACCACTCACGCATTATTGGCATGCCTGAAGGAGAAGTGAGGAAGAAAGGAACAGAAAAATGTTTAAAGGATTAATGACAGAGAATTTATCAAGCATGGGGAAGAAAGCAGAAAGCCTGATCCAGAAAGCCCAAACGAAACCAAATAAGGTGAATCCAGGGACTCACAACAAGATACACTACAATCAAATTGTCCAAAGTTAAAGAGAAAAAGAGAGTGATATTGTTTGCAAATTTGTACCCTCCAAATATTGTGTCGAGATTTGATCCCCAATGTTGGAGGTGGGACCTAGTGGGAGGTGTTTGGGTCATGGTGGTTGATCTCTCCTGGATAGCTTTTTGCCCTCTTTTCACTAATGAGTGGGTTCTCACTGCATTACATGAAAGATGGTTGTTTAAAACAGTGTGGCACCTCTCCCCTCTCTTCCTACCTCTCTAGCCATGTGTGACATACCTCTTGTCTCTTCACCTTTAGCCACAAGTAAAAGCCTTCTGGGTCCCTGACCAGAAGCTGCGCAGATGCCACTGCCATGCTTCTTCTACAGCCTGCAAAACTGTGAGCCAAACAAACCTCTGTTCCTTATAAATTACCTAGTCTCAGCTATTTTTTTATAGCAACACAAAAATTTGTGTTTCTCCATGTTGCTCTTTTCTGTGTTATTCTGTGTTGCTAACACAGAAATTAGTACCAAGGAGTGGGGTTTTGCTATAAAAATACCTGATAATGCAGAATTTGCTTTGGAACTGGGTAATAGGCAAAGAAGACAGGAAGATGAGGAAACTTGTGGAACTTAATTAGACCTTGGTTAAGTGGCCGACCAAAATGATAATAGGAATATGAACAGTGAAGGCCATGTTGTTGAGGTACATAGAATACAACTTTCAAGAAGTGGCTGCACCATTTTGCATTCCCACAAGCAATGAATGAAGTTTCCTCTTGCTCCACATCCTTGCCAGCGTTTGATGTTGTCAGTGGTTCTAGATTTTGGTTATTCTAATACGTGTGCAGTGGCATCTCATGGTTGCATTTCTCTGAGGAAATATTATGTGTAGCCTCATTACATATGCTTATTTTCCATTTGTATAATTTACTTGGTGAGGTACTTGTTAAGGTCTTTAGCTCATGTCTTTTACTGCTCAATATGTTTTGAATAATAGTTCTTAATCAGATATGTTTTGGCAAATTTTTTTTTCCATCTGTGGTTTCTCTTTTCTTTCAGTGTCTTTAATGGTGTAAAAATGTTACATTTTCATCAAGTCCAGCTTATCAATTCTTTCTTCTATTGACTTCAACTTTGGTGTTTTTTCTAAAGGTCATCATTAAACCCAAGATAATCTGTATTTCCTTCTATATTACCTTCTATAAATTTTATAGTTTTTTGTACATTTATGTTGCTGATCCATTTTGAGTTAATTTGGGTGGGGGTGTAAGGTCTGTGATTTATTTTTTTTGCATGTGGATATCCAGGTATTCCAGCAGCCCTTCCTGAAAAAACTGTTTCATCATCATAATGCCTTTACTTTTTTGTCAAAAATTAATCGAATGTATTAATGTGTTTCTATTTGTGAACTCCCTATCTCATTTTATCCGTTTGTTCTTTCACTAATACCACACTGTCTCCATTACTGTAGCTTTACGGTAAGTCTTGAAATTGAGTAGTGTCTGTCCTCCAAGTTTGTTCTTCTCCTTCAATATGGTGTTAGCTATTCAAGGTCTTTTGCCTCTCCATATAAACATTTTCATTTAGATTGGAATTGCATTGAATCTATACATTGGAAAGAACTGACATCTTAATAGCATTGAATCTACATATGAATATGGTACATATCTCTTTTTGTTTCATTCTTCTTTGCTTTCTTTCATCAGATATGGACATTTCTGGAATTACAGAGCCCCCTCTACATTGAGCACAAGACAGTGACGAATCCACATTCTTCAGCCAGAAAGTCACCTCTGAGAGCCAAATGTCTGATAATAGACAAGAGAGTCAGAGAATGATAACGACATCTCAGGAAAATTGTGAAAATAATCAGCAACCGTATGTGGATAACCCTTTCAAATTTCTCCAGGGCACCTGTCATTTCAGCCAATACTTGCCAGCTTGTGCCAAGGATGCTGGAGCTGCCTGGGATTAGTTTCCCAGGGGAGGAGCTGGCCGCCATCTTTGCTGTTTGGGCGGCACAGACATTCCAGCCTGTGGGCTTTGGACAGTGCAAACTGATGGGGTAGAAGGGATCCCCAGCATAGCACAGCTGCTCTCCCAACATGTGCCCAGATTCTTTTTTTTTTTTCCTTTTTCTTTTTTTTTTTTTTGAGAAGGAGTCTTGCTCTGTCACCCAGGCTGGAGTGCAGTGGCATGATCTCGGCTTACTGCAGCCTTCACATCCCAGGTTCAAGCAATTCTTCTGCCTCAGCCTCCCAAGTAGCTGGGACTGCAGGTGCTCATCACCACGCACAGTGAATTTTTTTATTTTTAGTAGAGATGGGGTTTCACCATGTTGGCCAGGCTCGTCTGGAACTCCTGACCTCAACTGATCCGCTCTGCTGGGCCTCCCGAAGTATTGGGATTACAGGCATGAGCCACCGTGGCCGGCCCCAGACAGATTCTTTAAGGGGATTCCCAATCTGTTCCTCCCAACCAGGGCCTCCAGCTACCCCACCGGTGTCTGGGGCTGACAGGAATTTGAATTCTCCCTGGGAGGGAGTTCTGGAGTTCCCACCCTGTGGGAGTCCTTCCAACTGGGGCCTGGGGGAGAGGGTGGGGCCAGCTTTGGAGAGTCCAAAACGATTGGGGTGGAAGGGATCCCCCAGCACATCACAACTGCTCTACCAAATAGTGGCCAGGCAGATTCTTTACGCAGATCCCTGATTCTTTCCTCCTCTCTGGGTGGGACCTCCCACCTGGGGCCTCCACCACCCCACCGGTGTTCTCAAGCTGACAGAGATTTACATTCTCCCCGGGAAGGAGTTGTCGAGGTCCTGCCCAGTAAGGAGGAATGGATCAGGAACCTGGTAAAAGAATCTGCCTTCTAAGATTTTGTAGAGTAGCTGTGCTGTGCTGATGATATATCCCTTCTGCCCCGGTAGGTATGGATTCTCCAGAGCCCGCGGGCTGTAACGACTAAGTTGCACAAACAGCAAAGATAGCTCCTTGCTCCTGCGCGTGGGAACTCATTCCAGGAATTCAAATCTCTGTCAGCCTGAGAACACCGGTGTGGGTGGCTGGAGACCCCAGCTGAAAGGACCCTCATTGAGCTGGACCTCCAGGCCTCCATGCCAGGGAGAACTCAAATCTCTGTCAGCCCCAGAACACTGGCGGGGGTGGCTGGAGGCCCCAGTTGGGAGGTCCCCCACTGGGCCAGACCCCGAGACCTCCATGCCAGAGAGAATTCAAATCTCTGTCAGCCCCAGAACACTGGCGGGGGTGGCTGAAGTCCCCGGTTGGGAGGTCCCTCACTGGGCCAGACCCCCAAGACCTCCATGCCAGGGAGAATTCAAATCTCTGTCAGCTCCAGAACACTGTCGGGAGTGGCTCAAGGCCCCTATTGGGAGGTCCCTCACTGAATGGAACCTCAAGGCCTCCATCCCAAAGAGAATTCAAATCTCTGTCAGCCTGAGAACACCAGCGGGGGTGGCTGGAGGCCCCTGTTGGGAGGTCCCTCACTGGGCGGGACCTCGAGACCTCCATACCGGGGAGAATTCAAATCTCTGTCAGCCCCAGAACACTGGTGAGGGTGGCTGGAGGCCCCGGTTGGGAGGTGCCTCACTGGGCAGGACCTCCAGACCTCCATGCCAGGGAGAATTCAAATCTCTGTCAGCCCGAGAACACTGGTGGGGGTGGCTGGAGGCCCTGGTTGGGAGGTCCTGCCCAGTGAGGAGGAATGGATCACAGACCTTCTTAAAGACCCAGTGTGGCCACATTTTGGTAGAGCACCTTGCTATGCCAACCCCGCCAGTGTTCTCAGGATGACAGATTTGGATTCTCCCTGGCATGGAGGTCTTGAGGTCCTGCCAAGAGAGGGACCTCCCAACTGAGGCCTCCAGCCACCCCTGCCAGTGTTCTGGGGCTGACAGAGTTTTGAATTCTCCCTGGCATGGAGGCCTCAAGGTCTGGCCCAGTGAGGGACCTCCCAACCGTGGCCTCCAGCCACCCCCGCTGGTGTTCTGGGGCTGACAGAGATCTGAATTCTCCCTGGCATGTAGTTCTCAAGGTCCTGCCCAATGAGGGTCCCTTTAGCTGGGGTCTCCAGCCACCCCCACCGGTGTTCTCAGTCTGACAGAGATTTGAGTTCTCCCTGGCATGGAGGTCTCAGGATCTTGCCCAGTGAGGGACCTCCCAACTGGGGCCTCCAGCCACCTCCGCCAGTGTTCCGGGGCTGACAGAGATTTGAATTCTCCCTGGCATGGAGGTCTTGAGGTCCTGCCCAGTGAGGAAACTCTCAACCGTGGCCTCCAGCCACCCGCCCCTGCTGTTCTCAGGCTGAGAGAGATCTGAATTCTCCCTGGCATGTAGTTCTCAAGATCCTGTCCAATGAGGGTCCTTTTAGCTGGGGTCTCCAGCCAATCCCACCGGTGTTCTCAGGCTGACAGAGATTTGAGTTCTCCCTGGCATGGAGGTCTTTAGGTCCTGCCTGCCCAGTGAGGGACCTCCCAACTGGGGCCTCCAGCCACCTCCACCAGTGTTCTGGGGCTGACAGAGGTTTGAGTTCTCCCTGGCATGGCGGTCTTGGGGTCCCGCCCAGTGAGGGACCTCCCAACCGGGGCCTCCAGCCACCTCCGCCAGTGTTCTGGGGCTGACAGAGATTTGAATTCTCCCAGGCATGGAGTTCTTGAGGTCCCACCCAGTTAGGGTTCTCCTAACTGGGACCTCTGGCCACCCCCACCTGTGTTCTCATGCTGACAGAGGTTTGAATTCTTCCTGGCATGGAGGTCTCCAGTTCCTGCCCAGTGAGTGTCCTTTCAACTCAGGCCTCTAGCCAACTCCCCCCACCCCTGCCAGTGTTCTGGGGCTGACAGAGATTTGAATTCTCCTTGGCATGGAGGTATCAGGGTCCTGCTCAGTGAGGGACCTCCCAACAGGGGCCTGCAACCACCCCCGCCAGTGTTCTGGGGCTGACAGAGATTTGAATTCTCCCTGGCATGGAGGTCTTGGGGTCTGGCCCACTGAGGGATCTCCTAACCAGGGCCTCCAGCCACCCCCGCCAGTGTTCTGGGGCTGACAGAGATTTGAATTCTCCCAGGTAAGCAGTTCTTGGTTCTTGAAGTCCCGCCCAGTAAGGGTTCTCCTAACTGGGGCCTCTGGCCACCCCCACCTGTGTTCTCATGCTGACAGAGATTTGAATTCTTCCTGGCATGGAGGTCTCCACTTCCTGCCCAGTGTGGGTCTTTTCAACTCAGGCCTCCAGCCACCCGCCCCTGGTGTTCTCAGGCTGACAGATTTGAATTCTCCCTGGCACATAGTTCTTGAGGTCCTGCCCAATGAGGGTCCTTTTATCTGGGGTCTCCAGCCAACCCCACTGGTGTTCTGGGGCTGACAGAGGTTTGAGTTCTCCCTGGCATGGCAGTCTTGGGGTCCCGCCCAGTGAGGGACCTCCCACCCGGGGCCTCCAGCCACCCCCGCCAGTGTTCTGGGGCTGAGATTTGAATTCTCCCTGGCATGGAGGTCTCGGGGTCTGACCCAGTGAAGGACCTCCCAACTAGGGCCTCCAGCTACCCCCGCCAGTGTTCTGGGGCTGACAGAGATTTGAGTTCTCCCTGGCATGGAGGTCTTGGGGTCCCGCCCAGTGAGGGACCTCCCACCCGGGGCCTCCAGCCACCCCCACCGGTGTTCTCGGGCTGACAGAGATTTGAATTCTCCCTGGTATGGAGGTCTCCAGGTCTGGCCCAGTGAAGGACCTCGGCCTCCAGCCACCCCTGCCAGTGTTTTGGGGCTGACAGAGATTTGAATTCTCCCTGGCATGGAGGTCTTGAGGTCCTGCCCAGTGAGGGACCTCTCAACCGTGGTCTCCAGCCACCCCCACCGGTGTTCTCGGGCTGACAGAGATCTGAATTCTCCCTGGCATGTAGTTCTCAAGGTCCCACCCAATGAAGGTCCTTTTAGCCAGAGTCTCCTGCCAATCCCACCAGTGTTCTCAGGCTGACAGAGATTTGAGTTCTCCGTGGCATGGAGGTCTTGGGGTCTTGCCCAGTGAGGGACCACCCAACTGGGGCCTCCAGCCACCCTCACTGGTGTTCTGGGACTGACAGAGATTTGAATTCTCCCAGGCATGGAGTTCTTGAGGTCCCACCCAGTTAGGGTTCTCCTAACTGAGACTTCTGGCCACCCCCTCCTGTGTTCTCATGCTGACAGAGGTTTGAATTCTTCCTGGCATGGAGGTCTCCAGTTCCTGCCCAGTGAGGGTCCTTTCAACTCAGGCCTCCAGCCAACTCCCCCCACCCCCGCCAATGTTCTGGGGCTGACAGAGATTTCAATTCTCCCTGGCATGGAGGTCTCGGGGTCCCGCCCAGTGAGGACCTCCCAGCTAGGGCCTGCAACCACCCTGCTAGTGTTCTGGGGCTGACAGAGATGTGAATTCTCTCTGGCATGGAGGTCTCGGGGTCTGGCCCAGTGAGGGACCTCCCATCCGGGGCCTCTAGCCACCCCCGCCAGTGTCCTGGGGCTTTCAGAGATTTGAATTCTCCCTGGCATGGAGTTCTTGAGGTCCCACCCAGTGAGGGTTCTCCTAACTGGGCCCTCTGGCCACCCCTACCTGTGTACTCACACTGTAGTACATGAGTACTACATGTACTTGAATTATCCCTGGCATGGAGGTCTCCAGTTCCTGCCCAGTGAAGGTCCTTTCAACTTGGGCCCCCAGCCACCACCCCGCCCCCTCCCCCAGTGTCCTCAGGCTGCCAGACATTTCAATTATTCCTGGCATGGAGGTCTCAAGGTCCTGCCTGGTGAGGGATCACCCCACTGGGACCTCCAGTCACTCCTGCTGGTGTTCTCGGGCCCAAAGATATTTGAATTCTTGGGATGAGATGGCCAAAGATGAGCTGCCATCTTTGCTGTTTGTGCAACTTAGCCACTCCAGCCTGAGGGCTTTGTGGAATCCATACCTACCGGGGCAGAAGGGATCTCCCAGCACAACAAAGCTACTCTACAAAATCTTGGTCAGGCAGATTCTTTTAGCAGGTTCCTGACCCATTCCTTCTTAACTGGCACGACCTTGACAACTCTATCCAAGGGAGAATGTAAATCTCTGTCAGCTCTAGAACTAAGAGGTGGAAGCCCCACTTGGGAGGTCTCACCCAATGAGGAACGGATCGGGGATCTACTTAAAGGATCTTGCCATGATTTGGTAGAGCAGTTGTGCTGTTCTGGGGATCCCCTCCACCCTAGTCACTTTGGACTCTCCAAAGCCCACAGACTGGAATAGCTGAGTCACCCAAACAGCAAAGATGGCGGCCCCCTTCTCCCCCAGGGAACTTATCCCAGGGAGAATTCAAATCTCCGTCAGCCTGAGAGCACCTGCCGGAGTAGCAGCAGGCCCCAGTTGGGAGGTCCCACCCAGCGAGGAGGAATGGATTGGGGACCCACTTAAAGAGGCAGTCTGGCCACATTTTGGTAGAGCAGCTGTGCTGCGTGGGGGATCCCTTCTGCCCTCAGTTGGTTTGGGTTCTCAAAAGCCCAACAGGCTGGAATAGCTAAGTTACCCAAGCAACAAAGATGGTGGCCTGCCCTGTCCCCTAGGAAGTCAGTCTCAGGTAGGTAAAACACTGTTGCTGGTGGCTGGCTGGAGTTGTTTCCTTGATTATATGAGTAATGCGAGTACCTGGTTGTTTCAGTTGAAGGTACTGTATTGACTTGCTCCTTTCATTCCTCTCCATGAGAGCCGTGCACCCTACCTGCTTCTAGTCAGTCATCTTGGCCACACACCCCCATAATCACATTTTTTAAGTAAATCATTCTTTAAAACTCTAACAAAATATTTAAACATTTAAAAAGTGTGGAGCTTTAGAAATGCCTGATTACGTCTTAAGTTTGAGACACGTAGCAGTTATGTACATTGGCAATTCCAGATTTTGCAACTTATAAGGAAAGGACTTATATCTTATTCAGTCTTTGTGTGTCTAAACTATCTTCACCTGTAAAATGAGTATAATGAAGTACTTTATAGAGTTGTACATGTTATATGTAAAAATATAGCAGTGAGGGGGCAGTGGACTGGCCAAGATGGCCGAGTTGAAGCAGCTAGTGTGTTTGGCTCTCACAGAGAGGAACACAAGGGGAGAGTCAATACTGCACCTTCAACTGAAACATCCAGGTACTCACATTGGGACTAACCAAGGAAACAACTTGACCCAGGGAGAATGAAGAAAAGAAAGGCAAAATGACAGCCCACCTGGGAGTACCACAGAGCCAGTGGAACCTCCCTCACCCAGGGAAGCAGTGAGTGAATGTGTGACCCTGGAAACCCATGCTTTTTCCATGGATCTTTGCAATCCTTGGGTTGGGAGATCTTCTCATGAACCCACTTTACCAGGGCCTTCAGTCTGATGGAGCTATGTGGAATCTTGGCACAGCAGCCACTCAGGCACACATGGAGACCTGGGAGCCTTAGGTACCTGGGCTTTCCTGCAGAAGTAGCTGCAACTCTGGCAAAGTGGGAGGTTAGACCCTCATACATATTCCTAGGGAAGAGGCTGAATTCAGGGAGCTGAGCAGCAACAGCCTGCAGGCTCCACTTCCACAGAACCTCACAGGATAAGAGCCACTGGCTTGGAATTCTAGCCAGCCACCAGCAACACTGTTGAGACTCCCTGAGATGAAGCTCCTGAGAGAAGGAGCAGGCCACCATCTTTGCTGTTTGGGCAATTTAGCTGCTCCAGCCTTTGGGATTTGGAGAGTCTCAGCAGACCAGGGACAGAGGGATCCATTAGCACAGCACAGTGCTACTCTACCAAAATATGGCCGGACTACTGCTTTAAGAAGGTCCCCAATCCCATTCCTCCTCACTGGGCAGGACCTCCCAACCAGGGCCTGTAGCTACCCATTCTGGTATTCTCAGGCTGACAGAGATTTGAATTCTCCCTGAGATGGAGTGCCCCGAGGGAGGGGTGGGCTGCCATATTTGATGTTTTGGCAACTTAGCCATTCCAACCTTTGGGCTTTAAGGAGTCCCAGCTGACTTAGGGTGGATATAGCCCACCAGCACAGCACAGCTGCTGTACAAAAGCATAGCCAGACTGCTTCTTTAAGCAGGTCCCGGATTCATTCCTCCTCACTGTTTGGGACTTCCCAACTGGGGCCTCCAGCCACCCCCACTGGTGTTCTCCTGCTGACAGTGATTTCAGTTTTTTCTTGGCTGGAGCTCCCTGATGGAGGGGCAGGCCATCATGTTTGCTGTTTTTGCAACTTAACCACTTCAACCTTCAGTCTTTGGAGTGTCCAAGGAGACCAGGGGCTGATGTGGACCCTCAGCATAGCACAGATGCTCTATAAAAATGTGGTCAGACTGCTTTTTAAGCACTTTCCCAATGTCATTCCGCCTCACTGGGCAAAACCCCCTAACTGGGGTCTCCAGCTACCTCCTACAGGTGTGTTTGGGCCAGCAACAAGTTCATTCATACCTCCCTAGGGCAAAGCTTCCAAAGGGAGCAGTAGGCTGCCAACTTTTCTGTTTCACAGCCTTCACTGATGATAACTCCAGGTACTGGAAAATCTGAGGCTACTAGAGACTGAAGTGGGCCCTGGGCATACTGCAGCAGCCCTATGGAAAAGTGGCCAGACTGTTACCTGGGTTCCCATTCCTGTATCTTCTCACTAGGCAAGTCTTGCAGGCCTGGGCCTCTACCTAACCCCCCTGCCAGAGCTGTCGAGCCAGTAGCAACTCAGCCACTCCCTGGACAGAGCCTCCAGGGGCAACTGAAAGCCTCTCTGCCACTGCTTCTGCAGTGGAACTGTCCTTGCTACCCTCAGACTGATGAAGGAGCTAACACCCTTATCTACACCTTCAACAAGCTTTAATTGACCAAAGCCCATCTCCCACGGGTTTTACACACTCCCCACTGCTCATAACAGACAGGGAACCCCTGGATTGGCCCCCACAGCATGAATTCTCCATCCTGCTTGCTGATTGCAATAAACAGTTGCTGACCTGTATTCTCCGGGGGTAGAACCCTGAGGAGACAAACAAAAGACCCTTGGCTACAACCACTACTAATGTCCCTTCCTCTTCTTCCCCAAAGTTAGGGAAGAAATATAAACACTGAGATTGCCCCAGAGCTGCAGTGGGCAGCCTAGGAGTGCCAAGCCATGATCTACAGCCAGCACTCAAGGAGGAGAGAAGCACATTTTCAGATCATTGAGAGTGAACATGGCTGCAACTGTGAGGAAACATAGGGGAGCCACATGACCAAGCAAGACTCTACCAACTGACCAGTAAGCCCAAGTGCCACCTACTGGATCACATCCCAAAGCTTCAGCACCAAAAATACCTTACTAATATACTCCCCTCTGAAACCAGAAATGAGAAGTCAGCTTCAAATAAAGAACCTGCACAAAGCCTCAGCCTGGTGAAAACATCTGAAAATAAGTCTACGGACTGTACTCAATCTACACTGCAATTAAAGGAAAACCCATAGGTGGAAATGAGAAGAAACCAATGCAAGAACTCCAGTAACTCAAATGGCCTCTGTGTCATATGTCCTTCAAACAACCACACCAGTTCTCCAACAAGAGTTCTTAACCTGGATGAACTGTCTGGAATTACATAAATATAATTGAGAATATGGATAGGAAAAAAAATCATCAAGACTCAGGACAATGGCAGAACCCAATCCAAGGAAAATAAGAATAACAATAAAGTGTTATAGGAGCTGAAGGACAAAGTAGCTGGTATAATAAAAAAAGAAACTAACTGATCTGAAAGCGCCAAATAACACAATACAAGAATTTCACAATGCAATCACAAGTATTAACAGCAGAAAAAACCAATCTGAGGAATGAATCTCAGAACTTGAAGATTGGTTCTCTAAAATAAGATGGACAAAAATAAAAAAGAATGAACAAAACCTTCAAGGAGCATGGGATTATATAAAGAAGCCAATTCTACAAATCACTGGCATCTCTGAAAGGGAGGTGGAGAAATCAAATAACTTGGAAAACATTTCAGGATATCATCTATGAAAGCTTCCCTAACCTTGCTGGAAAGGCCAACAGTCAAATTCAGGAAATACAAAGAACTCCTACAAGATTCTACACAAGACCATCCTCAAGACACATAAACATCAGGTTTTCCAAGGTCAAAATGAGGGAAAGAATGTTAAAGGCAGCCAGAGAGAAAGGGGCAGGCCATCTACAAAGGGAACCCCATGAGGCTAACAGCAGATCTCTCAGCTGAAATCCTACAAGCCAGAAGGGATTGGGGGACTATATTTAACATTATTAAAGAAAATCTTCAACCAAGAATTTCATATCCAGCTAAACTAAGCTTCCTAAATGAAGGAGAAATGAGATCATTTACAGACAAGCAAATTCTGAGGTAATTCATTACCACCACATCTGCCTTACAAGAGATTTTAGAAAGGAGGACTAAATATAGAAAGGAAAGACCACTACACACTAATACAAAAACATACTTAAACACACAGACCAGTGACACTATAAAGCAACCACACAAACAAGCCAACATAATAACCAGCCAACAGCACAATGACAAGATCAAATCTACACAAATCAATACTAACCTTGAAAGTAAATGGACAAATGCCCCACTTAAAAGGCAGAGTGGCAAGCTAGATTAAAAAAAAAAAAAAGCGAGACCCAATGGTATGTCGTCTTCAAGAGACCCATCTCACACATAATGACACTCATCGTCTCAAACTAAAAGGATGGAGGAAAATCTACCAGACAAATAGAAAACAGAAAAAAAGCAGAGGTTGCAATCCTAATTTCAGACAAAACAGATTTCAAATGAACAATAATTTTTCAAAAAGACAAGGGGGCAGGGGCAAGATAGCCAACTAGAAGCAGCTGCAATTCGAGGCTCCCACTGAGAAGAACTAAAACAGTGTGCAAATCCTGCACCAGCAACTGACATATCCAGGTTCTATGATCAGGACTGACTAGGTAGTTGGCATGGCCCATAGAGAACAAGGAAAGATGGGCTGGTGGATTGGCCCACCTGGGAGCCACATGGGGCAAGGGGAGCCCTCACCCTCAGCCAGCCAAGGGAGGCAGTGAGTGAGCATGCTACCCAGCCTGGGAAACTGCTTTTTCCATGGATCTTTGCAATCCACAGATCAGAAGATCCCACTCATGAGACCACACCACCAGGGCCTTGGGTGCCAACTACAGAGCCATGCAGATTCTCAACAGCCACTCAGCTGGAGTCTGCCTAAAAAGTTGGGGAGGGTTGTCATCATCACTGTGGCTGCCTGCTGCCTAAACCCTCTGAGTTCCCTGGGGGAGGGGGAGCAGTCATCACTGTGGTTGCTGGCTGCCTAAGACAACTGAGCTTCCCAAGAGAGGGGCAGTCATCATCACTGCAGCTGCCTGCTGCCTGAGGAAACTGAGCTCCCCAAGAAGGGACAGCAGCCATCACTGTGGCTGCTAGCTGCCTAAGACACTGAACTCCTGGGGAGGAAGGGCGGCAGCCATTTCTACAGAGCCAGGCTGCTGTTTTTCCTTTGCTGATGCCAGGGAGACTGGACGGCTTGGTCCCAAGAGGTATTCCCCACAGCGCAGCATACTGGCTGTGGCAGATCATGGCCAGACTGCCTCTTTAGGCTGACCCTCACCCATCCCTCCTCACTGGGTGGGGCATCCCTGCAGGAACTCCAGCAACTCAAGCCAGGGAATTAGGGAGAGAACTCTGATCTCTCTAAGTCTGAGTCCCTAGCAGGAGGGGTGGCTGGCTGTTGTCTCCACAAACCAGAAGACTTATTCTTTCCCCCTGCTCACTCTGAGGAATCCAGGCATCCCAGACGAGTGGGATTTCCCCCAGCACAGCATACCCCCTTCACAAAGGGACAACTAAAGTGCTTCATTAAGCAAGTCCTGGATCCTGTGCCCCCCAACTGGGTGAGACACCCCAATGGGTCACCAGACACCTTATACAAGAGCATTTCTACTGGCATCAGGTGGGTGCCCCTCAAGGACAGAGATCCCAGAGGAAGGAGTGGGGTCTCATCTTTGCTGTTCTCCAGCACTCTCTGGTGACATCTTCAGGTGTGGGAGGGACCCAGATAAGTAGGGCTTGAAGTGAATCCCCAGCAAACTGCAGCAGCCCTACAGAAGAGGTGCCTGACTGTTCAAAGGAAAACAGAAAGCAACAACAACATCAACCAAAAAGTCCCCACGAAAACCTCATCTAAAGGTCAGCAGCCTCAAAGATCAAAATGAGACAAACTCATGAAGATGAGAAAGGAATGAAAAACCCCTCACAACTCAAAAGGCCAGAGTGGCTTGTTTACTCCAAATGATCACAACACCTCTACAGCAAGGGCACAGTGCTGGGAGGAGGTTGAGATGGATGAATTGACAGAAGTAGGCTTCAGAAGGTGGGTAGTAGCAAACTTCACTGAGCTAAAGGAGCACGTTCTAACCCAACACATTGGAACGAATCCCAGAACTTAAAGATTGGTTCTCTAAAATAAGACAGACAAAAATAAAAAAGAATAAAACGGAAGGAACAAAACCTCCAATAAGTATGGGGTTATGTATAGAGGCCAATTCTACAAATCACTGGCATCCCTGAAAGGGAGGTGGAGAAATCAATGCATTGGGTTAGAACATGCTCCTTTAGCTCTGTGAAATTTGTTATTACCCACCTTCTGAACCCTACTTCTGTCAGCAAAGAAGCTAAGAACCATGTTAAAAGGTTACAGAAGATGCTAACTAGAATAACCAGTTTAGAGAGGAACATAAATGACCGGAGCCAACTATAAAGCACATAAGGGGAACTTCGTGATGCAAACACAAGTATCAACAGCTGAATTGATCAAGCAGAAAAAAGAATATCAGAGCTTGAAGACTATCTTGCCAAAATAAGGCAGGCAGACAAGATTAGAGAAAAAAGAATGAAAAGGAATGAACAAAACCTCAAAGAACTGTGGAACTATGTAAAAGACCAAACCTATGACTGCTTGGACTACCTGAAAGAGACAAGGAGAATGGAGCCACGTTGGGAAAACACACTTCAAGATATCATCCAGGAGAACTTCCCCAACCTAGCAAGACAGGCCAACATTCAAATTCAGGAAATCCAGAGAACCCCAGTAAGATACTCCACAAGAAAATCAACCCTCAAGACACATAGTCATCAGATTCTCCAAGATCAAAATGAAGGAAAAAATGTTAAAGGCAGCCAGAGACAAGGGCAGGTCACCTACAAGGGGAAGCCCGTCAGACTAACCGTGGGCCTCTCAGCAGAAACCCTACAAGCCAGAAGACAGTTGGGTCCAATGGTCAACATTCTTAGAGAAAAGAATTTCTAACCTAGAATTTCATATCTGGCCAAACTAACCTTCATAAGTGAAGGAGAAATCCTTCTCAGACAAGCAAATGCTGAGGGAATTTATCACCACCAGGCCTGCCTTGCAAGACCTCCTGAAGGAAGCACTAAAGATGGAAAGGAATCAGAATGATGCTGGCCTCATAAAATGAGTTAGGGAGGATTTCCTCTTTTTCTATTGATTGGAATAGTTTCAGAAGGAATGGTACCAGTTCCTCCTTGTACCTCTGGTAGAATTCGGCTGTGAATCCATCTGGTCCTGGACTCTTTTTGGTTGGTAAACTATTGATTATTGCCACAATTTCAGCTCCTGTTATTGGTCTATTCAGAGATTCAACTTCTTCCTGGTTTAGTCTTGGGAGAGTGTATGTGTCGAGGAATTTATCCATTTCTTCTAGATTTTCTAGTTTAATTGTGTAGAGGTGTTTGTAGTATTCTCTGATGGTAGTTTGTATTTCTGTGGGATCGGTGGTGATATCCCCTTTATCATTTTTTACTGTGTCTATTTGATTCTTCTCTCTTTTTTTCTTTATTAGTCTTGCTAGTGGTCTATCAATTTTGTTGATCCTTTCAAAAAACCAGCTCCTGGATTCATTAATTTTTTGAAGGGTTTTTTGTGTCTCTATTTCCTTCAGTTCTGCTCTGATTTTAGTTATTTCTTGCCTTCTGCTAGCTTTTGAATGTGTTCGCTCTTGCTTTTCTAGTTCTTTTAATTGTGATGTTAGGGTGTCAATTTTGGATCTTTCCTGCTTTCTCTTGTGGGCATTTAGTGCTAAAAATTTCCCTCTACACACTGCTTTGAATGCATCCCAGAGATTCTGGTATGTTGTGTCTTTGTTCTCGTTGGTTTCAAAGAACATCTTTATTTCTGCCTTCATTTCGTTATGTATCCTGAATGACTATTCAGGAGCAGGTTGTTCAGTTTCCATGTAGCCAGCATCATTCTGATACCAAAGCTGGGCAGAGACACAACCAAAAAAGAGAATTTTAGACCAATATCCTTGATGAACATTGATGCAAAAATCCTCAATAAAATACTGGCAAAACGAATCCAGCAGCACATCAAAAAGCTTATCCACCATGATCAAGTGGGCTTCATCCTTGGGATGCAAGGCTGGTTCAATATACGCAAATCAATAAATGTAATCCAGCATATAAACAGAGCCAAAGACAAAAACCACATGATTATCTCAATAGATGCAGAAAAAGCCTTTGACAAAATTCAACAACCCTTCATGCTAAAAACTCTCAATAAATTAGGTATTGATGGGACGTATTTCAAAATAATAAGAGCTATCTATGACAAACCCACAGCCAATATCATACTGAATGGGAAAAAACTGGAAGCATTCCCTTTGAAAACTGGCACAAGACAGGGATGCCCTCTCTCACCACTCCTATTCAACAGTGTTGGAAGTTCTGGCCAGGGCAATTAGGCAGGAGAAGGAAATAAAGGGTATTCAATTAGGAAAAGAGGAAGTCAAATTGTCCCTGTTTGCAGATGACATGATTGTATATCTAGAAAACCCCATTGTCTCAGCCCAAAATCTCCTTAAGCTGATAAGCAACTTCAGCAAAGTCTCAGGATACAAAATCAATGTACAAAAATCACAAGCATTCTTATACACCAACAGACAAACAGAGAGCCAAATCATGAGTGAACTCCCATTCACAATTGCTTCAAATAGAATAAAATACCTAGGAATCCAACTTACCAGGGATGTGAAGGACCTCTTCAAGGAGAACTACAAACCACTGCTCAAGGAAATAAAAGAGGATACAAACAAATGGAAGAATATTCCATGCTCATGGGTAGGAAGAATCAATATCGTGAAAATGGCCATACTGCCCAAGGTAATTTACAGATTCAATGCCATCCCCATCAAGCTACCAATGACTTTCTTCACAGAATTGGAAAAAACTACTTTAAAGTTCATATGGAACCAAAAAAGAGCCCACATCGCCAAGGCAATCCTAAGCCAAAAGAACAAAGCTGGAGGCATCACACTACCTGACTTCAAACTATACTACAAGGCTACAGTAACCAAAACAGCATGGTACCGGTACCAAAACAGAGATATAGATCAATGGAACAGAACAGAGCCCCAGAAATAACGCTGCATATCTACAACTATCTGATCTTTGACAAACCTGAGAAAAAAAAGCAATGGGGAAAGGATTCCCTATTTAATAAATGGTGCTGGGAAAACTGGCTAGCCATATGTAGAAAGCTGAAACTGGATCCCTTCCTTACACCTTATACAAAAATCAATTCAAGATGGATTAAAGACTTAAACGTTAGACCTAAAACCATAAAAACCCTAGAAGAAAACCTAGGCATTACCATTCAGGACATAGGCATGGGCAATGACTTCATGTCCAAAACACCAAAAGCAATGGCAACAAAAGACAAAATTGACAAATGGGATCTAAGTAAACTAAAGAGCTTCTGCACAGCAAAAGAAACTACCATCAGAGTGAACAGGCAACTTACAAAATGGGAGAAAATTTTCGCAACCTACTCATCTGACAAAAGGCTAATATCCAGAATCTACAATGAACTCAAACAAATTTACAAGAAAAAAACAAACAACCCCATCAAAAAGTGGGCGAAGGACATGAACAGACACTTCTCAAAAGAAGACATTTATGCAGCCAAAAAACACATGAAAAAATGCTCATCATCACTGGCCATCAGAGAAATGCAAATCAAAACCACAATGAGATACCATCTCAAACCAGTTAGAATGGCAATCATTAAAAAGTCAGGAAACAACAGGTGCTGGAGAGGATGTGGAGAAATAGGAACACTTTTACACTGTTGGTGGGACTGTAAACTAGTTCAACCCTTGTGGAAGTCAGTGTGGTGATTCCTCAGGGATCTAGAACTAGAAATACCATTTGACCCAGCCATCCCATTACTGGGTATATACCCAAAGGACTATAAATCATGCTGCTATAAAGACACATGCACACGTATGTTTATTGCGGCATTATTCACAATAGCAAAGACTTGGAACCAACCCAAATGTCCAACAATGATAGACTGGATTAAGAAAATGTGGCACATATACACCATGGAATACTATGCAGCCATAAAAAATGATGAGTTCATGTCCTTTGTAGGGACATGGATGAAATTGGAAATCATCATTCTCAGTAAACTATCGTAAGAACAAAAAACCAAACACCACATATTCTCACTCATAGGTGGGAACTGAACAATGAGATCACATGGACACAGGAAGGGGAATATCACACTCTGGGGACTGTGGTGGGGTGGGGGTAGGGGGGAGGTATAGCATTGGGAGATATACCTAATGGTAGATGACGAGTTAGTGGGTGCAGCACACCAGCATGGCACATGTATACATATGTAACTAACCTGCACAATGTGCACATGTACCCTAAAACTTAAAGTATAATAAAAAAAAAAGATGGAAAGGAAAAACTGGTACCAGCCACTGCAAAAATGTACTGAAGTACAAAGACCAATGACACTATGAAGAAACTGCAGCAACTAGTGAGCAAAATAACCAGCTAGCATCATGGTGACAGGATCAAATCCACGCATAACAATATTAACCTTAAGTGTCAATGGGCTAAATGTACCAATTAAAAGACACAGACCAGCAATTTGGATATAAAGAGTCAAGATTCAGGTGTGCTGTATTCAGGGTTCCTATCTCATGTGGAAAGACACACGTAGGCTCAAAGGGATGGAGGAAAATTTACCAAGCAAATGGAAAGCAGAAATAAGCAGGGGTTGCAATCCTAGTTTCTGACAAAACAGACTTTGAATCAACAAAGATAAAAAAAAGACAAAGAATAGCATCACACAATGATAAAGGAATCAATTCAACAAGAAGAGCTAACTATCCTAAATATGTATGCACCCAATACAGGAGAACCCAGATTCATAAAACAAGTCTTTAGAGACCTACAAAGAGACTCAGGCTCCCATACAACAATAGTCGGAGACATTAACACCCCATTGTAAATATTGGATCATCTAGACAGAAAATTAACAAGAAAGGACTGGAACACAGCTCTGGATCAAGTGAATCTCATAGATATCTACAGAACTCTCCAACACAAAACAACAGACTATATATTATTCTCAGTGGCATATGACACTCTAAAGTTGATCACAAAATTAGAATTAAAACACTCCTCAGCAAATGCAAAATAACTGAAATCATAACAATCTCTCAGACCACAGTGCAATCAAATTAGAACTCAAGATTAAGAAACTCACTCAAAACCACACAACTACATGGAAATTGAACAACCTGCTCCTGAGTGACTTCTGGGTAAATAATAAAATTAAGGCAGAAATCAAGAAGTTCTTTGAAACCAATGAGAACAAAGAGACAATGTACCAGAATCTCTGGGAGGCAACTAAAGCAGTGTTAAGAGGTAAATTTATAGCACTAAATGCCCGCATCATAAAGCTAGAAATATCTCAAATCAATACCCTAACATCACAACTAAAAGAACTAGAGAAGCAAGAGCAAACAAATCCAAAAGCTAGCAGAAGAGAAAAAAAAAATGACTAAGATCAAAGTGGAACTGAAGGAGACAGAGACATGAAAAACCCTTCAAAAAAAAAAAAACAAGAAATAAAACGTGTTCAAATAGCAAGAGATAAAATCAAATTGTCTCTGTTTGCAGAAAACGTGATTCTATATCTAGAAAACCACATTGTCACAGCCCAAAAACTCCTTAAGCTGATAAGCAAGTTCAGCAAAGTCTGAGGATACAAAATCAATGTGCAAAAATCACAAGCATTCTTATACACCAGCAATAGACAATATTCTTCAATTCCTATACACCAATAATAGACAAGAGAGCCAAATCATGAATGAACTCCCATTCACAATTGTTACAAAGAGAATAAAATACCTAGGAATACAGCTAATGATGGGTGTGAAGAACCTCTTCAAGGAGAACTACAAGCCACTGCTCAAAGAAATAAGAGAGGACACAAACAAATGGAAAAATATTCCATGCTCATGGGTGGGAAGAATCAGTCTCATGAAAATGGCCATACTGCCCAAAGTAATTTATAGATTCAGTGCTATTCACATCAAACTACCATTGACATTCTTCACAGAATTAAAAAAAAAACTACTTTAAATTTCATATGCAACCAAAAAAGAGACTCAATAGTCAAGACAATCCTAAGCAAAAAGAACAAAGCTGGAGGCATCATGCTATATGACTTCAAACTATACTGCAAGGCCACACTAATCAAAACAGCATGGTACTGATACCAAAACAGACACACAGACCAATGGAACAGAATAGAGATCTCAGAAATAAGACCACACATCTACAACCATCTGATCTTTGACAAACCTGACAAAAACAAGCAATAGGGGAAGGAATACCTATTTATTCATTTATTTATTTTGAGACAAAGTCTCACTCTGTCACCAGGCTGGAGTGCAGTGGCATGATCTCAGTTCATTGCAACCTCTGCCTCCCGGATTCAAGTGATTCTCCTGCCTCAGTCTCCCGAGTAGCTGGGACTACAGGTTCGAGCCACCACGCCCAGCTAGTTTTTGTATTTTTAGTAGAGACGGGATTTCACCATGTTGGCCAGGATGGTCTTGATCTCTTGACCTCAAGATCCACCCATATCAGCCTCCCAAAGTGCTGAGATTATAGATGTGAGCCACCGCACTTGGCCAGGATTCCCTATTTAAATGGTGCTGGGAAAACTGACTAGCCATATGCAGAAAACTGAAACTGGACCTCATCCTTACACCTTATGCAAAAATTAACTCAAGATGGATTAAAAACTTAAATGTAAAACCCCAAACCGTAAAAAACCCTAGAAGAAAATCTAGGAAGTTCCATTCAGGACATAGGCATAGGCAAAGATTTTATGATGAAATCATCAATAGCAATTGCAACAAAAGCAAAAATTGACAAATGGGATCTAATTAAACGTAAGCACTTCTGCACAGGGAAAGAAACTATCATCAGAGTGAACAAGCAACCTATAGAATGGGAGAATATTTTTGCCATCTACCAATCTGACAAAGGTCTAATATCCAGAATCTACAAGGAACTTAAACAAATTTACAAGAAAATAATAACCCCATCAAAATGTGGGCAAAGGCCATGAACAGACATTCTGAAAAGAAGACATTTATGCGTCCAACAAACATATGAAAAAAAAAAAGCTCAACATCAGTGTTTATTAGAGAAATGCAAATCAAAACCACAATGAGATACCATCTCATGCCAGTCAGAATGGCAATTATTAAAAAGTCAAGAAACAACAGATGCTAGAGAGGCTATGGAGAAACAGGAACACTTTTATACTGTTGGGAACGTAAACTAGTTCAACCATTGTGGAAGACAGTGTGGCAATTCCTGAAGGATCTAGAAGCAGAAATACCATTTGACCCAGCAATCCCATTACTAGGTTTATATCCAAAGAAATCTAAATCATTCTATTTTAAAGATACATGCACACTTATGTTTATTGCAGCACTATTCACAATAGCAAAGACATGGCATCAACCCAAATTTCTATCAATGATAGATTGGATAAAGAAAATGTGATACATATGCACCATGGAATACTATGCAGCCATAAAAAGGAATGAGATCCTGTCTTTTGCAGGGACATGGATGAAGCTGGAAGCCATAAACTTCAGCCAATTAACACAGGAACAGGAAACCAAACACCACATGTTCTCATAAGTGGGAACTGAACAATGAGAACACATGGACACGGAGGGGCAGAACACACACCGGAGCCTGTTGGGAAGGTAGGGGGAAGGAGAGCATCAAGATAAATAGCTAATGCATGTGGGGCTTAATACCTAGGTGATAGGTTGATAGGTGCAGCAAACCACCATGGCACATGTTTAACTATGTAACAAACCTGCACATCCTGTACATGTATCCTGGAACTTAAAATAAAATAGAAAAGACAAAGAAGGATATTACATAATGGCAAAGGCTTCAATTCAACAAGAAGACCTAACTATCCTAAATATATATTCATCCAACACAGGAGCACCCAGATTCATAAGTAAAGTTCTTAGAGACCTACAAAGTATGTTTCACAGTAATAGTGGGAGACTTTCACACTCCAATGACAGTATTAGATCATTGAGGCAAAAAAATGAACAAAGATATTCAGGACCTGAACTCAACATTGGATCAAATGGATCTGATAGACCTTTACAGAACTCTGCACTCAAAAACAACAGAATATGCATTCCTCACATCATCATATGCCACATACTCTAAAATCAACCACATAATTGGACATAAAGCAATCCTCAGCAAATGCAAAACAACTGAACTCATACCAAATACACACTGAGATCACAGTGCAGTAAAAATAGAAGACTAAGAAAATTGCTGAAAATCATGCAATTACATGGAAATCAATCAACATGCTCCTGAATGACTTTTTAATAAATAATGAAATTAAGGCAGAAAACAAGAAGTTCTTTGAAAATAATGAGAACAAAGTTGCAACATACTAGAGCCTCTGGACATAGCTAAGGCAATGTTAGGAGGGAAATTTATAGCACTAAATCCCACATCAAAAAGTTAGGAAGAACTCAAATTAATAACCTAACATCACAACGGAAAGAACTAGAGAAGCAAGACAAAACCCCAAAGCTAGAGGAAGACAAGAAATAACTGAAAATCCGAGCTGAATTCAAAGAAACCGAGACATGAAGAAAAAAAAATTCAAAAGATCTACGAATTCAGGGTAGGTTTCTTGAAAATATTAATAAGAAAGTCTGCTAGCAGACTAATACAGAGGATGATTGAAATAAACACAATTAGAAATGACAAAGGGAATGTAATTACCACTGACCCCACAGAAATAGAAACAACCATCAGAAACTACTGCAAACACTTCTGTGCATACAAACTAGAAAACTTCAAAGAGATGGATAAATTCCTGGACAAATACACCCTCCCACAACTGAGCCAGGAAGAAATTGATTTGCTGAACAGACCAATAACAAGCTCCGAAATTGAATCAGTAATAAATAACCTACCAATCAAAAAAAGCCCAGAACATGATGGATTCCCAGCCATATTCTACTAGAAGTACAAAGAAGAGCTGGTACCATTTTTACAGGAACTATTTGAAAATATTGAGGAGGAGGAACTCCTCCCCAACTCATTCTATGAGGCCAACATCATCTTGATACCAAAATCTGGCACACACACACACACACACACACACACACACACACACACACAAACTTCAGGCCAATACCCTTGATGAACATCAATGCAAAAATCCTCAACAAAATACGGGCAAACCAAATCCAGCAGCACATCAAAAAGTTAATCCATCATGATCAAGTATGCTTCATCCCCAGGATGCAAGGTTGCCTCAACATACACGTCAATTAATCTGATTCATCCCATAAACAAAACTAAAGATAAAAACCATGTGATTATCTCAATATATGCAGAAAAGGCTTTCAATAAAATTCAAGGCCTCTCCATATTAAAAACTCTAAAAAATCTGGGTATTGAGGAAACATAGCTCAAAGTGATGAGCTGTTTTTGTACCAGTATCATGCTGTTTTGGTTACTGTAGCCCTGTAGTATAGTTTGAAGTTGGGTAACATGATGCCTCCAGCTTTGTTCTTTTTGCTGAGGATTGCTTGGCTATTAGGGCTCTTTTTTTTTTTGGTTCCATATGAATTTTGAAATAGTTTGCTCTAGTTCTGTGAGGAATGCCATTGGTAATTTAATAGGGATAACTTGCATCTGTAAATTACTTTGGGCAGTATAGCCATTTTAATGATGTTAATTCTTCCTATCCATGAGCATGAAATGTTTTTCCATTTGTTTGTGTCTTCTCTGATTTCTTTGAGCAGTGTTTTGTAATTCTCCTAGAGATCTCTTAGAGATCTTTCACCTCCCTGGTTAGCTGTATTCCTAGGTATTTTATTTTTTCTGTGTGTAGCAATTATGAATGGGATTATGTTCTTCATTTGACTCTCTGCTTTACTGCTAGGAATTTTTGCACATTGATTTTGTATGCTAAGACTTTGCTAAAGTTTATCAGCAGAAGGAGCTTTGGGGCTAAGACTATGGGGTTTTCTAGATATAGAATCATGTCATCTGTAAACAGAGACAGTTTGACTTCCTGTCTATTCCTCTCTTCCCTCCTCTATTTGGATGCCCTTCCAGTTTTGCACATTCAGTGTAATGTTGGCTGTGGGTTTGCCATGGCTAGCTCTCATCATTTTGGCACTTCCGACTAGAAGTGCGAGAGGGGCCAGTGTTGTTGTTACCTGAAAGGTAAGTGCAGCCCACAAAAATGCAGTGAAGAAGAAGATATATGCATATGTTTAAGTTAATACAATTGAGATACATTTAGCAGACAGAATCAATAGAGTTGATGAGTGACTGACTGGATGTGTGGGGAGTTTATATCACTCCCAGGTTTTTGACTTGGGCAACCGGGCACTCAAGAAGGAAAAAGAGGATCCAGGGAGAGGAACTTTTCTGAGGACTGGGGTAGGGCTGAACAGCTGCATTCGAGACTGGTGGAGGGTGGGCTGGGCATGGGATGCACAAATGGAAATTCCACTGGGTCTGCAGCTCACACATAGGCATGACCAGCATAGAGATAGAGAGGCCCCAGTGCTGCTGAGTAACTGTGATTCCCCAGGTGATGGCATCAGCTGAGAAGGGAAGGAAGCCCATGTGAGGACACTGAAGAAGGAGTGAGCAGACAATAAGAAGCCCACAGAAGACAGAGAAGGAACAACTAGAGGGAGAAGCCAAGGCAGGCATGTGTGATAACATATAGGAACTGAGGGAGAGGACATTTCAAGATGGAGGGGATGCCATACAACAGGACTATGTGATGGTTTTTGGCTGTGTCCATAGGAAGTCACAACAGGCAAGGGAAAGAAACCAGAACCCAGTCATGGAGTTAAGAAGTGAGTCAGAGAGGAGATGGGTAGGGACAGTGAGGTAAGGCCTCTTTCTAAGGAAGTTTGGCTGAAGGATAGACTAGCTGGACACATGCTGGCTGTGTGGGGTAGAGGGAGGAATGATGGAGGGTAGGAGAGCCTTGAGCCTGCGAGAAGAGTCTCCTAGAATAGAGAAGCTGAGGTTAAAGTTGTGGAAGACAGTGGGGATAACTGAGTGACAGATAATCAGGAGAAGAAAAGGAGATCCAGAATCATGACAGAGAGATGACCTTTGCCAAGAGCACAGCCATCTTTCACTGTCACAGAGAGGTAGGACAAAACGATTGGTGTTCAAGAATTGGTTTGTAGCACAATATTTTAACTATGTCCTTTAAAAAGTTTCTCCACAGACACTACCCAAAGCAGTCCTTCACTACAGTGGCAGACAGACCTGAAAATTTTCATCTGAAGCAGCAGAGTGAACTGCAGAGTCAGGTAATTTCTAGAAGGCTTGCTTTGTTCCATTGATACTGAAGATTATTCATGAGGCCAGTCTTCTGAGATTTCTGTCATTTCTCTCATGCCAGGTCACCAACCAGTGTGGAGGCTAAAAGCGGGCCTCTTTGGGGATTCCAGGTGGAAGTGTTGGACATCTGTAGTATTCCTGGTCTCAAATCATCCTGATATTCTTCATTTTGTTATTCACATTGGACTAGGGCAAGGAAATGAGTTCTGGTCAGAGTCAATGTTTCCCAACAATGTTGATTTATTTGGTCCTAAATATTTAAACACATTTTATAAATAGCTTTTCCACACCACATATATAGGGAAAAACAGGGAATTAACTTGGCCCAGCAGCACTGTTTGTGGGGCTAACACCCTGTGTATCTCACACCAACCCTAAGCTTTGTTTCCCTCCTGTCACTTTGCTCCTATTTCTTTCATATGAAAGAATGTTCATTTTCTTTGAAAATGAGCTCATTTCCTCATTTTCTTTCCATCTTTCAGCAGGAACAAAGATCACCACAACTGGCTCCCCTTCAACTATGTTAGATGGCAACTTGCCTTCAGTATGGTGAAACACATCAGTTAAGACTGGGGTTGTGCATGGCAGGACTTTCTACAAGGACACCCAGTCTCCTTAATAAACATGAGATGCTCTCTTTCCAGAAGTTCTCTTGCCTGACACAGCATAGGAAGATGCTGAACGGCCACACAGTGACCCATTGGTCAGTGGTGATGTAAGGAGGTCGGAGGGGAGGAGTGAGGAGAAGTAGGGAAGACTAGGTGGTTGTAGGCCTCCTTCATCTGTTCATTGGCTGTGGCATTAGGCCAGCTACTCTTTGCACTTCTGTAAAGTGAGACGGTCGATCTTGTCTGCCTCTCTAGAGGATGGCTGCAGGTGTCAAATGGGGTAGTTAGGTGGGAGGGCATTTCACAAAGTTAAAAAATATGACTTTGGAGGCTTGTTATATTGATGAGGATTATAATCCCTGAGAATTCCTGGTATGAAAAAGGGAAAAGAAGATAATTTGTGAAAGAAATAAGTGTCCAGTTACTAGTCTTTGAAAAGGGTCAGTCTGTAGCTCTTCTTAATGAGAATAGGCAGCTTTCAGTTGCTCAGGGTCAGATTTCCTTAGTGGTGTATCTAATCACAGGAAAGATTGTGGTTCCCTCCAGTCTCTTTCTGGGGGAATTGAGCCCACTTCTCATTTCATTTAATTAGATGAAATAGAACTCAAAGTACAATTTACTGTTGTTTAACAATGCCACAAAGACATGGTTGGGAGCTATTTTTTGATTTGTGTAAAATGCTGTTTTTGTGTGCTCATAATGGTTCCAAAAATTGGGTGCTGGCTAAAGAGAGATACTGTTACAGAAGCCAGCAAGAAGACCTCTGTTCATTCACACCCCCGGGGGTATCAGGAATTGACTCCAGTGTGTGCAAATCCAGTTTGCCTATCTTCTCAAGTTAGGGTTGATCGGATAATTATGGAGAAGTACACATTGAAAACTAGAACTAAGCCAAGCAATTAAATACGTTTCCTGCCTATTACATGCCTTGGTACTGTGCACAAGAGCTCACTGGGCATCTGAGGGAAGATCACTAACACACACCTCAAATGACTGTGTCTGATTTCCTAGGAGGACTCAGAAAGGGAGTGATCACTGTGGATTGGACTGGATAGTGCCTCATGCTGGAGGTGGGCTTTGAATGGAGCCTTGAAGGTCGAGAAAAAGTGATATAAACACTGGCTCCTTCCTTTTAAAGGGACACCACACTGTTTGGGCTTAGTGGTTATAGATGCCTTTAGCACAGCCCAGGAGCAAGCATTTATTGTCTACCTATCACGTGCTTGGCTTTGGAAATGCAAATAAAAAAGGAGGTCACTATTTTATGAAAGGATGATTTTATTCTACCTGATGTAGCCAGCTGCAAGCTTCAGAAGGCAGCACATACAATAATGATGGGCTGGTGAGATGAGAGCTAATGGAGAGATGTACAAAGTGCCATGGGATCACCAAGCAGTGGTCAGGTGAAGGCATCTGATTTTCTTTAAGATCTTGCTCAAATGTCATCTCCTCTAGAAGAAAATGTAGGGCTTCATCAGTCAGACAACATGGGGAAATTGATCTCAGTTCAAGAAACATGTACATGTATTGATTATCTAATACATTCAAGCAGTTGTGCACTGGGGATAGAAAAATATCATCATCATCATCATCATCAACAACAACAATCTTGCTGTATGCCAGGCACATAATTTTACATGTATTATCTCATTTAATCTCAAACAACTCTATGCTATAGGTGTTTATTATTATCCCTATTTAGATGAAACATTTAACCTTCAGAGAATTTAAATAAGTTGCACTTGCAAGCTTAGCAGGTGAGGAATCAAATTTGGAATAGGACCTAGATCAGTGATCCCCTAGATCTACAATCTTAACCAGTACCCTGTTCTCTCTGCTTAGAGAGCACCTAGAGAAAATCTGTAAGCAAATAATCACAAAACAAGGGATGACACAATATATGTAAATGTAGGATTTTACATTAAGTGGAAGAAGGAAGGTCATTATTTACTTTTTCTGGGTGAGAGATGAAAACACTTCTGCAAGAGTATTTCCAATTTCACCAAAGTATGGAAAGATGTTTATCCTAATAACAATACTCAGTAAATGGTATTTGATTTAACTTCAGCCTAGTACATGATTTGATTCTAAAACAGAACATTTCCTTAGAATTTCGATATCTGGAATTCTGTAGCTCAATGGTTTTGGTGGAAAATTGACTATTAATATTTTATATACTTTTAATAGTTTTGGGGCTAAATGAATCAAATCTATTCATAACTCTAAGTTTTCAAATTCTGACATCTTTTAGAGTTGTTTAGTTAAAACTAGCTCTTTTCTTCCAGTTCGTTAGCTTACCAAATGAGCCAAAATAAAAAACAAAAATTTATTTTCAGTCCGATATAGAAAGTTATTTATAGTTACATGGTGCTATCTCTTCCTTTAAAAACATTTCTTCTTTCTTTTTTTCTCCCTTTCTCTTTTTGAGGGGATTATAAACACTGCCAGTATTTTTTGCCTAAAGGGTAAATCCTCTTAAACTCTTTTGGGATCTATATTAGGTGCCAGATGGTCATAAGAAAATTATGTGAGATACTGGTGAATAAACAAGCAAACCAGAAGCTAGGTTTTCAGAATAGATGCTAGCCAGTAGTTCACAGGCATTATCCAGCAACTGGTGGGGATCTACTTGGCCAGCCCGTGACCACTGAGATGTGAACTTCCCTGGACCTTGGCAGTCAAGAGGGAGAGAGGCAGAGAAAGCTCCATTATCATCACTAATTCCCTTTTGACCACACGTGACAGCATGACCTGCTTCAAAGAAATAAGATAAATGGTGGTTAGGTGCCCCCACAGGCCCACAGTAGCCCATTCAACAAAGAGCAAAAGTAAAACTATTCCTGATGGATTTAGCAACATCATAGTTCACTTGTGAGGCAACAGGCTTTTATTGCTTGCTTTGGGACTGGCTTCTTCTCACTTTCTGTGGGAAAGTGAGCCTACCTGACTTAGAAACAAAATTTTGGAACACAAACCCTTTGTAAGTTGGGAGATCCCTAAACTAAAATTTCAAGTGAGATGAAAAGCCCCTTGAGAAAGAAATTTCTGGCTGGGCATGGTGGCTGATACCTCTAATTCCAGCACGTTGGAAGGTTGAGGCAGGAAGATCACTTGAGGCCAGGAGTTTGAGACCAGCCTAAGCAACATAGGGAAACCCCTGTGATATAGTTTGGATCTGTGTCCCCACCCAAATCTCATGTTGAACTGTAATCCCCAGTGTGGTAGGTGGGGTCTGGAGGGAGGTGACTGGATTAGGAGGGTGGATTTCTCATGAATGGTTTAGTACTATCTCCTTGGTACTCCTCATGATAGCAGGTGAGCTCTCGCAAGATCTGGTTGTTTAAAAGTGTGTGGTATCTCCCCCCTCACTCTCTTGTTCCTGCTTTCACTATGTGACATGCCTGCTCCCCCTTCACAATCTGCCAATAAATTGTGGCAGGTTATGAGTGTGTGTAATTTATGAGTGCTGATAGGATGAAAGATAGAAAATGATTTTAGATAGAAAGAAAATAATTCTGGAAGCTTTGAGTCTTCCTCTTGTAATCTATGTTGGTTCTTTTTTAATATACCCTGTTTCAGCACTTACTGACTTGGAGTCTCTCTCACAATGACTAAATGTAATATGAGATTCTAGGATGTATACTAGAACAGAAAATGGAAACTAAATAAAAACTGAGGAATTCTGAAAAAGTATGGTCTTTAGATAATAATAAGATA
Organism: Homo sapiens; assembly: GCF_000001405.40. NCBI lineage: Eukaryota > Metazoa > Chordata > Mammalia > Primates > Hominidae > Homo > Homo sapiens. Next base: position 95,809,693 of record NC_000002.12, on the reverse strand, counting down.
ACAATATTGATGCCTTAATTGTAATGAATGCACCACACTAATATAAAATTTTAGTAATAGAGAAAGCAGAGTTTGGGTACTTACCAGGAATATTATACTATTTTCACAATGTTTCTGTAAACCTTAAAGTGTTCAAAAATTAAAATTTTATTTAAGTCAGTTGCAATATATAAGATTAATTGAACCAAAATTGTGGAAAATATAACTTCTGTTATAATGTTCCTTGGAAGCTTCTAAAGACAAGGCCTTTCTTTTCTATTTTTAGTAAAAATTACACGTATTTTCAAGTCAAACTGTTAATATGTGACAATATTTGCAGTACTGAAAGCTTAATAACTTATAGATTCATGGTAATGAAAAGCAAAGCATAGTGTTTTTGGTTTTGGAATACTGTATGAAATATGTAATCTTTTTTTTTTTAAAGATGGATTCTCACTCATTTGCCCAGGCTGGAGTGCAGTGGGATGGTCTCAGCTCACTGCAACTTCTGCCTTCTGAGTTCAAGCAATTCTTCTGCCTCAGCCTCCCCAGTAGCTGGGACTACAGGCATGTGCCACCATACCTGGCTAATTTTTTTTTTTTTTTTTTGTATTTTGAGTAGAGATGGGGTTTCACCATTTTGGCCAGGCTGGTCTCGAATTCCTGACCTCAGGTGATCTGCCCACTTTGGCCTCCAAAAGTGCTGGGATTACAGGCATGAGCCACCATGCCTGGCCAAAACATGTAATCTCTTATTCAAGGTTTATAATAACAGTTATGTGATACTCAGTAAGGGACGGTGATCTATATAAAATAAAAGGCCAGGCACAGTGGCTTATGCCTGTAATCTCAGCATTTTGGGAGGCCAAGACACGAGGACTGCTTGAGTTCAAAACCAGCTTTGTCAGCATAGTGAGACCTCATCTCTACAAAAAAATCAAAAACATTAGCTGGGGGTGGTGTCACACACTGGTAGTCCCAGATATTTGGGAGGATGAGGTAGGAGGATCCTACCTGAGCCTGGAAGACAAAGGCCACTGCACTTCAGCCTCGGTGACAAAGTAGGATCCTATCTCAAAATAGATAGATAGATAAATAGATAGATCAATGTTATTTATCTCAATATTTGAAAGAAAAGTTGAAAAACCTCTGAGCTCAACTAAGAATCAGTTTCTAGAATAAAGAGAAGTATAAATCATTATACCTCTTTACTTTAAAAATATTACAGACATTATAAGTATTTTAATAACAAAAAAATCAAATACTTTATATATACTTTGTAATCTGTCCTTTACAAAATCATTTAACCTTTATGACAGGAGCTACTATGGTGCTCATTCCACAGATGAGGTGCTGAGGTTTAGTGAACTGAATAGCTTGTTCACAGACAGTTGGAGACAGAGACTCAGTTTGCCCATACAAAGATAATTTTAACCAATAGCATTTTACAATAGAATATCATAATACCTATGAATTCTAAAAACATTTTATTCAAATCTCTCTTTTAATATTAGCACCTCTTCAACCTCTTCTTGACTCTACCACCAAATTTATCTTCCTAATTTCTCTTACCCTGTAAATTTCTGTGTGTGTGTGTGTGTGTGTGTGTGTGTGTGTGTGTGAGAGAGAGAGAGAGAGATAGAGACAGGGAAAGAGTGAGTTTACCAAAAAAATAAGATAGGAAGGTTGTCGTAACATCTTCCATTTCTCAATTCTGAAGTCCCCATTTTCATCCCTGGGAGAGTTGTTCTAGGATAGGGTAGCTAAAGGAACAGAGAAAATCAGAGTAATGGAATTAGCTAAAAGGGAAAGTGGTGACCTGAAGACCAAACACTAAAGAAGGGGCCAGTGAATGGCAAAGAAAGTGCAGAGCAAAAAACATGCAGGTAGATGGGGTCCTAGTTAGTGAAGGCCCACAGGCTGGAGGGTAAACCCATGCAAGGGTCAAGTTTAATACAGTGAAAATATAAGATGGGAGACCTACCACAGAGAACCAACACTTGGCATGTTTCTGATGACAGTGTTTAGATTGCAGTGGTTCTAAAAATTAAGTGATTTTGGAATTGGCATTCCATGTCATTTTAAAAGATAAATGATAAAGTAAATGTTTTATTCAGATCTCTCTCTCCCTCCCCACCCACCTTTTTCCCTCCATTCTTCTGTTTTTAATGGGGACGTTTAAAATCCAATCTCACATTAATTTTTTCTTAAGTGTAAATAATGGGAAAACTTCACTTCGAGAGGGGGCTCCTCAGTAGACCTCCATAATTTCCTGGCTTTTACTGCCAGTTAGTCATCAGGAATAGCCATGGCTAAGAGAGTACCAACTGGGCAAGCCAGTGAATTATACCAGTGCATCTCAGATTTATTGATTTGTTTAACTTTTGTTTTTTGTTCTTTTTTTTTTTTCAGAGATAGAATCTCACTATGTTGACCAGGCTGGTCTTGAACTCTTGGCACCCAAGCGATCCTTTTGCCTGGAATCCCAAAGTGTCAGATTTACTGAAGAATATTTCATTGTAATTACTTTTTATACTTTATAGGTCAAGAGCTCTGTTTTAAAGACAAAATTTATTGAATATACTTTTTCAAACAAAGTTTCATGTTCTAATCATTGTCTGATTTCAGCATTAAATGAAACACAGTAAAGAAAGTTGGGCTGATGTTGTTGGTGGTTGTTTTTGTATTCTGATTACAGAACTGTATTTTGAGTGGGCTGAACATAGAGCAAATGCATCCTCAGCTGCTGGTCTAGAAACTTTTTTTCCATGAGTGAAACTGCACATTGGGGATGGTGGGTCGGGGCTGTGAGTCCAGAGAGTTAAGCAGTAACCCCAAAGATTTTAACTGGGATCCAGAACAGCTTTTATCATCGCTCTTCTTTATGTCTATATTTATCTTTAGTAATTGTACCATATGCTGCATTTTCCACTGGTTACATAGGTAAGCCTAGTCCTCCCCAGAACATTCTTACACCAATGATGGTGACAATATGCTGTATTTCTTTTGTATCGACTCCTTACTTACTGTAGCTACTCAAATTGTACTAAGACCACTGGTACTAATCTGCAAACTAATTTTGAAGTACCTGGAAGTACAGATTTGAAAACCTTTTATAGCAATCTGACATTGCCACAGTATTTTACATTTTACAAAAAATAAAAGTCTTTCACTCTGGGTAGTTTGAAAAGCACCACTGCAGAGAAAATAGTTGACACTTCACAAATGCTTATTTGATTTTCCTGAAGGTGATAAGTAAATTAGATATTCTATAATGCGTTATCTTTAACACAAAAATTAAAGTAACTATTTAAACAATTAAATAACAGAAATTCAGATTCATGGTAAAATCAAAGAATATAAACTAAAAATTCCCTATATTTTCTATATTTTCTCAGAAAATATCAATAAATATATTTTCTGAGAAAATATAAATAAAATTTCCCTACATTTTCTGAGCTTGAGTAACTCTTTAACAAAATGTTGACATAGATAAGCACTTCAGCATTCATGGATAAGCATACTTTCATAAAATCTGAAGAAAAATATATTTGATAATTCCAATGCCTGTCTCAGAGCTACTTTTTCTGCTGGTACCTCTGACTGGAATGCTTTCTCTCTCAACTCATACTTTTAAATTCTAGCCCCCTTTCAGGATCCAAATGCTCCATTTTGTAGAACATGTTTATTAAAATAGTTTATACTCTCTTATTGTATTATTATATGATGCGTTAATTCATGGCAACTTGTTAATATGTCATATTTCCTCTTAAGCTTCTTAAGACGAGACCATTTATTATCACTTTGTATATTTTTAATCTTTCCCAGAATAGGTGCTCTATAAATGCTTACTCAGTTAACATCATTAAATAAGGCAACACAATGTAATTTTCACTATTAATAACGACTGCATTAGCAGGGCAAGGACTCTGAGGTATTTGTCTGACAAGCATTCAAAATTGCTAGCCAATGTTAGAACTAGAAATTTTGGAAAAGGTAGTGAGGTCAAGTCATTGACTGACCTTGGCTTTACTCATACATACTCTAACCAGATGGATACACATCAGAGCCTCAGCGTCTCAGAGTTTGAATGGGCCATAGGCACCACCTAAACTAATAGTCAAACCAGAAAAAGTATACGAGGACACTTGGAAGATGTATTGAGTTGTTAACCTAAAAGTTAAGAGAACCGAGAATCTAAATGGTGGTTGGTTAAGAAAAATACCATCTCACAAAAGAATACTCCTAACCACTACTGCAAAAAACATACTTTTGGGGAAAATAGACCCATATGGTTTGTACACATTCTCAAATATCTAAAAGTGACTTGGGCTTGATAAGTAGTTCTACATGCTTCTGTTAGATTTCCAATTTATCTCTGTTTTGGTACCAGTACCATGCTGTTTTGGTTACTGTAGCCTTGTGGTATAGTTTGAAGTCAGGTAGCGTGATGCCTCCAGCTTTGTTCTTCTGGCTTAGGATTGACTTGGCAATGCGGGCTCTTTTTTGGTTCCATATGAACTTTAAAGTAGTTTTTCCCAATTTTGTGAAGAAAATCATTGGTAGCTTGATGGGGACGGCACTGAATCTATAAATTACCTTGGGCAGTATGGCCATTTTCACAATATTGATTCTTCCCATCCATGAGCATGGAATGTGCTTCCATTTGTTTGTGTCCTCTTTTATTCCGTTGAGCAGTGGTTTGTAGTTCTCCTCGAAGAGGTCCTTTATGTCCCTTGTGAGTTGGATTCCTAGGTATTTTATTCTCTTTGAAGCAATTGTGAATGGGAGTTCACTCATGATTTGGCTCTCTGTTTGTCTGTTATTGGTGTATAAGAATGCTTGTGATTTTTGCACACTGATTTTGTCTCCTGAGACTTTGCTGAAGTTGCTGATCAGCTTAAGGAGATTTTGGGCTGAGACAATGGGGTTTTCTAGATATACAATCATGTCAACTGCAAACAGGGACAATTTGACTTCCTCTTTTCCTAATTGAATACCCTTTATTTCTTTCTCCTGCCTGATTGCCCTGGCCAGAACTTCCAACACTACGTTGAATAGAAGTGGTGAGAGAGGGCATCCCTGTCTTATGCCAGTTTTCAAAGGGAATGCTTCTAGTTTTTCCCAATTAAGTATGATATTGGCTGTGGGTTTGTCATAAATAGCTCTTATTATTTTGAGATACGTCCCAGCAGAGATACAGACCAATGGAACAGAACAGAGCCCTCAGAAATAATACCACACATCTACAACCATCTGATCTTTGATAAACCTGACAAAAACAAGAAATGGGGAAAGGATTCCCTATTAAATAAATGGTGCTGGGAAAACTGGCTAGCCGTATGTAGAAAGCTGAAACTGGATCCCTTCCTGACACCTTATACAAAAATTAATTCAAGATGGATTAAAGACTTAAATGTTAGACTTAAAA